>NC_000004.12:44695561-45004985 GCF_000001405.40 Homo sapiens
ACTTGAAATATTCTTATTTAGGATATATAAACAGTTGTATTTTTCTGTCTCAGAGACAAAGCTCATTCAATTGGCAAAGCCATATGTGAACGGCTGAAGGATTCTCTTCCTAGGCAACTGTTTGAGATAGCAATTCAAGCTGCTATTGGAAGTAAAATCATTGCAAGAGAAACGTGAGTTGAAATTCATTTTTGGTCTTGAGCCAGTTTCAGAAATGATATACCTAAAAAGTGAAAGAATATTGAACATTTTAATTTAACATTGGCCTAAGCTTTCTTACTTGTAGAAACAGTATGATGGTGCTCTCCAGTTTTCTGATTTAAGTAATGACTGTTACTTTGAATTACTTATATAACAGCACTGGGTGATGTGATCTGCAGTTAGTATAACGTATACGAGTTTGAGGAACTGTTTTAATTTCCACTCATATCAATGTCTATACTGAATTTCCTGGGTAAGGAATTTCTTTTATGGTTTTATCCCTTTAGGTAGATTATAGATTAATAGAAACTGAAACTAAAAGGTTTTGTCTTCCAAATGACAAAATTACAATTTTTTTTTAACCCAAAGCATTTAATATTGCTTCCCCACTTCCGCAGAGCTAGGGAGGTTATAAATCAAGGAATGCCAATACCATGTTAGGATTTGCATTCTAGATTAGGGACCTCACATGAATTATAGTAGATATGGAAGACAGGCTAATTTGTGTCGGACACTAGTCTTTCATGAAATGTAATACATAAATCAGAACACTGGCTGGGTGTGGTGGCTCACATTCTGTGATCCCAACTACTTGGGAGGCTGGG
Source organism: Homo sapiens (assembly GCF_000001405.40). NCBI lineage: Eukaryota > Metazoa > Chordata > Mammalia > Primates > Hominidae > Homo > Homo sapiens. The sequence continues at coordinate 44,696,368 of NC_000004.12, forward strand.
GCAGGAGTATTGCTGTGAGACTAGTCTGGGAAACATAGTAAGACCCAGTTTTTTAACAAAAACCCAAAAATAACAATGAAGAACACTGAATAAGCTGCTCTGCTTGTGACAGCAGGTGCAGGATGTGTCTTGTAGCACTTCCCATTTCCTTTCCTTAATGATCCTAAGACTTCTAGGAAATAGGAAGTATCTCCTCAGTTATGAAAAGCTGGAAATTGCTATTAAATTCGACCTTAACCCAAACCTAATGAGGAAATACAACCATCATGTTAATATAGACTTGAGGTTAATTTTAGGCCCACTGTTTGAAATACATTTCATTTCCTAACACTGTTTTGCTTTGGTTAGTTATTCTGTGTTTTGTAAATACTGAGATCAGGCAGAGTAGAAATGATAACTAGGGAACATCCTGGAAAGTGCAATTTAAGACAGTTAGCAATTGCTCATTCTAAAATAAGTGTGTTGAGATAATACCTTAAAAAATTGGTTTTTCTGTCTTAAGGAATACATAAAGATGGAGCTATTTTCAAAATTAGAGTGATCTAGAAATTTCTCAAACATTGTAGAAATAGATTAGTTTATAACTGCTGGGGTGGATATATCAAGCTTCCTAGCCACTCCATCCACATTCAGTAGAGGCAGTAATAAGATAATAAACATATTTTGTTTTTCTGAAGTAGTAGTGTTAATTTTTAGATTGGTAATTTTTAGATTGAGTAAAAAATAACCTAATGTATTTCTTGTAATCAAGGTCACATCATGCTTGAATTTGGCCTAATCAAGCCTACCACAAGCCTTGACCATTTTTTCTTAATGTGTGTTGATAAACATGTTGAATTTATTTGTTCTTTTATACCAAGTACATGAAAATAAATACAAGAGCATTTGAAGTATCTAATTAATATGCTTATGGCAATTTTACATAGGTAATGATACTATCATTAAAATTTTCTAGTAAAGGGGAGATTGTTTTTGGTAAGGAAGTGCTTTTAAACAGTATAATGGAATTATGTACTTAAACGAATTTTTCTCTTTTACAGTGTGAAAGCCTATAGGAAAAACGTTTTGGCAAAATGTGTATGTATCTAGTTGTATTTATTCTACTTTATAACTTTTATGGGCTTTAAATCAAAGGGGGCATAAACTTATTGATTTCCATTGTTGGTTTTTATACATTCTTTGTTTCCAAGTTCCCTTTTTGAATAGGTAAATTTCAGCTTGACCATGGCAACCTGTTCATTTTGCCCATATCTTTTAAGTATTTTTTCATCTTATTTATAAAAATTTACAAAAATATTTATTAAAATTGTTCTTATATGTAATACTAAGGAAGATTTTTACAACAGTTATTTCTATGATCTGGGTAACATGTTTTCTTGATCTAACATATAATGAAAGATTTTGAAAACAATGGCTTTATCTTACAGTTGAAGTCTACCTCTCCTGACATTGTTTTGCCAGTTTGCTGTTATTCAGCTGTTAAAAAATTATTCTTGCACCAGCTCGGTGGCTCACAACTGTAATCCCAGCACCTTGGGAGGCCAAGATGGGCAGATCACTTGAGGCTAGGAGTTCCGAGACCAGCCTGGCCAACATGGTGAAACCGCAGCTTTACTGAAAATACAAAAATTAGCCAGGCGTGGTGGTGCATGCCTGTGATCTCAGTTACTCGGGAGGGTGCAGCATGAGAATTGCTTGAGCTCAGGAGGCGGAGGTTACAGTGAGCAGAGATCCTGCCATTGTACTCCAGCCTGGGTGAGAGGGAAACTCTATCTCAAAAAAAGAAAAATTATTCTTAAATATCGTGAGAGTTGAATGATCAATTCTTTCTCCAAAGGCACATTTATTCCTATGTGATTAAGAGTTACCTATATTAGACTGTGGCTTTCTAGTCAAAATTCCAAGCCTAGAATCAGTAAGGAGATTGATAATTCTTCCTTGACATGCATATTATTATACTAGGTTTCCTTGGGAATCTTCACCTCCATCCAGATTAAATCCTGTATCATTCTTTGAGAAGACAGTAAAATTAGATCTGCTAGGAAGATTAGAGAGATGTCTGCCTTATGGATAATAATTTGGTATGGTTGTTAAGGTTGTACTGATGCCGCTGTAATCATATGATTGTTTCTCTTTAGAGTGACTTAGACTTCCAATGTTTTAAAATATTTTTCAGTATGGTGGTGATATTACCCGAAAAATGAAGCTTTTGAAGAGACAAGCAGAAGGGAAAAAAAAGCTGAGGAAAATTGGCAACGTTGAAGTTCCAAAAGATGCTTTTATAAAAGTTCTGAAAACACAATCTTCTAAATAATTGGTGGGAAAACAAAGAATTTTCATTGCAATTTGTAATATGCTGACAACAGAAAGAAAATTATAAAATTTGCTTGTTACTTTCAGGGTATTCAGGTTCAAATAACCTACTAGTCTTTCGTTGAAAGGGAGTAGTTAGTGGGTAGGCAAGAGCTTAGATTTTGAAGCCATGTTGCCTGTTCTCAAATATCTGTTCCAACCACTCACTAGTAAGGTGACCGTGGCCAGATTAACCTTTGTTTCCTCTTCAGTAAAATCGAGATTATACTACTACCTACATAAGTTGTTGTTGTGAAGATTAAATGAGGTAATACGTTAAATATTCAGAGGTGCAAGACACATAGTAAGCACTCAATTGTAACTACAGTTAAGTCCTTAAATGCCATCGAAAGGTTCTTAGAAACTGACTTTAAGCAAAATGACACGTAGCACAATGTTCTTGAATGATGTCATTTCCTTAAGTGGTTTGTAACATCGATGAGGAAAAAAAATTGGTTTATGCGTCATTTCATTTTATTTTTATTTATTTTTTGAGACAGAGTCTTGCCCTGTCGCCCAGGCTGGAGTGCAATGGCACAATCTCGACTCACTGCAACCTCTGCCTCCTGGGTTCAAGAGATTCTCCTGCCTCAGCCTCCATTACAGGCGTGCACCACCATGCTCGGCTAATTTTTTGTATCTTTAGTAGAGTCGGGGTTTCACCATGTTGGCCAGGCTGGTCTTGAACTCCTGACCTCGTGATCCACCCACCGTGGCCTCCCAAAGTGCTGATTACAGGTGTGAGCCACCATGCCCAGCCATGTCATTTCATTTAAAGTCACAATTTCCATGAATCTCAACAAGTGAGGACCTGCTATATTTTGTTGCATGCAGTTTTTCTTTACGGACACTAAAAGGCCCCATACTTAAGATTCCATCTACTTTAAGTTTAAAGGATTTTCAGAATCACCTTAAGTGTCAAATTTGTTAGCAGGATTAATTGATATGAATTCACTTATTAAACAGTAAACTCAAATAACATAGACATCAAATAACAGACATCTGCTCTAGTTAATGATAAAATGTTTATAGATTTTATCAGGTGGTTAGTTTGAAACTAAATGGTTTACATCTAAATTAAGGGCAGGAGCTGTCTTTCAGACATTCAAAACGCATTTGTGTAAAATGACAGGTGTTTGGTATTACCAGGAACTCATAATGACATTTTAATAATTATTGTCTAAATTTCATAATCGAAGCGATTTTAGAGTAGTTAACTTGAGATTTCACAGCCAGTAAATGGCTGTATTTCTCCAGAGCTCTCAGCTCCCATGTTTATTCAGCCAACGAACAAACCAGACTGCAGACTGTATTAGAGCAAGACAACATCATTTAGCCATTGATTTTTATCTTCTACCTTGAATGAATTGAATGAAGAAAATGTCTTTTAGGGATAAACACTATCAAGGATGAATTTTATACTAAGGTTATATGAAAGAAAAATCTCAAAACCACTAAGCCAAAGGGAAGTCAAGCTGGGAACTGATTGAGGCAAACCTGCCTCCCATTTTATTCCTAAATAAGACAGCCACAAAGATAAAATTTGCTCACAAGGGAATTCCTTATGGACAAAGAACTCAAAGTCTTCACATGAAACAAATGCATAAATGATTGCTTTCTCTGTTTCATGTTTCACTAAGCCAGATTAAGGTATAACTGACTATTCCTCTACTCTCCTCTCACATGTAAATTGTATATTCAGTGAAAGGCTAATCAGAAACTCAAAAAAATGCAACCCTTTCTCTCTTACCTGCCTATGCTTGAAGCCCCCGCCCCTCTTCAAGTTGTCCTGCCTTTCAAGACCAATGTACACCTTACACATACTGATTGATGTCTCATGTCTCTCTAAAATGTGTAAAACCAAGCTGTGCCCCAACCACCTTGGGCACATGTGGTGAGGACCTCCTGAGGCTGTGTCATGGGCACACCTTAACCCTGGGAAAATAAACTTTCTAAACTGACTTGAGAGCTGTCTCAGATATTTTGAGCTTACAGTTATTGTGAAATCATTTTAATTATAAATTAAGTGGAGATTTACTTAAAATCATGTGTAGAAGTAGCCTGTGATATAGTCCTAGATACATACATTATCATCTTATGTATCTTCCCTCCCTCTTCCAGGTTCTGATAAAAACAGATGAAATCTGAAAGACCATGACAGTAGTATTTTGAAAATGACAGTATTTGAAATTAAAAAATTGTAAAAGTGTTCTGTTCTATCACTGCCAAAGGATAAGTTACAAATTGGTTCTTGGAACGTAATATGTACTATGTGCTTGCTATTTAATAATTTACCAGTCTTAGTCTTTTTTATTCAGACTAATTTTACCTTTTTTTAACCTATGACTCTTTAGTTATAGTAGTACAAAAAAGTAGTTTTAGTTATAGTTTTAGTTGTAGTACAAAAAAGCATTTTCTGTAAGCTTAATTTCTTTCCCCTTCCCGCTTTCCCAGTCAGATGACTTTAGTGATTTGGAGTTGTGTGCTTTATAAGTGCATTCCTCAGAGGACTTAATATTACTAAGATTTTAGCAAACACTGAAATATGTTTAAACACTGTTATCAATATTAAAATAGCACCGTTTATTGACTTTAATATGTGACAACCACTGTGCTGAGCTATGTATGCTTCCCTTATTCAATCTATGTAAAAATTTTGGGGAAGTAGCTGAGACTTTTTTATTTCCCTGACAGAGCTGGGATTCAGTGGTTGGTTTCTTGAAAAAGCTAGGTTCTTTGCCTAACAGCAGCTTAGCTCCTCAATTTAGGGAATGAAAGCAGGAATGAAAATGGCCAGAGTTTTCGCTCCTCAGCTTGTGGAGGAGCTTGAGTACATGAACCTCAACTAAGCCCCTAACATCAAGGGAAGGAAAATGGAAAGGAGAATTTTTAGACCTTTAAAGCAGAGAAATTACTGGTGAATCATGTAGCACAACAGGTACCTTTAGCTTTTTCACTGTGATGCTGTATGACTTTCTAAGGTAGTCAGCATAGTTTGTAGTAAATGATTCTTATTACTGGAAGTGTAAGTGGAGTGTTACTCACTAGTTATTTAAAAAACATTTATAAGGCTATTAAAACATCATCTGGAATTAAAGCAGCATAATTTACCCCATCCCCCACTTTTAACCATAAAACCCTATTACCAATTTTATTTCATTAATTTATTTGCTATTTTAATATTTTAAGAAACTACATTTTAATCACATAGACAAGCAGATAAGTAAGGCTTCTTCTACCAGGTGGGCTTATGAAATGCAAAATAAGCAAAAGGAGCATTTTTTTGCTCCCCACAGAGGCAAAGACATCTTTTAACCTAACTCTCCTAATGCATGATGGTAACAAACCCAAAATGAATGCAGGTTCACATGTACTATAATTGTTGGGAGTCGAATGCATGTATTCTTCAGGTTCACTTCTGGAAATTTAGATAACTTATTTATTACACGCTTTATTTGAGTTAAAGATAAAAAACAATATACTTTTATGTAAATTGCTATGGCAATGTAGTTTACAGTAATTCCTTTTATATATACTTCGTATTATTCTTTTAGACATTTTATAAGGAATAAAGCTAATTGTATATTAAGTTTAACAATAATCAGAAAATATTCTCCAAAAGAATTTCCTGAAGTGGCTTGCTAGGTATAAAGCTCATAATTGTCAAGATACTTATATTAGGGACATGAACCCAAGTCGTTAAATAAAAATAAGATATTTGTAAAAAAGTGCTATAGAAGAAGGTGCACAAAAAACATGCACTTACACATACTTTCCAAAAGGATGTAAACTGTACTTTTAGGCACTGTCATCTCTTCAAATTTCCTTTACCAATGATATATAGCACAATTTTTGATGTCTAGATGGTGCTGTAGGAAGATGACTAAGGCAACCACGTGCAGAAAAGCATGTGTGTGATGCACAGAAAATATAAAGATTGCATTCCAAAAGTGAAGGTCTGCAATGATAGTTTGTTATCTGAAAGGTTTGGAGTGTCTTGTCATTAAAAAATGAAATATACGCCACTGGAGTCATATCACAAATGGTGCCTGATGTGGACACTCTACCTTTAAAATGACTTTTTAAACAGGCAGACATTTCTATGCTGTTTTATAGGTGGCTATGTGACTTCAGTACTTTATAATAAATAGCCAGTCAATCTTGAGAGCCAGCTACTTCTCTTAAACCCAAGTACAAGATATAAATATTCAAAATATGGAATGTTTAACATAGAGACTCGAATGAAAAAATGACAATCTTCAAAATTCCCCATGTTTTGTCATATTGCATAGCTGAAAATTCATCTACTACTTAGTAAAAAGTGCTCTGTTCATTCAAGCTGAATTTTGCTCCAGTCTCCTTCAGTTTCCATCTTTCATACTGAATAGTGGATCCACAAGTTTATTGTGCACATGCATTAGACCTTAAAGAAAAAAAGCACAGTTCTAGTTGTTTTTATTAATTTTGAACTATCTCATTTACTTTAGACAACAAAGTATTTTTTATAAGACACAGTAAGCCTGTTTAGTTCCCATCTTGATATAGTCAAGTTTATTGAAAAAGTACAAATAGAAATGTTTCAGAATGTCTTAAGTTTTATCTACCTAGCAAATACCAATTTATAATTATGTAACAGTGCAGATCTAGAATGTGTACAGGTACTTTGGGAGTAACCAGAAGAGCATTTCTTGTCTTCAAAGAGATTAAGCATGACAAATTTGAATACTGACTTAGATAATAGGTTTTAATTATATCTAAAAGTCTATGTTGATATTGATCCTCTGGCAGTTCCTCTACTAGACTCCAGCCAGGGGCTCAGAACTGCTGTCTCACTCTTAATACATTACCCTATCCATTCGTCTGGTAAATTACTTTCCAATAGTTTGGCATGTGTATTTATGACAAAGGTTGATTACAAATTCTACACTGAGGGAGGGTTACTAAAACAAGACAGAAAACAACCTGTATTAAATCATTTAATTCAGAATAGAAATTACGATTTTAAATCCGGTAGATTATAACTTTCATTTTGTAATTGGTACATATACTTGCAGACTGCTCTTAGCTATGGAAGCTGCTTGGGAAATAGCTGATCTTCCAGTTACTCCTGTTTTAATGCCTCAGTACTATATTTCTTTGGGGAGAAAAAAGTTCTAAAAAGACTGACCCAGTTAATGAACCAGAGATTTTATATTTTGGAGGGTAAAGAAATGAGTTAAGTTTTCCAGGTATTAAGAACATGGGAGGGTGGGGAAAGGCACTTAATGCGGTTTTGCAGGAAATGGGATTACTGGATTGGAGAGATAGGTTGCTTGTTAGTAAACAGATGTTCCTTGTCAGAAAGGCTGCAAAAAGGACTCTAAAATCCCAGCTTTGAGAAAGACCCACTTTTAAGGGACAAGCAAAGAGTACTGGGAAGTGTTTGTGTAGTAGGAGAAATTCTAACCATAAGAATGGGACTCTAAAGGAGGGAAGGGGGAAGCATTCCATTCACTAGTCCTGCAACTGCTCAACAGCCTACTTGAAGGTCACCTGAAACTTCATGTCCAGTAGGAGAGGGGACAACAAAGATAAGGGTAATATCAGCTGTATGATTTAGAAGATGCAACATTTTCCAGAGTATCACTTTGTAGAGGATCGTTTTTCTACTTAAATAGTATTCATCTGTCATTTGCTAACAACTTTGATTACGGAAAGAATACACAGAGCTTTAAAATACATGCAAATTAAAATATCAGTAAATATTAAAAATTCAACTCCTTTATAAAATTTTTTTCTTTACATTGGATATATCTTTTATACATCAAATAGGACTGCTTCCAAACTAGAAATAATTATTTTGAAAATTCTATTAATTGCTTTTTAGATATTAAGTCAAATATTTACTGTGACTTTAGGTAAAAACTGACAACTTTCTACATACGAATTTTATATAAATAAATAATTGCTACTTAAGTCAAACAGAAATAATTCTTCTGATAAAAATGCACCAGACTTCCTGAAACGTTACCAGAAGAAAGGTTAAATGTCACAGATTCTAACCAATGTCTATACAAAGTAACTTTTATGGTTTTGACTCAAAATGAACTCATTCTACCTTTGTCAAACTACTGAGGTGGAGCCTAAATACAAAGTAAGAGAAAAAAATTCATGATGATGATGTCATATACTAAAAATCAAAGCTGTTCTATTTAAAAAGCAAAAATGAAAAGCGAGAATGAATAAAACAAATCCCCACGTACTAAACTTGTTGTCTTGTGATTAACTTGTATCTTTCAAAAGGTATATACCGTTATATAGGTATATATTGAAATAAACTTGCATTTACTGACAATTTTTATTGTTTTGGATCTAGTTAACCTAGATCTTATCTAGGCACTAAATAAAACCCTTTAAGATTCTGGTCAGCACTTTTTAGTGATGACAGAAGAAAGGGTAGTGATGTGAATGGAATTTGAAGAGTTATGGATGACAATTATAGGAATTTACATCCTCCAGTATTTTGATATACTAGTAACTCAATGGAGGTATGAAAAGTATACAAACTACATTTGAAATGTGTTTATTTAAGAATATTCAATTTCTCTACCCTTTACTAAAATGCTGTAAAATGAGGCCCATATGTAGCCCAGAATGTCTAAATTCTGTCTTCATATTGAAGGAGGTATCCTAACAGGCTGATACCCTGAAACCTCTTCAGAAATACAGACAGCTCCAAAGTGGAAAATACTGTGTCCTCTTGATGCAGTGCAGCTATCCTCTCACGAATGGTCTGTTTCAAAATTTTTCAGAAGAGCTTACAATTAGATGAACTAAAAGAACTAAATACATATAAACATCTACCACCCTTCTATTTTAAATTATCTAACATATGTCGATATACCTTTTTTGGAAGCAGTGATTATCATATGGGAAAAAAGCAGATGGAAATATGGTTTTGATGTAGATGGTATCATACCTAGAGTTTATTCTGGGAGGCAGTATAATAGAATAGACAAAAGCCTGCATACTCCAGAGATCAGCCTGATTTTGATTTCTATTACCCAGCTCTGCCCAAATATGTGCTGTATGACTTTGGGTAAGTAGCTTAACGTCTCTGTCTGTTAAGCCTATTAATTTAAAAATGGGACTATGAATACCCATTTCATAACATTTTTGTGATAAGTAAATCAATAAGTAAAATGCATTTAGAATAGTGCCTGGTCATAGAGATACTGGCTGTTATTAAATATCTTATTAAATATTCACCAAGATATAAAAATCTGATAAAAACCTAATTGTGACAAAATTAGATTAGTACAGGGATTTATCTGGGACTTAATGAGGACTAGAAAATGGCCATGTTAAATGAATCTCCTTAAAACTGGAATTAAAATTTGTGGATAGTGAGGATTCCTTGTAGTCAAGGAATCTATTATTTGGGATGAAATCTGAAGGGTTACATGGGAAAATAGAGTTAAAACTCCATCAAATGCTCTTTTATTCACAAATCAGAAATTTTTCAGTTTTTCAGTTTTTCAGTTTGATATATTTGTGGCTTGGTAAATTAGTAATTTAAATGGTAAAAATATAAATGACTAGAAATAATCTAAGTGTTAATAAGGAAATGTTTAAATAAATTATGATTTATGTACTTAACTATCCATTAAAATGCTTCCAAATATTTAGTAAAACAGGAAAATGCTCATGAAACATAAGTACAAATACAAAACTATATACAAAGCATGATCAGCATTTTGTTTAAAAATAGACTATTTTCAGTGCTTGCCAAATGTCAGTTATTTGTATAACACCTTCAAGATATTTGCCATATTCACACATATACATGAAATATGAGTTGGTTTTCTTTGCATTGAATTAAAAATTTAAGATTATATACTTTATTTCTGAGTATGAGATGCTATAAATTGTAAGACACACCATTTTATGTACCACTGAGAAAAAAATGCTACCCAGTAAGCTATGATCTGACACCAGTTTTAAGACACAGTCCAACATCAGCAAGATCAACGTGTATTAGAGCCAATCAAATATGGTAGCTTTTTTGGACCTTGTCTTAAGCAATAATATCCAAAAAATATAGCTTTGATTTATTCAGTGTATTTTCCAATAGGCATTAAAATAAATACCTAGTTACTAGAGTAAAAAAGATTAAAAGGTATAATCATGTAGCAAAAGTAGCATACATACTACATAGTGAATCACTGACCTATCTATATGATCAACTATGTAACTTTTAATATCAGCTATGTAAATACAGGTGCTTTATGAAAATTACCTGTTTGTACAGTTTGCTTACATATGTGTAATATGTGGAGCTGACTCTTAAATCAGAGAATAGGTTCTACATTGGGTATAGGCAAAATGTCCCTTGAAAATCTCTTAAAACCATTATATCAAGCATATGTGTTTTGTAATACACAGCCTGGTAGAGTAAGGTTTCTGAATTACTGAACTAGACTACAGGAAAAAGGAAAATCAACATGAAGTCTGGGCAATCAAACTCCTGCTTACTTGCAGAGTTTATTCCATACTATTTTAACATTTAGACATTATAACTTTAATATATGGGAATAAATTGGCTTAAAATTGTAAAGATTAAATTAGATAGTGGGAGATCTCTTATCCACTGATTAGGTTCTAAATTAAGGTTAGAGGGGAGTGAGGAAGAGGGATTGAGGTGGGACTAGTAAACATGAAAAGAAATCCAGAATGGACAAAGATACATTTTCTTTTGGGTTATTTGGTCTTGTATATTCAATATGAAAGTAAATTATTAAACCTTGGATTTCAAGAAAAATTGTTTACTGAAAATAGAGACTGAAGAGATTCTCTTCATGAAAAAAAAAAAAAGGTACTACTTTGAAGATACTATTATCTGAGGTGAGAACTTTCCATTACTTGAAAGAACTAGCTATGTGTTGCCACTTTTCAATAGGTCACAGTGTGAGATTTAACCCCACAGTCACAGTAAGTTTTAATTGTCACTCACAACAGATTATCTCAGTCGGCTTTTGAAATTCAGTGCTCACCTTTAAAGTATTTCACAGTTTTAACTCTTAATTCTAAAGTAGCATCTTCATCGCATACAAAAATAGTCCGGGGATGCTGCTGGAAAGCGGAAACAGTCCACATGTGATTGACTCCTTCTTCTATTGCTTTGTACAGGGCAAATGCCTTGTGTGCCCCTGTTATAAGGATCATTACCTGAAAAATTATGAACATCAATTGTTAAAACTTGTTCCAAATGAGTAAGAAGCTCTATTTTTTTTAAACGAGAACTTAAGCACCAATATTTTTTTCTGAGAGAAAGAAAAATACATAGCTCCACATAATAGTTCAAGGTATTCATTTCTACTTTTTAAGATTAACAAGCACAAAATGTTGCTTCTAGTTTAACAAAGCAAAACAATATCTTGTTATGGGTTATTAATGCAAACACTATAATACCTGTAACTTTTAACATAGTGAATGATGATGTATAAAAGAAACCTGGGACAATGAAGAAAAAGAAACAAAAGGACTGTGTTGCAAAAGCAGAGTTACAAATCTATAAATAATTTATACAATCTAGAATGATACACCAAGTTGCTGTAGTCTAGATAAGCAAAAGATACTATGTCAGAAAAGCAAAGACTCTAAAACAACAGGTAATTTGAAGAGTTATCAAGAAAAGCCTGAAGAGCATTTCACTGAACATGTGCTATTCAAAGTTGACTCAGAATAAAAACTGGATTTAAAAAAGGATTAGGGATCTACTTAAACATAGGAACTGTCTTATAAGCACATAGGAACTGTCTTATAATCACATATGACTGATATTACCCTTATAAGCTACAGAAAATCCAAGCTCTTGGTCCCCAGGCCCTAAATGCCAATGAAATAATGCAATGACATGTTGCAAATGTGAATGTGTATGTGTCGGAATCTTTTCTTTATCATGTTTAAGCTGGAAATTGATCCCATTTAACACCTCATCTACACACATATTTTTGTAATATAATCTTTAAACTTTTTTTCCTCATTACAATTGTTTTAAAAAACAATGTTAAAATTGCTGTAGTTCTAAAATATAACAAATTTTGTATTACATATTTTATAACTAGACCTAAAATGGGAGGAAATACTCTGCACTCTCCTTGAATTACCTCAACTCCTCAAAACACCACCATGAGAGAAATACTATTCTTACTCATATTTTAAAGATAAGGAAACTGAGGCATATTCTGTAACTGGCCCAAGGTTTTGGTAAGATACAAACAAGTAGTTTTTTTCTACAGTGCATATTCTTAGCGATTAACAATTACATTACATTGCCTCTTGTAAAAGTTCTAACAATTAGACAATATGAGCTAAGAGTCTTTTCATTATGGATGCACACTCTAAAAAGGTAATGGGACAGGTGGCAAGAAATCTCAACATGAAGTATATATACTGAGGAAAAAAAAGACAACTAAACTTTTATTGGTGAGAAAAGGTAAGTACATACCTGGCATTACCATTATGAAGGGAGTGGAGGGAAAGGAGGCTGCTGGAAGGGAAGCTTAGTATAGGATGAAGAATTCATTATTGGTGTTTATCTATGGCTAAGGCATAGATAAAACAAATTGGTCTTTAAATAGACTTGATCTGATATGTGATTAGTTATATCATACCTGTTCTACTCTCAAGGAGATTATTTCTCATATCATGGGAAAGGACAAACTATATGGAATAATTTGTTATGTTTGTTCAAACTGCAGAATCCCTAAATTTAAAGAAGCAAGCTAGGTGTGGATACCAGGTGATTCTTATGTACACTAATGTTTGACAACCAGTGCTCAGGCAGATGTTGCATTGATACAGCTTTTTGCTACTTAAGTGTAGCAATAACACTATTTTAAAAGGTTATGAAATAAGCTAATTTTAAAGAATAATCAACATTTAATCATCCCATAAACTGATATAAGTGATTTACAAAAATCTATAAGCTCATATTAAATCCTCCACCATCCCTTCTTGGTTGGAATTTTTAAGTCAAATGTAATTTTTAATAAATGAGGAAATTAGCCTGGGCAACACAGTGAGACCTTGTCACTTCCAAAAAAAAAAAAATGAAAAATTGAAAAATCAGCCAGGCATGGTGGTGTGCACCTGAAGTCCCAGCTACTTAGGAGGCTGGGGTGGGAAGATCTCTTGAGCCCTGGAGGTTGAGGCTGCAGTAAGCTGTAATCACACACTGCACTCCTGTCTGGGCAAAAACTGACCCAAAGAAAAAAACTCAATATTTGAGTAATTGTTTGTTCTAAAAATCAGCATAAAAACTGTATTAAAACTTACATCTTGTTAAATGTAATCTATTACATAACTCAGTTTCACATTTTAGAAATAAGATTGCTCTAAAATCCTTTTTTCAACTTATTGACTATGAAGTTTCAGTCCTTGAAAGGTCTTTTATTCATATACCTATGATTTCTAGGTTTCTCATATATTTTGATTGACAGTTCTATTAGTATGTTCAAGTTTAAATATAATTATATCAAGATAAGTTACTTTTTCATCATACCTTGTCTATAGTTTTTTCCTCTGAACCTGTCCAATCTGGCTACCAGAAAGGAACAGAGTTCTGGGTTTCCATATAATTTAACTACATATAACCACGAACTGACTACAATGTGTTCTGTATTCTCAAGGAAGAAAATGACAGCCCAATTTAAAAAAACTTAAAAATTACACAGGGTCTTCTGTTCAGAGCTCTTCCATGCTTAAATATGCCAAATGTAGAACAGTTGCAGCCCTAGCTGAGTTCCTTTTCTGCTGGAAACCAACAGGGCTCTATCATCCTACATAACATACAGTCAAAAAGCATTTAAATCATCCTGTGAGCTCCAAAAAAGATGTAGTGTAACTAGCATTGCATCATTGTCCCAACAGTCCTGTCATGAGACACTTTCAATAAAAAACAAACGATGTGATCAGTAAGATTTTAGGACCTCAAACTGGAGCAGGAATAGGCAAGTGAAATAGTACCTCAAAAGTGGTGGTGCTTAATTCTTAGTTTACAGCTCCAAAAGACTTAATTGATCCCTAAACATGTCAATGAGACTGACAAAAGTTGGTTACTGAAAACTAGAAAACAATTTATACTGCAAATAGAATGCAATCAAAATATCACTTATTCAGCATCATAACTCCTCCAAAATATTAATATATTAACATGAAAAGAAAGACAGCAAAGAATATTTAATGCTTACTTCTCTAGCATCCATCACTGTCCCCACACCAACAGTTAGAGCCATAGTTGGCACTTTTGATAAATCTCCATCAAAATATTTGGCATTTGCCAAGATGGTATCCATTGCTAGAGTCTTTAATCTTGTCCTTGACACTAAACTGGATCCAGGCTCATTGAAAGCGATATGACCATCTGGACCAATTCCTTTCAAAAGAAATATACATACATATACACATGAAGTAAATAGGTTTCACAAAGTTCAATGTGCGTTAAAGAACAAAAAAAAAATCACCTTGTTTTATTTTATACTTGAATTCCTATTACTGCATTAAAATATTTGTTTCTGTATTGATTCAACAAATGTTTCCATGTTTTCTACATGTTTAGCAATGAGCTGGCATGATTCTAATAGTAAAATTAAGTATCACCTTATATTAATATAACATTTGATAATTTATAAAGCCCTTTCACATGCATCATCACAACAGATTATCAAATATTATTTAATAATCTTATGAGATGGCCAGATTAGCCAAATCTATTTCCCTCATTTCCTCCACCTTTTTTAACACACAAAAGGAAATTTTGATGCTCAAGAAAAATAAGTGACTTGTTCAATGTCACAACTGGGTAAATACTGAGACAGGACTTGGATCTGTCTTCTGACTCCTAACTTGGACATCTTTATAGTCACACTTTAATTTACTTGGTTGTAGTCCAGATAGGGCAATTAACTAGTAGACCTTTCTGTAGGAGAGTTTCCTCACTTATAAAAATGTGTGGATTGGATAAGATAATGTCTAGGGCAACAGTTTTTTTTTTTCAAACTTCTGACTGTAACCCTTGTAAGAAATAACATTTGATATTGCAATCTAGTATATATATATATATATATACACATATACAACACAAACATATAAAATATAATTAAGACAAGAATTCCATGAAATCATACTTACCCTTACTAGGAACCATACAAGCTGTTTTCTATGACATTGCATTTCATTAACAAAAGGAAAATGTTGCACGTGACTGGCTATATTGATTTTATGATATAATAATGGGTGACAACCAGTTTTAAAACACTGCTTTAAAGAGACCTAGTGCCAACTCTAATATTCTAGGATTACCTCTAAAATATAGACAGGAATATGACATTCTTATTTGAAGGAAATGGAAGGTAATTCTTTTCACAAACTTAAGAATCTTTCCATGACATAAATAAATCGAGTTTTATTTATAAGTACCCTAGTAGCTAGTCACATTTCTGGTAACCTCAGCCAAAAAATAAATCTGCCAATTCCTTGAGTCATTAAAATATCTTTTACATTTATATTCTGCATATTTACTTTAATGATATCTGTATTTTACTGACACTTAGCACACAAGTTTAACAAAATTTTCCCAGGCCACAAGAAGATAAAATATGACAAAGAGTAACCCAGTTTTGAAAAATGAAGAAATGAATACTCTATTGAAGCAAGTACAGAATGCCAAAGTACAACAATTTATGAATTTTTAATATGGAGACATAAGGCCAGACCTACATATGGTTAATATGCATTGACTGTTTCTACTATTAAGTATGTATCTGCTTATAAATATATATTAATTATAGACATTAAATTATCTAGATTTGTAAAAGTGTTCTGTTTCTCCTCTTAGGTATACATATCCCTAACATTTATATTTCTCTATATATGTGTAGAGGGAAGGATGGGATCAGGAAAATACAAGCTTCAGGAAAAAAATATGAAGTCTACTAAGATCTACTACTACTGACCTCACTGATGATTTGGGCCTTATAGAAGTGTACAGCTAAGCTGAAATTATGAGCAAAGGTTAATAACAGAGCTGGGTCAAGGTATTTGCTTGTTGGCTATGAATAACTGAGGTTCCTGATATAAAATTATTTTTTTAAATGTGGCTAATTCTTATTCAGCCTTTAAGTCTAAATTAAGATATCAGCACCTCTATGAAACATCTCTAAAACTCACTGTCTGGAGTAAATGTCATTCCTGTGTTCCTACAGTTCTAAGGGTAGAATGTACATGCACTCTTCATGAAAGTAAGGGCTTTATCTTCATTACTATATTACCATTTAGAATAACAAGTGACACATAGGACGCACTTATTAAATAATGGCTGGATAAATGAATGTATGGTTGCTATTCTTTGGTCAGCTCGGTATAGTTTATTCCACCTCCCACCTTGTTCTCTTCTGCCTTGCTCCCCTCACCAGAGGGGCTGGAACAATTTTAATTTCCTATATCCCTCTTAGGTAAAGTGACTGTGGTCTAGAGATAAGCACTTGTCTCAGGCTGAGCCAATCAAAATATCTGTCTGGATCTGAATCTTGACCAGGGATACAGTTAACGAAGACAGCATGGTGAACTGAAGCACTGGATGACAGCACTGCAGGGAGAAGATTGATGAGTTTCTACTTCTGAGATCTGAGGTTCTCTGTTTTTCCAAAGACTTGGTTGTTTTAACTTTTCCTTCAGTTTGTGAGTTACCCTAGAATCATTCCAGTTAATTTACTTTTGATCCCATTAGTTATTTCCTTTTTCTACCAAAGCAAAGAATCCAAGCATGCAACCAAATCAGAAGGTTAACATTTTCTCCACTGTCTTCTTTTATTTTTACTTTTTAAAAACACTATTAGGCCGGGTGCAGTGGCTCACACCTGTAATCCTAGCACTTTGGGAGGCCAAGGCAGGTGGATCACCAGAGGTCAGGAGTTCGAGACCAGCCTGGCCAATGTGGCAAAACCCCATCTCCACTAAAGATACAAAAATTAGCCGGGCATGGCGGCAAGTGCCTGTAGTCACAGCTACTCAGGAGGCTGAGGCAGGAGGATCGCTTGAACCTGGGAGGTGGAGGTTGCAGTAAGCCAAGATCAAGCCACTGTACTCCAGCCTGGGCAACAGAGCGAGACTCTGTCTCAACAACAACAAAAAACCCAAGACACTACTGCGTTAAGATATTTTAAAAGTTTATATATTTAGATTTTATTGTAAAACTAGATTTTTAAAATTATTTATTTATTCATTTTGAGACGGAGTTTCACTCTTGTTGCCCAGGCTGGAGTGCAATGGCACGATATCAGCTCACCACAACCTCGGCCTCCCAGGTTCAAGTGATTCTCCTGCCTCAGCCTCCCGAGTAGCTGGGATTACAGGCATGCACCACCACGCCCAGCTAATTTTGTATTTTTTTTTAGTAGAGACGGGGTTTCTCCATGTTGGTCAGGCTGGTGTCGAACTCCCAACCTCAGGTGATCTGCGCACCTCAGCCTCCCAAAGTGCTGGGATTATAGGTGTGAGCCACCGGATCCCAGCCCTAGATTTTATTTTTAAAAATCCATGTTTGTATATCTTATTGCTGGGGTTAAGTCAGGAATTGCATGATACACCTTTTACCCTTTCTCTGAACACGTTTGCCATCAGAGGAGGAATTAGAACATTTGAGTATGTATTTCCTCCTTTTTCTTTCCCTCTTCCCTCAGAGGAAAGGGACCTCTGCTCTAATTCCCTGGAATGAGCAATAGCAGATTAACATTTTTGAGCTCTTCTCATTCTACTGTTTCCAATTCAAAGGGCAGGAGTGAAAAACCCCATTCTGGCTTCAAGCCCAAACTGCAATCTCTATTTCAACTTTACCTTTAATAAAGCTGATATTTTGATCCCATTTGGCACAGTTCTTAGAGTTTTTATTAACCAAACCCTGGAACAAAAGAAGGGTAGTTGTAAGACCCAGATGCCAATCCTCATCTAAAAATCCAATGATGATAAACCTAGATCAACAAATGAGATTCTTTCATGAATACATATCCAATAATAGGGCATCCCAAATAAGGAAAAGTTCAAAGAAAATGCAATAATCCTTCTCTCTCTCTGCACAATTATGTCCTTTAGATGGTACATATAAAATGTCAGGCATTGGATCATCCATGACTACAGTGAAGATGTTAATGTAAGAGGCACAGGAACTCTCTTAAAATATATTTGGGAGCGGGGAGGAGCGGGGAAACAACTACAGGAAGCTTAAGACAAACTGGTTAAAAAACCAAGTCAAATTCTTTTTAGTGGTGTCAGTGATAAACATATATAATTATAACTTATGCAACATCTATTTCAAAAGGAGAACTGAGGTGGTTTATACTGAAGAAACATAACCCCCTCCCAAAAAAAATTAGCTGAAAAGAAGTACGAAATGATTTAAAGTTATAAGGAAAGAGGAAAGTTCTACCAGACATCTTGGATAAGAATTACAGGCTTAAACATTATTTTATGCTATGAATGCTTTCTGGAAGGCAGGCAAAGGAATAAAATCAAGTGTTCTTATCAGTGTTATTCCCCATAGTAAAATCTATTTCCTACCTTTGGGTCTACAAGAGATTTGTCACATGCATACTTATGTAAGGTCAATAAATTAACAAGGGGGAAAGAAAGTCTACAAATGAAGATATTTTCAAGCAGCCACTTTTAATAATGAACCTCAAACAACTAAGAGCCTTTTTTTGCATTATAGTAAATGAGTGAAAACATTTTTTGATATAAGCAGTTGAAGTATGTGGTACTCCAGTAATTCTACCAGATTTTGGTGTGGAGCTTAGAAAATCTAAAGATTAGATGGTCTATGCACCCCTCAGACACTCTCAAATATCTACTGTCTAGCCTGAATATTGGAAGGTACAAATGGTTAATTATCTCAAAATTGAGTCATACGTACAAAGCAGGAGTATGCAAATGTTCTCTAGGATTACTGAAGTAATATTAGTAAATTTTATTTAAAACAGATAACCTTCTAATTTGAAAAGCAATAGTCTAACTTGGTTTCTTGCTCCAATAAACAACCATTCTATCAAGAAAGTAAATGTTATTGACTCTGCTAGGTAGAAGTAAAAACTATCTTAAAGAGAAGATTTCAGTCTTCCTGGATGTCCCTAGAGGGAATTCGGTAAAAATCCCAAGGAATTCAGTAATTCTAAGGGACAATTATTTCCGCATTTACAGTTGAGAGAGAAAGAGAAGACTGAAGTAGCACTTATGGAGTACCAACTATATACCAAGCACTGTGTAAGGCATTTTATACATGTTACAACATGATTAATTCTCACAAATTTTGGAATGTTTAATATTAATCCTCTTTTACAAATGATGTACCTATACTGAACTTCAATAAACTTTCCCAGGTCATACAGATACTAAGTGGCTAAAACAGGATACAATTTTACGTCTGACTTTAAAACCAAATTTCCCCCAATGATAATCAACTATCTCAACCATACTTGGCCACTTCAAGTATAAATTAACCTCAGGACAGCTCTATTGAAGATCAAATTCATGTAATTTTGATCAGTGTTCTATTAAGTTAATAATAAGTTATATACAGATAATTTACAGCATTAGTATTTTTAGTTGAATATTAAAGAATCTGGCAAAAAATTTTGATTTTAGTTTAGTTGATGTTGAACTATTCTTATAGCAATTAGCTAGCTGTCTGCGATAGTTTACACTGATAATAGAAAACCACGTTGTCATTACAAAGGAAAAAACTTATTTTTAACTGTAGATTATATATACACACACATATATAAATTACAAGTGGAATTTGGTAAATTAAACATTAATTTTGGAATTTATTATGACAATTATACAGCTTAACTCATATTAACTTAAGGCTGGTAAGTAAAAAGTTTTACATCATTCTTAACTGATTACTCAGTAAGATGAAACAATTAAAGTAATCTACTAAAATCCACCTGTTCCTCATGCAAACGTTTAAACTCTGTAATTTGATAAGTAGGCTGGCTAGAGTTTTAAAGAAATAGTAAAAAGAAGCTATCATTTAGGTAAAGAAACATATTACTCATTTTGAAAGATGTGGTAAACTGTCAACTTTAAAGAGGTAATTAACAGAGTTTAACGGGGATTGGGATCTACCTCTCAAGGCATAAGGTAAACAATTCCAGCTGTCAATTTGAAGATTAAGACGGGAATTTTAAGATTATTTTCTGAAGAAAATGAAAACAGGAATCAGTAGCAGAATAAACGCGTATTACGGACAGCCACAGGTGCTCTTTACATTACACAATGGGAAGATTTATTTTTTAAATTTAAAAATCCCTAATTCAAACACTAACAAACAGTTAATGACAAAAGGTTTTTACATACCTCCAACAAAAAGATCTATTCCTCCAGCTTCTTTTATTTTGTTTTCAAAAGCATCACATTCTGCTTGTAAATCTGCAGCATTCCCGTCAAGGATATGTGCATTATTAGGATCTATATCGATATGCTTAAAAAAATTATTCCACATATAAGAATGGTAGCTTTCAGGATGATTTCTTGGAAGTCCTAAAGATGAAGTTAATAAAAATATAAGTATTCCTGAAATAAATCTAAAGTTTATTTTTCTTTTTAAGTCATAAGTGCTATTTAATAAATCTAACTTCTCTATACCATATTCAATTTAAAAGCATTCTTATGTGGAATATATGATTATATGCCTAGTATTAATCACCCTAAATGTATGCATTAATTGATAAAACATCTATGGAACACTATTATCTCATTTTGTAGGTGAACAATTGAAACACAAGAATCTTTCCCAAAGGTCCCATAGTTCGCAAAGGAGTTAGGATTCAAACACAGAAAGTCTAGCTCATGTGCACTTAGTAACTATACTCTTCTCAAACACAAAATTTTAACCAATGAAATTGACTTACATGTTAAGCTCAAAATAAATTAAGTAGCCATTCAAGTGAAATGATAGCCATGTTCCTCCTCTATTCATCCTGTATGTGTGCAGATTATGTGGGATCACAACACTTCTTTGGCTATCATTTATGCTACCATTAAATACACATTTCTATATTTAAATTTTAACACAGAGTTTCTATGCATCACAGATTTCAGGTAGGCAAGTTAACAATAAATTATAAAAGCTCCAGGGCTACCAATATAGCTTTTGATTTGAAAAAATACTTAACTAATTACTTTTACATGTACGTTAGTTTATCCTGACAACACTGGTTTTAACTCTGCCTTAAGAAAAAAAGAGAATAAGAAATGTGAGTAGACTGGCTTAAAGTTACATCACTGTTGAGTGGCAGAGCCCAGGATGAATGCAGAGCTTCTGATTTCTAGTCCTTCATTCCTTCCACTATTCTGTGCTACTATCACAAAAATACAGGTTTTTAAATAAACTCCCAATCTCATCTGAAAGCAGTACATTTTAGAAATATATTCATACATTAATATTATATTCAAAACATAAATTCAAATATACTTGTATTCTAAAACTACATTCATTTTATTCCAAATATAACATACCCAAATAATGGTCAATATATTTAAGTATAGCTTACCTACATATTCATCCATATTAAAGGTCTTCACATATTTAAAAGAAAGGTGTCCATTCTTATGATATTCTATTAGTTTTTTATAGCATCCTAAAGGTGTACTCCCTAAAAGACATAAAAATTCCATTTTCTAAAATGACTTAATAATCTATTAAATAAACTTTTTATTAACTTTACCTGTGTTTTTCTTACTTAATAATATTCTGTAGTTCTGATTTATTAGGCAATTATTAACTTAAATACATAATCAACTAACAAGTACTTTGAAATTTTGGTAAACCAGAATTTGCTGAATAAAGCTGGAAATCTGTCAATAAAAATTAAAGTTTGGAAAATTATCCTTGAGTTGTTGGGTACTGGGATATACTATAACAAATTCTAAGATTAGAAGCTTCTAGAATATATAACTGACTTTTTAAAAATCTCCCTTTCTGAAAAAAAAATCTTGAGTTCTTGCACAAATGATATGTAAATAGGTCAAGTGTTGACCATTTACTGAAATTAAAAGGGAAAACAGGGCTAAATTTAAATATTGCCCCTACTTTCAAAATAGAATCTCCAACTGGCAAACACTGAGTAGGGACTTTAGCCTTACAGCTTTCTAAATGGAGCCCCTGTTTCTCATCTTTTGATAACTTCAGCATGCATCAGCTAAAATGTGTAAGGTGAGAAAAAGAAGTTATTTTTGCTTAAGATAGAACTTATAGGAAAGAGGATATTTCATCTGAGTTCTTGATTCTATTGTTTTATAAAATCATAGTTTGATATGTGAAAAGATGGCGCTTCATGATATGACAAAATAAAAATAAATATATTTAGCCACTCGAGGATGGCCTTCATCTTTGTTTTCTAAATTTGTTACTTTTTTTTTCATTTTAACTTCAAACTGAAAGGCTAGATTGACTGCATTCTTCTAACAAGTTATCTGGCCGTCCCAATCCTAGTTGGAGTACTGATTCCTAGCTAACCCACCATCACAAAACAGAACAGTGTAAAACAAAAGGCTGCACAAAAAATTCCAACCCAAGTATTATACAGAAATCTGATAAAACTAAACAGTCTCTGACAAAAACAAATACAAAGGAAATTCAAGAATAGTAAAAAGACTGCCTCTTGTTTGAGATGTCAGAATAGACAAGGCTATAAATAAATACCACACAGCAGAAGAAAAAAAGATTTTCTAAAAGCTAAGCACATATGTTGTTTTCAATTACAATTATTAATTTAAAAATTATGTAGTAAAATTTTACGTTTCTCAACAACTATAGCCCACTAACATGAAACCTGTCTAAAAGATGGATAAATATGCTTTCCCTCTTCCTTTCTCGAAGGATAAGTGAATCTCTTCTCTCTTTTAGTGTCAAGAGATGAGTTATAGGAGTCTCTCAATTTAAGGATATATGAATAAAAAGGTGAGCTGTCACAATGGAGGTGACAAATTCATTTTCTATTTTGTAATCAATGTGGCCAAAAAAAAAGACTGAAGAAAAAAAAAGAACTGGTTAAAGAAACTTAATTTTTATATTTGCTTTGTAATAGTCATTACTAACACAATTTAGCAAGTACCTACTATGATTTATATAAAACAAAGATTAAGACATTTTCTTTAAGAACTCACAATATAGGGATAAGCAAGTACAAAATAACCATAACACAGGAAAAACATTATAAATAATCTAAAAGAAGTCTGAGTATTGCAGAACATCAAATAAAAAAGACTACAATCTTGCGAGTTGGAAGAACAATAAAAGAAAATGGCATTTCAATTCAGTCTTGATTAAGGGATACACTTTCAACAAAGAGGAAACTAACTCAGAGCAGAGAAAAGATGGAGCGGGAGGTTCAACGATGACATCTGTCTACCATGTGGCTAGATGCTGCGCTAATGTTTTTATATATTACCTCACATAAAGCTCACAATCTTGAGAAACTGGCATTATCTTTCCCATTTTGAAGACAAAATAACTGGGTCAAAAAGATTAAGGAATTTGCCAAATGTCAT
Source organism: Homo sapiens (assembly GCF_000001405.40). Taxonomy (NCBI): domain Eukaryota; kingdom Metazoa; phylum Chordata; class Mammalia; order Primates; family Hominidae; genus Homo; species Homo sapiens. Next base: position 44,720,308 of record NC_000004.12, read on the forward strand.
ATGGCTGTGAAACCAGGGATTCCAATCTAGATAGGTCTGGTGCCAGAGTTCATATAGATTCCATTAAATAACATGCTAGGAATATGAGTGAAAGCAAAGCAAAGCAAAGCAGCCAGCAACTTCAAGCCTATTCTTGAACTGCAAGCAGTCAAATATGCCTAGCCCAGTTCTGTGTAAGGAGATGGTGGGAATAAGTTTTGGGAAGCAGATCAGGTTCACAGCATGCAGGCCTTTAAATGTCAAGCTCATTAAGGTCACGTGAGTAAATATAAAATTGAACAGATATTGCCCAGAAATTGCGCTTGATAGGGAGATAATTACAATGCAGCCTGGTACAAGCAATTACCGACATGTATGTTCAAGTCTCAGAAGCAGTGGGGGAAGAGGACATAATTAACTTGTCGATGGTCAATGAAGGAGAGTAATGGAAAATTTCAACAAGGTTTTCCAGAGATCCTCACTTGGCAGGTATATTACTAGCAGTTATACTACCCAAAATAAAGCAAACGTTGTAGATCTAAATACACAAAAAGATGTTTAGCACTGCTGACATTTAAGACTAAGTCTTTCTGTCCCCACTCAAATTACTGTTTTTTTCTGCATCATAATTAACACAATGTTATTAACAGAGGTAGGCTGAGTGTAATGAAGGGTAACAGTATAGAAACTATACAGAAACCACGTTCAACCCCAAGGGGTCACATATCAGAACTGAGGGTGCTGGGGGTGTAGTACTGGTGTGTCCAGTGAAAAAAAAAAAACCCTTTTGCCATTCTCACCAAGATCTACTGCCCTGGACCAAAAGAGAAAAAGCAAAACAAAACAATCAACTTGAAGAGTACCATTCACGGAAATTACTCAAGTGGGAAAAAATTACAATTGTAGTTTTTATGTAATTACCATGTATGAGGGGAGGAGCTGGAGAAAACAGTCTGTTTAAATAAAACACACGGGAACTATAAATTTATAGACTACAGTATACAAGGGACTTACACATACACTATCTTAGCTGAATCTCAAAACAGCATCTTAAGTTATTATCCTTATCTTTCTTATAGGTAAGGAAACCAAGGCTCAGGGGTATAGAACAAATGCCTTGTAGTCAATAAGGAGCAACTTTAGTTCCAGGTCTAACACTCTGTGAAAATCATGGGTCAAATAAAGTGCCATAAGATCAAATGACACCACCTAGTCGTTTTTTAAGAGAATGCTTAATGGAAAACTGAATTCAATAAAATATGTAATTACTGTGATGAAGATATATTTTTCACTTGTAATACATCTATAATAGAAGAAGCAAATAGTAAAAGGCTAATAAACATTATATAATATATAATTTATAACTTCTATATTAATAAGGATTTATAAGGCAGGTGAAGTTAAATTAAGAGGCAACAGTACATACCTTAGGTACCTCTTAATGATTAATAAGAAAGCCAATCAACTAAAAACTGGTATGAATGGTAAAAGCAATGTTCCCCAAAACAAAGGACTACTAGAAAAATGTACAAAAAATATGAACAACACTTAAGTTACAATATTTCCTATTGCATTTTGGAGTGACAGGTGAGACTAAATTTTGGCACAAGAACTAGTAACACATTGTAGATAGTAGATTTTATATATATGCATTTTTCTGGCCTTTTATACTATGATGTTCAATTAGTGACATGCCAATAAATGAATGGGGAAAGTATCTTAAAAGAAACCCTTCAATTCCATCAGAATTAAATTTAGATAATATCAGAATATAAAATGGAAAAAGTAGTTAATTACCTGTTGGTAAACCCAGTGTAAAATATCTGTCCTGTCCAGGTTTGAACTGAATGATGCGATTACAGATGTATTTGGCTGCCCATTCACTAGCCAAGTCATAGTTATCAAGAATTACAAGCCTCATTACGGTGACGCACAGCTTCCAGAACAAGTTCAAACCTGAGAAAAGTCCATTGTAGAACACTTTACATAATAAACAGATAATTTAAATTCAGTAACTTTTTAAAAGATGTAAATAATAAATAGAGCACTGAAACAGAATATACTGATGATTTTTAAAAGTACATTACTGAAGAAGGACATGCACATATACAATCTGAATTTAAAAAATAGTAATAGCTGTTCTCTTTTGAGCAGACACTGAGTTTAAGGCAGTGGGCTAGGTCATTTAAGTATAGTTAGCCTTCTGTGGATTCCATATTCGAGGATTCAGCCAACCAAGAACTGAAAATATTTAGGGGAAAAAGATGTTTGCATCTGTATTAAACAGGTACAGACTTTTTTTTGTCATTATTCCCTAAACAATACAGTATAACAACTATTTACACAGTATTTACATTGTATTAGGTATTATAAGTAATCTAGAGATAAAGTATATGGGAGTATGGGTGCAGGTGATATGCAAGTACTATGTCATACAATATGAGGGACTTAAGCATCTGTGGATTTTGGTATCTGAAGGGGGATCCTAGAATCAATCCCCAACAGATACTAGGGACAAGTGTACATATTTTAATCCTTACAACCATCTTGTGAAGTAAATAAAATGCCCAGTTATAGATGAGGAAATGGACTCACATAATTTGACTAAGGTCACACAGGTAGTAAGCAACAAGGTCAGAATTCAAATTATAACAATAGGATCACACTAGACATGTTATTTTTAATAAGAGAATTCAACAGAAGAAAAAGAAAACAAAGTGAACTAAATAAACTGCTCATCTCTGGAGGAGAAATTTCTTGACAAAAAGCAATTTTAGTTCCTCAAAAATTATTCTAAAATTAAGAAAAATTATTATACGTATATTAAGAGATCGGAGTCACTTAAAAGCTACATAATTCCATTTTACACAATGTAGGTTGACTTATACCATGAAAGATGTGGAAATCAGCATTCTTACAGTAACTCACAGCTTCTGTTATCTGTAAGACATATTGTTTTCCTTTTTTTTAAAAAAATGGTATAAATTTAAGGGGTACAAATGCAATTTTGTTACATGGATATATTATTTAGTGACTAGGTCTGGGGTTTTGGTGTATCTATCACCTGAATAATGTACAATGATCCTAGCAATTTCTCATCATCTACCCACTCCTACTCCCCAACCCTTCTAAGCCTCTAATATCAGTCTACTTTCCATCACCACGTGTACACATTATTTAACTCCCACTTGTAAGTGAGAACATGTGGTATTTTTCTTTCTATTTGGGAGTTGTTTCACTTAAGATGATGGCCTCCAGTTACTGCAAAGGACATGATTTCATTTTCAATGGCTGAATTTCGCGGTGTATATATATACCACATTTTCTTTATCCAATCATTCACTGATGGACACTCAGGTTGATTTCTTATCTTTGCTACTGTTGTTATTGGAAGGAAGGTCATGAGTGTGAGGTGTCCAGTTCCTTGGCATTTTGAACAAAGAACTGCACAAAAGGAACGAAACACAGGAATGAAGCAGCGAAAGCAGGGATACTGAAGCAAGAAAGCACCCCATGGGGTGGGAGTGGGCCCAAGCAAGCGGCTCAAGGGTCCGGTTACAAAGTTTTCTGGGTTTTAATACTCCTTTTGAGGTCCCTTATCGGTTACCCCTTATCTGCATGAAGGATTTGGTCCGTGGCTAATTAAAGGCTGAGGTGAATTGGCTCCCTATGCAGATGAAGGGATGGCCCATGCTTAGTCCACGGACAATCCAAGGCACTTTCCCCTTCCATCTGAGAGGTGGTGGAAGGCAGTCGATCGTAGGGAGAGTAGCCTTTGGTCCTTTGCTACTTGGGCATGGGGAGATGGGTTTTTTCCTTTTGGTCTAGCTTTAGGAAGTTTGCGTTAATTGGTTAACTGGCTTTAGGTTACCTGCCCCCAGACGCAGGTGTTTTCTCTTTTAGGAAGTCAGCACAAATTGGCCTTAGATTTCCTGCCCCCAGACCTTGGTGTTTTCCTTTGATTTAGCTTTAGGAAGTCAGCACGAATTGGCCTTAAGTCCTCTGCCTCCAGACCCTATTCTACTGCCTCACTGTGAATAGTGCTGAGATAAAAATGAATGCGGGTATCTTTTTGATATAATGAATTATTTTCCTTCGGGTAGATACCCAGTAGTGAGATTGCCTGATCAAATGGTAGTTCTATTTTCAGTTCTTTGAGAAATCTTCATACTTTTTTCTACAGAAGTTGAACTGACATTACCATCAATAGTTTATAAACGTCCCCTTATAACATTTACTGAACATTCTGTAATAATTCCCATAATTCTTAGATTTTTAATTCTTATTTTTATATTAAATGGATCAGTCACCAATACCAAGCTTTTTATAACATGGTTTCAGCATTCCTGAGTTTTGTACCCACACACTTTACATAGAGTAATAAGTCAAATTTTCTAAATTAATGAGATTAAAAGGTCTTATTAAAATAAATGTATGGAATCTAAATGTCTTTAAGAAGGTAACAGTTTCGAATTCTGACACAACAACAAAAAATCATGGTCACCATGATCTAGAATTCTGGCCCGATAACAATTATTTATTTACAGAAAATAAATTACATAGTAAGTCATAAATTCAGTCCAACAACTGGACTCAGCCTCCACTTAAATATAATCCATAATCTAATGTCAAAAACAATTTTAGAGTTAAACCAAAGAATCAGAAAGAATTATTGGCTGTAATGAACATCAAAAGATATATTTACTTCTAACAAGAATATATGGCCAGCTGATTGTTAATAAAACGGAAAAAAAATAAGGTAAGGAGGACGAGAAGCATTAGAGCTTTCCAATGTCTTCTGCATCCTGGGCATGTTATTTTTCTCAGTTCAACACACGTTTGAAGACCTATTATATTCTAAGCACTATGCTAGGTTCTGTAGACACAAAAATGATTAACTCTATTGTCAAAGGGCTTAGAATCACTTGTCTCTGAGGTTGAAAGCATTATTCTCACTCTTCATATACAGAAAACTGCAACTACGAGAAGTTTATTGCTGACGTTAAAAAGTGGCCCGGGGAGCTGGCTTTAAAACTAAGTGTTTCTGACTCAAAGAGACATTAGCCAAAGATGTCTTACCGGTTGAGAATCACTTACGATGCTAGTTAAAAATACAGATTCTCAGGTCCCTCTCCCTAGACACAGTGTTTCAAAAGATCTGAAATGAAGTCCAAGGAATCTCTGCTTTTGCAAATTATCACAGGGGATATTCATAATCAGGTGAAATTTGTTAAGAACACCACACATCTCACTGAAACGAAGTTTAAGCAAGTCTCTCAGACCAAGGTACAGGCAACTTTTTGTTTTCTTAAACTCTCTGGAGGGCGCAGAGTCACCTCCAAAAGTCCCAAATGAATCCCTTCACCCAGAGCAAAGAAGAATTTCTTCACCACATTTAAGTTTTTAAGATTTGACTTTTCCAGTTTTTGCCAATCCTCAGAGATCCAAACTATTGTCGCCTTATGCAATTCTCTGGCATCACAAGACAGCATCAAAAAACAACAGAGCACCACCCTTTCCCTCGTCTTCCTTCAGGTGCTGATTCATTTTGGATGTGCATCGCTAGGAAAAAGGGCTGCTGAATATAAATCGCAAAACTTCAATGGTGGATGACAACTTCTACACCCGTGAAGTTACACAGCTAGTTAATGGCGGGGCCAAGACCAGAATCTACACTTGCAGAACCTCTGCTCTGAGCTTTTCCCTACTCAACCTGACCTGTCCTGAAAGCGTAAGGGTGGCCTGGCCGCGCGTGTGGGACCGACCCGAGGAGGGACGAGAGACAGCAAAGAAGGCTGTGGTTCCTGCCCGGGAGGCGGGGGCTGCAGATTCCCCTCAGCTGCGCGTTTGCCTGGCCCTCACTTGGCAAAGGACAGCGAATGCAAATGAGGATGACTGTTAGGAATTTTTAACGAGTGTAGAGAGAGGTGTCAAGAAGAAGCCGCGAGAGAGGAGAGGGCAGGGACGCCTTCTCCCGTAGGCACAAATCCGGAGAGGACAACCAGGTCCGCGAGTGGCAATACGGGAGACCCCACGCGCCCCCAGCCTCGAGGTTCCTGAGCACCCATTCCGCCCCGGCCCGGCGTCCCAGTCTCAGCACAAAGGCCGCACAGGGCGAAGTTGCCGTCGGGTCCCCCGACCCGAGTCCCCTTCTTGGCGCCCCCGCCGCACCCCCCGCTAAACTTACCGGCAGACCCAATGGTTCTTCGATGCTGGAACAGCGGGAACAAGCAACACCCAACCACCCGAGAGCGACCCCAGCTGACCAGTGGAGCGCGAATCCCACGGACCCGGATGCAGATAAAGGCGCAGGAAGGAACCGCGGCGTGGCTGGCGGGCGCTGCGCATGCGCACCGCCTTTAGGACGCCTGAGGTGAGACGCGAGGAGTTCGGTCCGAGTGCGGTGCGGCTGGGCGCTCTTCTTGCCTGGAAGATCGCAGTTTCTGGGTCATCACTTTACGCTACTTTCCCCTCCCCCCCATCTTTCAAAGAGGGATTTGCAGTAGATTCTTTAGGCTTATGAGATTTAGTATGTAAGACCGTAGTGCTCACACGTACTTTGTTGCTTATGTTGCTGTTTGGCAACATGAATATATTTGCCATTTATGAATACATTTCTCTCTCTACTCCAAGCTATTGAATGCATATTTGCAAACGCAATGACAGATAAGCGTCTTGTGTCAAAAAACTCATCAAAGTTTGCAAAAGGGCAAACAGTACCATGGGAAATCGGGAGCGTCTCAGTAAGAGAAAACACTATATAATAGGGTACTGGCTTTTGCTGAATGAGTCTAAGAAAGGGATAGGGGAAGCTGGAATCAGCTTTGAGCTGGGTATCACAGATGTTTATACAGGAGTGGGAAGGAATTGGGCTGTGGAAATTATTGTAAAGAAAGCAGCTATCATTCAAAAGGAGAAAAGTGTGTTGTGTCTTCACCATGTTCCATCAGGAACACTGTTCCATTAATAACACCGTTTAGGGTTCTGTTAGGAACAATACAATCTTGACTCCTAGCCAACTTAAGGTTCTGTTTCTGTGGAAACTACAAGTTAAAAAAATGTAAAACGCTGTGTCCTCAAACTCGTTATATGAAGTTTTTCACCTGGGTTGTAAATCCAGCCTGCTTCTTTGAATGTAATGACTCCTCTTGCATCCTTTAGTGAAGAGTAGGATGTTACATTCTCGTTGATTTAGCTTCAAACAGCAACATTGCTCACATACTGATAATAGACAGGTTTATTAGTACTATCGCCTTCAGTAAGTTTGCAAAAGCGATTTTTGGCCAGATTCGGTGACTCACGCCTGTAATCCCAGCACTTTCAGAGGTCATGGTGCATGGATGGCTTGAACCCAGGAGTTGGAGACCAGCCTGGGCAACATAGCAAGACCCTGTCTCTCCAAAAAAGATTGAGGTAAAATGATGAAGTAGTTTGTAGGCTATGCATAGAATTTAGGCTTTGTATTGTAGGCAATAGGGAGTCACTTAAGCTTTATGAATTGAAGATAAGAGACTAGAACATACGTGTTTTAGAAAGAATGCTGTAGAAAGGTGGAGACTGAATTACAGTCTTGAATTACAGATATGTGCCACATAAGGAAGTTTAGGTAAAGAATGGACTGGATATTTGGCAATGGTCCCATAAGATTATAACAGAACTGAAAAATTCCTATCACCTAGCGACATTGTAGTAAACGTAAAGTTGTAGAGCAACACCACTCGTGTTTGTGGCTACATAGGTGTAAACCTACTGTGCTTCCAGTCTCATAAAAGTCTAGCACATACAATTATGTACAGGATATAATACTTGATAATAAATGACTATGTTACTGGTATATGTATTTGCTATATTATACTCTTTATCATTATTTTAGAGTGTATTCATTCTATTTCTATTTTTATTTTTATTTATTTGTTTATTTTTTTGAGACAGAGTCTCGCACTGTCACCCAGGCTGGAGTGCAATGGCACAATCTTGGCTCACTGCAACCTCTGCCTCCTGAGTTCAAGCAATTCTCCTGCCTCAGCCTCCTGAGTAGCTGGGATTACAGGCAGCTGCCACCACGCCCGTCTAATTTTGTTTTATTTTTAGTAGAGACGGGGTTTCACTTATTAGCCACGCTGGTCTCGAACTCCTGACCTCGTGATCTGCCTGCCTCGGCCTCCCAAAGTGCTGGGATTATAGGCGTGAGCCACCATGCTTGGCCCTATTTATATTTTTAAAAGTTAACTATAAAACAGCCTCAAGGAGGTCTTTCAGGAGGTATTCCAGAAGAAGGCATTGTTATTATAGATGAGAGCTCCATGTGCATTATTGCCCTGATGAACTTCCAGTGGGATAAGATGTGAAAGTGAAAGACAGGGAGATTGATAATCCTGACCTTGTGTAGGCCTAGGCTAACATGTGTGTTTGTGTCTTCATTTTAACAAAAAAATTTGAATAGGAAAAAAATTAAAAATAGATTTTAAAATAAAAAAACTTATAGAATAAGGATATAAAGAAACAAAATATTTTTGGACAGCTCTCCAATGTGTGTTTTAACCTTAACGTTGTTACTAGAGTCAAAAAGTTTTTTTTTTTTCTGAGACAGAGTCTCACTCTGTTGTCCAGGCTGGAATGCAGTGTCGCAATCTTGGCTGACTGCAAACTCTACCTCCCAGATTCAAGCAATTCTCCTGCCTCGGCCTCCCGAGTAGCTGGGACTACAGGCGCATGCCACCACACCCGGCTAATTTTTTGTGTTTTTAGTAGAGACGGGGTTTCACTGTGTTAGCCAGGATGGTCTCGATCTCCGGACCCCATGGTCCCCCCTCCTCAGCCTCCTATAGTGCTGGGATTACAGGCGTGAGCCACCACTCCCGGCCAAAAAGTTTTTTAAAAATTTAAATATAAAGTAAGAAAGCTACAGGAAATTAAATTTACTATTGAAGAAAAAAAACATCGTTTTATAAATTTAGTGTAGCCTAACTCTACATTGTTTATAAAATCTACAGTAGTGTACAGTAATGTCCTAGGTCTTCACATTCACTCACCACTCATTCACTGACTTACCCAGAGCACCCTCCAGTCCTGCAAGCTCCTTTCATGGTAAATGTCCTATACAGGTGTACTGTTAATATTTTTTAATTTTTATACTTTTTTTTTTACTATACCTTTTCTTTGTTTAGATATGCAAATATATACCATTGTGTTACATTGCTTACCGTATTCAGTAATATGCTGTACAGGTTTGTAGTCTAGGAGCAATAGGCTATACCATATATGTGTAGTTTGTGTATATATGCTAGGTTTGTGTGCATATACTGTATAACATTCACACTATAATGAAATCGTCTGAAGATGCATTTCTCAGAATGTATCCCCATAATTAAGTGATGCATGACTGTATGTTATGAAGACTCCAACACGGAACGACTCTGAGTGTACCTTGTATTTTTCCTACCCAGCCTTGGTATCAGGCATTTCACTAATAGCTGATAGTTGTTTTATTAATCAACAATGGATGTTGAATTTTGTCAAACACTTTCTATGTATCTATTGAAATGGTTGTATGGTTTTCCACTCTAATATGTTGGTGAATTCAATGTTGAGTGCACTTTTATTGCTGGAGAAAATTAGATTTGGTCATTGTTTTTCTTGGTCAGGGTCTTTCTTATACATTTATTGTTGGGTTCAATGTTCTAAAATTTTGTTTAAAAATTTTACACCTATGTGTATGAGGGATATCAGTCCATAGTTTTTTTGTTTATTAGTTTTTTTTTGTGTGTGAAGTCTTTGTCTAGTTTTAGTATCATAGTAATAACAAACTTATAAATTGAGTGGGAAAATTTCCCTCTTCAATGTTTTGGAATAATTTGTGTTGAATTATAGTAACATAATGTATTCTTTAAATACTTGATAGAATTCACTAGAGAAGCCGTACGTACATAGAGTTTTCTTTTTTGAAAAAATTTAACTATAAATCCAATTTCCTGAATAAATACAGGATTATTCAGGTTATCTATTACATAATTTTCATCGAGATGTAATTCACATACTATAAACTCAGGCTTTTAAAGTATACAGTTCAGTGACTTTCAGTATACTCACAATGATATGTAACCATCACCACTATCTAATTCTGTTTTTCTATTTCTATCCCCCACCCCACATCAAAAGAGACCTCATCACCTGTTAGCAGTCACTTCCAATTCTCCCTCCCCTACCTGATTTCCTGGCAACCACTAGTATACTTCCTCTCTCTGTGGATTTGCCTATTCTAGATATTTCATATAAATGGAATCCATATGTGGCCTTTTTTTGTCTTGTTTCTTTCACTTTGCACCATATTTTCTAGCTCCATCCATGTTGTACTTCATTACATTTTATTGCAGAGTAATATTCCATTGTGTTGATATACCACATTTTGTTTATCTACTTGCTAGTTAATAGACATTTGGATTGTTTCCTGCTGCTATGAGCATTTAAACAAAAGTTTTTGTGTGAACATTTATTTTCAATTCTCTTGGATATATACCTGGAAGTGGAATTCCTCAGCCATATGGTAACTAGATGATTAACTTTTTGAAGAGCTGCCAAACTGTTTTCACAGCAACTGTACCATTTCATATTCCACCAAAAATGCATGAGGATTAAAAATTTCTCACACCCTTGCCAACACTTGTTATTTTCTATCTTTTTTATTATAGTGATTCTAGTGGATATGAAATGATTCGAATATGCGTTTCTCTAAAGACTTATGATGTTGAGCGTCTTTTCATGTGATAATTGCACTTTTGATATCTTATTTGGAGAACTGTCTATTCAAATCATTTCTTGATTTTTAAATTGGGCTATTTGTTTTTTATTGTTGAATTATAAGAGGTTTTCATATATTCTCAATAGTAGAGCCATATCAGATATATGATTTAGAAATATTTCCCTATTTTATGATTTATCTTTTCAGTTTCTTGATACTGTCCTTGGAAGGAAAAACATTTTTTTAATTTGATGAAGTCCAGTTTATCTACTTTTTCTTCAGATGTCATGATTTTGATGTGCTAGCTATGTAACTAGAAAAATTTGGGCTTGTATTTTGTGTCTTTTTTCCTTTTATTTTTCCAGTTATTCATTTTTATCATATTTTACAAAAGCACTGGTTTGTGACAAATTGAAAATTTAAAAAAAATATATCCTTCACCACAGATAGCTTGATAAGCGCTGTTTTTGAGAACTATCCTGTTTACACTGGCTAACATTTAGGGTATGTCTGTGGCCCTACACAGTGGCCAAAACAGGGTGCCAAGGGAACGGGGGTGGAAGGGATCAGTCAGGGCACAGGTCATGAGCAGCTGCTGTGGGAGCTGTTCCCTTAACCAGGGAGGAAAGGGAAGCGGTGACTTCAAATCTTAAAATTCTCAAGGTCAGGAAGATTCACACCTATGATCTGTTATAAAAGTTTTGTAGTTTTATCTTTTACATTTAAGTCTTTGAGTTAATTTTTATATATCGTATGTGGTAGAGGTTCAACTTCATTCATTTACAGGTAGACATTCAATTGTTAAAGCATCATAGATAAAAAAGACTGTTCTTTCTCCCCTTGAAAGACTGTTCTTTCCCCCCTTGGCAAACTTACTGAAAATCAGTTGACCACAGAAACATGGGCTCTCAGTTCTATTCCATTGAGCTACATGTCTATCTTTATGCCAGAACCACACTATTTTGATTAAGATCAATTTGTAATAAAGCTCAAAATCAGAAAATGTGAGTCATCCATGTCTTTCTTTTAGGCTGTTTTGGCTATCCTGGATACCTTGCATTTCCATGTGAATTTTAGGATCAGCTTGACCATTTCTGGAAAAAAAAAGGCCATTGAAATTTTATAGTAATTATGCTGAATATATCGATCAATTGGTGAGTATTACCATCTGAACTATATTAAGTCGATCAGTCCATGAACACAGGATGTCTTTCCACTTATTTAGCTCTTAATTTCTTTCAGCAATGTTTTGCAGTTTTCAGCACATAAGTCTTGAACCTTTTTGGTTAAATTTATTCCTAAGTATCTTTTTGATGCTATTGTAAAGGGAATTGTTTTCTTAATTTCATATTTGCATTGTTCTTTGCTAATGTACAAGAACACAACAGGTTTTGCAAAACCACAATGAGGTACCATCTCACACCAGTCAGAATGGCTATTATTAAAAGTTTAAAAAATAACAGATGCTGGTAAGGCTATGGAGAAAAGGGAACATTGATACACTGTTGGTGGGAATTTAAATTAGTTCAGCCAGTATGGAAAGCAGTTTGAAGATTTCTCAAAGAACTTAAAACAGAACTACTGTTCAACCCAGCATTCCCATTACTTGCATGTATACTGAAAGGAAATTAAATTTTTCTACCAAAAAAGACACATGCACTTGTATTTTCACCACAGCACTATTCACAATGGCAAAGACATGGAATCAACCTAGGTGCTCATCGATGGTGTATTGGATAAATAAAATGTGATACATACACACCATGGAATACTAGGCATCCACAATAAAGAATGAAATCACATTCTTTGCGGCAACATGGATGCAGCTGGAGGCCATTATCCTAAGCAAATTAATGCAGGAACAGAAAACCAAATACCATATGTTCTCATTTATCAGTGGGAGCTAAACATTTGAGTGCACATGGACAGAAAGATGGGAAAAATAGACACTAGGTTCTATTAGTCAGGAGAGGGAGGGGTGAAAAGCTACCTATTGGGTTCTATGCTTAGTGGGTGATGGGATCACTCATACCCCAAACTTCAATGTCACTCAATATACCCAAATAACAAACCTGCACATGTACCCCTTAATCTAAGAAAAAAGTTGAAGTTATTTTAAAAACAACAAAATGCAAAACAAAAAGCAAAGCAAAACAAAATGAAAATACTCATATGTCAAAGATCATGGTGCCCAAAACAATCCATAAAGCCAGTACTTCTAGACTTGCAAATAATTCATTGCTCAATTAAACTGTGTTTAAAAAATAAAAATAAAGCCAGGACTGGGTTAATAAGCAAAACAAACAAAGACAAAAAACAACTGAGTTTTAAATGTCAGTCTTGTATTCTGCAACTTTGCTGAACTAGCTTATTAGCTATAAGAGTTGTGTGTGTGTGTCTGTGTGTGTGTGTGTGTGTAAGGATTTTCTATATGTAAGATTATATATAGTTAGTTTTACTTCCTTTCCAATTTGAGTGACATTTATTCCTTTTTCATGTTATTTGCTCTGGCTAGAACCTCCACAGCAATATTTAATACAAGACATCCTTGTCTTGTTCCTAATTTTGGAGAAGAGCTTTCAGTCTTTCACCATTAAGCATGAGGTTTGTGTGTTTTTCATGGATGCCATTTATCAGATTAAGGGAGTCCCCTTCTATTTTTAGTTTGCTGAGGGCTTTTTTAAATAAAAGTGTATTGGATTCTGTTACTTTTCTGTGTTTGTTGAGATAACTATTGGGTTTTTTGCTTTAGTCTATTAAATGGTGTTTACACTGATTTTCCTTATATTGAACTAACTTTACATACGTGGGCTAAATCTCATTTGGTAATGTACAATTCTTTTTAGATGTTGCTGGATTTCGTTAGTTAGTGTTTTGTTGAGGATTTTAACATCTATCTTTGTAATGCCACTAATCTGTAGTTTTCTTTTCTTTTGACGTCTTTGTCTGGCTTTGGTATCAGAGTAATATGGGCCTCATAGAATTAGTTAGAAAGTTTACTCTCCTCTTTTTGTTGAGAAAAACTGATGTTAATTCCTAGAATTTGCCAGTGAAATGGTCTGTTCCAGGGCTTTTTATCTGTTAGAAGTTGTTCGATGGCTAATTCAGTCTCTTTACTTACTATTTATCTATTTGGATTTCCTTTCTTGAGTCAGTTTTGGTAGTTTGTGCATTTCTAGGAATTTGTTTCATCTAGATTCCTAGTTTGTTGGCATATAATCTAGATTACCTAGTTTGTTGGCATATAATCATTCAGTGTACTTCTTTCTAATCCTTTTAGTTTTTGTGAGGTTGGTAGAAATATCCTCTCTTTCATTCTTGATTTTAGTTATTGGAATCATTTTCTTTTTTTTTTCTTAAAAGTTCATCAGTTTTGTTGATCTTTTCAAAAAACCAACTTTTGGTTTTGTTGATTCTTCTGCATTATTTTTCTATTTCCTATTTCTTTTATTTCCACTCTCCTCTTTATTATTCCCTTCCTTCTGCTTGCTTTGGCTTAAGATTTCTCTTCTTTTACTAGTTTCCAGAGTTTTTTGTTGCTGTTTGTAGTAATTGTTTGTTTGTTTGTTTGTTTGTTTAGTGACTTTTCTGCACAAAAGTCACAAGTAAATTCTTTCATGTGTGTGGCCACTGAAATCTCTGTTCTGTTAGCCTAATGATCAGATAATGATTACGCAGAGATTCCCTTAAATGTCTGAATAATTCCACAGTCCTTGCTGAGTGATTGTGTGTGTGTGTGTGTGTGCGTGTGTGTGTGTTGGGACACACCTGCAACACAGGCAGTTTACAACTCTGCTTTAGCCTTTACTTCCTCCTTGCACAGAGCCTATAGGTTAGCCATGGGTGAGAGCTTGGGGTCTCTCGGGTCTTTGTTGAGCGTGTACATCAACCTATGCATGTGTTTGACATTCTAGATTCCAAAGAACATGTTGGAGTTTTCAAGTCTCCAATGATATCTTATTCCCCAGCATTTCCATGTTTTTTGGTTGATCTATTGTTTACCCCAAGTATTAACCATCAACTCAGCCAGCAGCAACTAAACAGTTTGCCTGTTAAGAATTTTTGACAAATGCCTCCTTCCTATTGGTAGTGACTTTATCACTAGATGAGTTCTGAGTTAGGCAAAATAAAGACAAGTCTTTCAGTGGATTCTTCCACAGTTCTTCTGTCTTAAACAAACAGGCTAAGTATGGCTGTTCTTTCGAAATGAGGCTTTGAAAGTGCTGCAGCCTTGTTTCTGCCACTGATCTGGGGAGTGAAGATGTGCCTAGGGTATGCTAAAACACCACAAAACTCACTATTCTTACTAATATTTAGCCACTTTCATTGAGTAAGTCATCCCCAGGTTTCTGCAAGTCTTTTGTTAATATATAGAGTTTTGAAACAATTGATTCTGATAGAGTTTGCTAGGTTTTCCTTTTGAAAATTTTCTCTTTAACTTCTTGAAAATATGGAATAGAGTTATGATAAATGTTTTTATATTCTTATCTACTAATTCTATTATTTGTGTTATTTCTGATTATCTTTAAATTGATCAACTTTTATTCCTTTTATTGTACATACTTTTCTACTTCTTTGTGTGCCTGTTAATTTTCCATTTGATAGTCACATTGTGAATTTTACCTTTTTGAGTGCTGGATATTATTGTTTTCCTAAAAATATCCTTGAGATTTGTTTTGGGACATGGCTAAGTTACTTAGAACTGTTAGGAAATCGTTTGGTCCATTTCAGACTTGTTTTTATTCATCTTTAGGTAGGATTAGAGCAGGGCTTTTTTCTAAGGTCAACTTTCCCTATTACGGAAGTAAGAACTTTCTTAGTATTCTAAACTTTACTTCATGAATTATGGTGTTTTCTCTTCTAGTTGTGGGTACAGACAATACGTCTTTCCCTACATGTGCCTCAGACACTGTTCTCTAACCTTTCAGGTATCTCTTTCCCTAGGCTCACATAATTTCCTCAGATACTTGTGCTGATCAATACTCAGCTGAATCCTCCAGGGGAACACTTCCAGAGTTCTCTTACTGTGCAGAGATCTCCAGAGTTCTCTTTCTGTGTAGCTCTCTCCTCTTGGTTCTTTGCCTTGCAAACTTAGCCACCTTGGCTTTCCTGGACTCCCAGTTCTGTCCTCTCAACAGTGAGACAGTGGGTCTCTGTCTGAGTTCCTTTGCCCTATACTACAACATGGAAACTTTCTGTAGACATTAATCTAAGACAACCGTAGGGCTCGTTTTTTTGTTCCTCATCACTTAGGAAACTCTGTCCTTCACTGCTGAATGTCCAGTGTTTTCAAAGATGTTGTTTCATACATTTTGTCCCATTCCTTAGTTAAGTCAAGAGGGTAAATCAAATCCCTATGAATGATCTCAGCTGGATTTAAAGAATGGTTGGCCCCTTCCAATACAATTCAGTAAAATCTCATTACCCAAATTCTGTCTAATGCTGAAAAATGTGTTGCTGTGGTTGGTGAAAAAGCAATACATTTTCTTCTGCCAGTTGTTACAACTTGTTTGCTCTCTATAAAGGGTGAGTATTAAA
The DNA here is from genome assembly GCF_000001405.40 of Homo sapiens. Lineage (NCBI taxonomy): Eukaryota > Metazoa > Chordata > Mammalia > Primates > Hominidae > Homo > Homo sapiens. The sequence continues at coordinate 44,736,563 of NC_000004.12, forward strand.
TTTTCAGAGAGATCTTTATTAAAAAGTCATTATCAGCAATTATTTATAACTGTGTTAAGCATAAAACCTGATTGAAAAATACTGTGTTCATGGAATCAAGTTCAAAATTCTCAGGAAATAAAAATAAAAAGATGTTATTTGGAAGTTTCATATAAATTGAAGGTTAATGTCTTTCTTAATATTTTGTATTTCATTTTTCTTGTCTGAATTATGTAAAAGGAAATTGAAAACATTTGTAAGCCCGTAGATGAGAAGTCAGTCAAAATCTTGGAGGATCTTGGTGCTAGAAGTAGAAACTGAAGAAATGTAGATCAGCATGAGCGAGCGCGTGTATATTACTAAAGGGTACCCAGAAAGTTTGTATATGCATGTGTTTGTGTATAAATTTTTTTGCTCAGATTATGTAATAAAAGCAAAAATAAGGTCAGATTTGATTCAGAAAGAAGATAATTTTATAGAAATAATTACTTGCCATCTTGTGGCATACTGACTGCAAAAATAACCTTAATTCTCTACTTCCTTATTCTACTTCCTTTCTAATCTGATTGAGCTTTGTGTTCACTTATTGCACATCATGGTAGCTATTGCTAATGGATACACATCTGCCGTAATGCATCGGAGAAAGGATGTGGCCTTGTTTTGTTCCCTGTACCCTCAGGAATGATGACAAGGCTCTCAGAGATGTTGGATATATGTTCCAAGATGGGTTTCATGCTCCTGAGCAAAGGTGTTGCCACACATTTTGCCTCATGCAGGAGAAAATGTGTGTCAGATCAGGTTTCTTAGCTCATGAGTTGGGCCTCCATTGACAAGGCAAGCAATACAGGATGTCTAAGGGTTTAATAAGCTTTCATTCATAATTTTAGCCAGATAGTTGAAAATATAATCAGATAGAATAAAAGCCTTCCTACAGGAAAGTGGAATATGCTCACATCACCCACTTCTTACAGAAAATGTACAGTCTAAGAGGGTGAAAGGGGCATTTAGATTGTTAATGTGATTTGGGATTTTAGTCAGCCATCTGGTTATAAGGAGAGATGGGGAAACTGACTTGAAGATACATTTGCATAGCAGGCTAATTATTTTTAATTAAATTTTACGTTTATTTCAGTCATTTTAGGCTTGATGAAGTTGGGGGAAATGCTAAAGTCACCACTTGCAAGACTAACTTTAACCAGATTGTCCCCCTCCACACAAACACTGAAGTAGAATAAAGGCTTATCACAGAAAGAGTAAGAGGACAATTGATTAAATGAGCAAGGTGCAGTGTTCACAAGTAGAAATGAAGGAACAAGCGCCTGTTGCAGAGATAAGATGATTTAACTGCTAATGGTGAAGCAATAGTCTTTGTGTAATCAAAAGCTAGCATGAATGATTATTGATTTAAATATTTTATTAAAATCTAATTTTACCAAACCTGTCCACCATGGTTTACATCTTATCATATTTGCGTTTATTATAGGAAGGTTCATTCTGAGCAACATAAAACATCATTTATATGCTGCCATTTCAATTTAGTCACTATTCTTTTAAATTAAAACAAGAGTTTTTGATTTTGAAAGACAAAAAAGCCAGACAGTAAAGTCTGAAAAATTTATATCAGAACTGAGATGTTCTTAAGATTTCTTTAGACAAGAATCATAAAAATGCAGATGGTAAGAATATATAATGAGATTTAGGGAATTTCAATTTTAATAACAGAGTAAAGCGCTGTCTCTTGACTGTAAATTAATAAAGGAAGTTTTCCTGGGATCATAAACTGTGAAATTATAGCCTCAGAGGCTTTCCAATGACAACTAACACTAAGATTAAATAAGGGCTTTAGAATTAAATATCACAAGGTATTGTATTGAAGAATATATTGTTGTAAAAAAATAGCTGTAAAACTTAGTCAGTGTATTCTAAAATTTACCAATGGAAGCTAAAGAGAAAAGTTTAGAGGCATACTGAATAAATAATTTAAGATTATATGCCAAAGAAATTATTGACAATACTTCTCTTTTATTGATAAAACTATTTGTACCATACAGTGAAATGCTTCATATTCATAGAGGTTTTGGAATAGAATTTAAACTTCCAGAGTTATTAAAATGAGTCCTGAATAACTTTCATGAATATGAGGACTTTGTAGGTCTGTCCTCAGCTATATTCTTGGCATTTAGCATAAAGCCTGAACATGGTAGGTGCTCGGTATTCAATGTTATTTCTATTTACAATGAAAGCTGCTGCTGTGCTACACTTTTACACAAGAGGGCGTGATTGAAACTGATATAAGACAGGCTATGCTGATAGTACTACTGCATTTTCATATAAACTGTGGGTTTTGCTTTTTCTAGTCCATCTTTATGGATAGCAGGTCACTCTGGATGCCCTTCTATAGAATAGCAGCAACAGGCAGCAAAAACTACTTAAAAATCCATTAAACTGAAGTTTTCTACAATATAAAACATAGTGTCCATTTTCATTTGTTAGATTTAACAGATTTACCAGATAACTCAAAAAGAAAACACAAAATAGAGTGATCAGAAATTTTAGGAGATTTTCTTGAATAGCAACTTTTCCATATGAACTGGGGCTCTGTCTCAGATTATTACCATGGGAATTGTGCTTGTCTTTGGATAGTATGTCCCTTAAATTTCATTTTTTTCCATTTTTGTGAGTAGTGAACAAACTAGTATCAACAAAGTTAACCTTGAAAAAGAAAATGTATTCTTTAGAGAATGAAATGGCAATAAAAGGCAAAAGGTGAAACTGGAGAAGTGGCTGCTAATATTTTATATGTTGGGAAGAAGGAGGTAGACTTAATAGGTGACCGTGCTGGTTCTACAAAGATCCAAGGCACAGACACTTCCTGACAATTGTATATTACAATTGTATAGCTATTATAGTTTGCCCTTGCTCCCTTGTCTTCCAGCTCTCTCCTCATGGGCTCACAATGGTCTTATTCAAAAATAAACAGTATAACAACCCAATACCAACAATAAAAAAATCCTCTACAATTAACTTCCTAGATATTTGTCTTGCTTGGCAACAGTCACCATGACATATTCACTGTTAAAATTGATGGGCACTCTTGATCTTCCTATTTGATCTCTGGGAAGCATTTAGTTCCATTGACCTCTCTTCCATTTAAAAATATTTTTCTCTTCCTGCTTTCCTTCTTACCTTTGTGGACTTTCCTTTTTAATCTCTCAAATGGGCTTTTCTTTCCCAGATTTCTTCTTTGGCTCTCTTCTCACTTTATACATTATCTCTGAACAAACACTTCCATCCTATGACTTCAGTTATATTGTCTGAAATTTTAAACTCTAGCCTTCCTCTCAAGCTTGAGCTCTAAGTTCCTATGAAACTGAGCTCTAGGCTTTACAGCTGGAAATTCAGATGTGTTCAAAGAGATCTCAGCACTCTTTACCCCATATCCATTCTTATTTCATTGTTTATTTCAGTGAATGGCAATACCATCTGGCCAATGGCCCAAGCCAGGTGTCTTGGCAATAATTTGGACTTCACTTTCTTTCTCAGCCTCCACATCTAATCAACGACTCTTGGAGACATTATTGCTTATCTCTACACCAGCCAGTTTCAACCCTCTCTTCTTATTGCTGGAAACTGCCACCTATTTTAGAGGCTGAAAGGCCAGATTTTGCTTTCTCAATTTTCCTTGCATTTAAGGAATGGACATTTTACCTAATCCTCATTAATGGGACATTGAGGAAGATGAGCTTCAAGTCTTCTGGGAAAGACCTTTCTCTCTGATTACGAAACAGAGATGCCTATGCAGAGGGCTCATCCTTTTACTTCCTGTTATGAACATTGCTGTTTGAAGATATGATGCTCAAGGCTACTGCTTGAAAAAGAGAAAGAGCTGCATAGACATGTCAACACAGAGTTCTGACAAGAGTTTAGCAACTGTGTTGTGAAGGTCATTTTATGTATCAACTTGACTAGACTTAAGGATGCCCAGATAGCTGGTAAAATATTATTTCTCGGTTTGATTGTGAGGATATTTCTGTAAGAGTTTTGAATTTGGATTAGTGAGATGGCCCTCACTGATGAGTGGACATCATCTGAGACCACTGAGGGCCTGAACAGAACAAAAATCCGGAGGAAGGGCAAATTTGTTCTCTTTTCAGGAGCTGAGCCATCCGTCTTCTTCCACCTTTGGATATCGGTACTCCTGATTTCAGGCCTTCAGACTTGGATTGGGTTTAGATCACGGGCTTCCCTGGTTCTCAGGACTTCGGGTTTGGGCTGGAACTATGCCGCAGCATTCCCAGGCCTCTAATTTGCAGAGGGAAGATTTGGGGACTTCTCAGCCTTCATAATCAAATGAACCAATTCCTCATGATAAATCTTTCTTTACATATCTATATATGTCCTTTTGGTTCTATTTCTTTGGAGGACCCTGACTAATACATGTGCCCATCTCTTTTCTTATTACACAAGAAAATGACCCCAAATTATTCTCTTACGTACAGTTGGAATTAGTCTATTGAAATTTAAGGTTAATTGATTTTCACTGCTAAATGTATTTTGAATTTGACTCCTTCTTTTAACCCCCTTTGCTAATATCTTTGTACTGAACTGTATTATTTCTGGTATGGATTACTGCAACAACAGCCTCACTGGCTTATCTGCTTCTATCACAATTCTTCTTCTCCAGTTCAACTTTCTCTCTAGTATCTGAGTGATTTTATATGTAAACTTCAAACCAGAGAATGTCTTTGCCCTTGTTACAAAATTTTCAATGATTCTCATTAAACCTCAAGACAAAGTTTAACTTCCTTCAAAGCAGAGCATGAAAGGCCCCTCCTGAATCTATACTCGCTCTCCATACCCACCTCCTTCAGTTTTGTACTCCCACTATATGCTATTTGTACTGAGCTATTGTGCTTAGTTTTATTGAGATACAGTTTTTATTACTTTTAAGTCTGAGACTTGTAAGCTTCTTTCCTGACCCAATTTACCTGCAATGCACTTGTACCTCAATGGGGATTATTTATTCTCAGACAGTTTAACTTACACAATAATGATATGGAAAGATAAGTTTTGTTTTAGCCTCAGAAAGATAGAAGTTTATGGTATAATGTGCAGGTCAAAAGATCTCTGGATGAAGTCTTTAGTAGGCTTAGTTCTGGTTTCCCTTAATAGTTACACTCTTCTTCACCTCAAGACCTTTATTATGCTGTTCCTTCTGTCTGGAATGTTTGTTTTTCCATTCTGTCTCTGTCCCGTCCCACCTCATTTCTAGTCCCTCAATATTAAGTTCCATTTTTCCCAGATAGCCAAAAATATTAGTAGGTTTTGTTAAGTGGTCAAGTAGTCCCTAAGCAGCCACTACTATTTAAGCTGCTAGATTGACTCACTTCCCACACTTCTGTAAATTTGGTTGGTAAGGAAATAATGAACCTGAATAGATTTAGTCAGTTTCTTACTCATGGGGCATTAGGCAGTATGGGTTTCAGGATTGCATTGTTTCCCTTGCCCTTTCTTCAGCTTATGGGGGTGATGCAGAGTGGGCCCTGGTGGGCGCTGCACACACAGTGGGTTTGTGTTGCAGCTGAGAAATGCTGAGCTTGGGAAGTCAATCTTTTAAGGAGCTGCATGTTTTAAGTCAACATATCCGATTTTTGTTCCTGAGAGAGACAATGTCTTTATTATCTTGATCAGGAGACAAATCTGTTCTCTGACCTAGAGGGAGAAAGTCTTTCTTATTTCCAAGAATATTTGCTATACAAAAATTGAAGAAATGCAATGGAAAATTGCTCTCAACAGTTAAGAGCTAGGAATCAAACAGATCTGGGATTTAAATTTATATGTTGATGAGTTCCAAATTTATTTCTCCTGCCCAGACTCTTGCCTCAAACTCCAGTCTGAAATATCCAGTTTCCTACCTGACAAATATACTTGAATGTCTAATAAGAATATCAACCTTACTATGTCCAAGTCTAAGCTCCTGATATTTCCAATCTAATCCTTTCTTCCCAAAAGTTAATGGCAACTGATCTTTCTGGTTGTTCAGGCTGCAAATGTTGCTGTCATTTTTGACTCCTTTCTTTCTCTTACACTCCACATTAAATTATCTGCAAATCCTGTAGGTTCAACTTTCAAATATATTGAGAATCTTACGGTTTGTCACTCTTCTACTGTTATCATACTTGTACAAGTTGGTACCTTCTGTTTTCTGGATTATTGAAGATGTGTTCTAACCAGTCTTTGTTTCCTCTCTTGATTGTTTTCAGTGTAATAAGCCAAAGTGATCCATTAAAACATGGCCTCCTAGAAAAAAAATCTCATTTTCGTATCATGAACAAGCTTAAAGACCTGACTATGATCTACAAGGTCATGTATGATCTTCCCCTCTCCACCCTTTGTCATTCTGATTTCATTTTCTGGTGCTTTTCCGTGTTCTCACTTAGCCTCAGCCATACCAGCCTTTCATCCAAGGGCCTTTCTACTTGTTGTTTATTCTCCCTTAAGTGCTTTCCACTCAGAGGTCTGCATGCCAAACTCCCTGGCTACCTTTAGGCAATTACCCAAATGTTGCCTTCTCTCATATATTCACCTGCTTGACAATTACAATTGCCTGCTTGACAATTACACTTAGGTGTCTAACAACATGTCAGATTTAACATCTTTGTCATAAGACTTCACTGATCATCTTTGGGACACTGTCTCACACAACATAGATGCTTAGTAATTATTTGTTAAATGAATAAGTAAGTAAATAGACTTGGATTTAAAACTTATTGTTGCCAGACCTTGGAAAAGTTAGTAAATTTTCTAAGCCTTTCTCATTAATAAAAAGAAAAAAACAATAGCATGATTGGAGGGTTAAATGATATAACATGCATAAAACACTTAGAATGCCTAGTGCCTGGCACATAGTAGGCACTCTGATACCCTAAGTACAGAGATACCTCATCATTTCCCTCCCAATTTGTGTTATTCGTGGGTCATCATAGAATTCTCTTATATATGTAATATATATAATATTATATGTTAATTATTAATATATTGCCTAATTATGTGTTAATGTGTTAACAATTGTGTGCCCTTTTTGGTGTTTGGCTAATAGTAGGATCTGGGAAAATGAGTGATTTGGAGCCAGACATAGTGGGGTGCACCTGTAGTCCCAGCTCCTCAGGAAGCTGAGGCAAGAGGATCCCTTGAGCCCAGGAGTTTGAGGCTGCAGTGAGCTATTATTGTATTACTACACTCCAGCCTGTGTGATAGAGTGAGACTCCCTATCTCTTAAAAAAAAAAAAAAAGTTATTTAGCAGGTTACAAGTTGCCTTAAATATATCATCTCATTTTATCCTCAGAACCAATCTAGGTAAAATCAGCTCAGTTTTAGATATGAAAAAACTGAGATTTAGAGAGATTCACTGTCGAAAGTCAGTATATTGGCAAATCTTGACTGGTGATTTTTTTTTTCTTATTACACTTTAAGTTCTAGGATACATGTGCACAACATGCAGGTTTGTTACATATGTATACATGTGCCATGTTGGTGTGCTGCACCCATTAACTCATCATTTACATTAGGTATATGTCCTAATGCCATCCCTCCCCCATCTCTCCACCCCACAAGAGGCCCTGGTGTGTGGTGTTCCCCACTCTGTGTCCAAGTGTTCTCATTGTTCAATTCCCAACTATGAGTGAGAACATGCAGTGTTTGGTTTTCTGTCCTTGGGATAGTTTGCTGAGTATGATGGTTTCCAGCTTCATCCATGTTCCTACAAAGGACATGAACTCATCCTTTTTTATGGCTGCATAGTATTCCATGGTGTTTATGTGCCACATTTTCTTAACCCAGTCTATCGTTGATGGACATTTGGGTTGGTTCCAAGTCATTGCTATTGTGAATAGTGCCACAGTAAACATACATATGCAAGTGTCTTTATGGCAGTATGATTTATAATCATTTGGGTATATACTCAGTAATGGGATGGCTGGGCCAAATGGTATTTCTAGTTCTAGATCCTTGAGGAATTGCCACACTGTCTTCTGCAATGCTTGAACTAGTTTACAGTCCCAGCAACAGTGTAAAAGTGTTCCTATTTCTCCACATCCTCTCCAGCACCTGTTGTTTTCTGACTTTTTAATGATCGCCATTCTAACTGGTGTGAGATGGTATCTCATTGTGGTTTTGATTTGCATTTCTCTGATGGACAGTGATGATGAGCATTTTTTCATGTTTCTGTTGGCTGCATAAATGTCTTCTTTTGAGAAGCATCTGTTCATATCCTTCACCCACTTTTTGATGAGGTTGTATGTTTTTTTCTTGTAAATTTGTTTAAATTCTTTGTAGATTCTGGATATTAGCCCTTTGTCAGATGAGTAGATTGCAAAAATTTTCTCCCATTCTGTAGGTTGCCTGTTCACTTTGATGGTAGTTTCTTTTGCTGTGCAGAAGCTCTTTAGTTTAATTAGATCCCATTCCTCAATTTTGGCTTTGTTGCCATTGCTTTTGGTGTTTTAGACATGAAGTCCTTGCCCATGCCTATGTCCTGAATGGTATTGCCTAGGTTTTCTTCTAGGGTTTTTATGGTTTAGGTCTGACATTTAAGTCTTTAATCCATCTTGAATTAATGTTTCTATAAGGTGTGAGGAAGGGATCCAGTTTCAGCTTTCTACATATGGCTAGCCAGTTTTCTCAGCACCATTTATTAAATAGGGAATCCTTTCCCCATTTCTTGTTTTGGTCAGGTTTGTCAAAGATCAGATGGTTGTAGATGTATGGTATTATTTCTGAGGGCTCTGTTCTGTTCCATTGGTCTATATCTCTGTTTTGGTACCAGTACCATGCTGTTTTGGTTACTGTAGCCTTGTAGTATAGTTTGAAGTCAGGTAGCATGATGCCTCCAGCTTTGTTCTTTTGGCTTAGGATTGTATTGGCAATACAGGCTCTTTTTTGGTTCCATATGAACTTTAAAGTAGTTTTTTCCAATTCTGTGAAGAAAGTCATTGGTAGCTTGATGGGGATGGCATTGAATCTATAAATTACCTTGGGCAGTATGGCCATTTTCACGATATTGATTCTTCCTATCCGTGAGCATGGAATGTCCTTCCATTTGTTTGTGTCCTTTTTTATTTCATTGAGCAGTGGTTTGTAGTTCTCCTTGAAGAGGTCGTTCGCATCCCTTATAGGTTGGATTCCTAGGTATTTTATTCTCTTTGAAGCAATTGTGAATGGGAGTTCATTCATGATTTGGCTCTCTGTTCATCTGTTATTCGTATATAGGAATGCTTGTGATTTTTGCACATTGATTTTGTATCCTGAGACTTTGCTGAAGTTGCTTATCAGTTTAAGGAGATTTTGGGCTGAGATGATGGGGTTTTCTAAATATACAATCATGTCGTCTGCAAACAGGGACAATTTGACTTCCTCTTTTCCTAATTGAATACCCTTTATTTCTTTCTCCTGCCTGATTGCCCTGGCCAGAATTTCCAACACTATGTTGAATAGGAGTGGTGAGAGAGGGCATCCCTGTCTTGTGCCAGTTTTCAAAGGGAATGCTTCCAGTTCTTGCCCATTCAGTATGATATTCGCTGAATGGGTTTGTCATAGATAGCTCTTATTATTTTCAGATATGTCCCATCAATACCTAACTTATTGAGAGTTTTTAGCTTGAAGGGCTGTTGAATTTTGTCAAAGGTCTTTCCTGCATCTTTTGAGATAATCATGTGGTTTTTGTTTTTGGTTCTGTTTATATGATGGATTACGTTTATTGATTTGCGTATGTTGAACCAGCCTTGCATCCCAGGGAAGAAGCCCACTTGATCATGGTGGATAAGCTTTTTGATGTGCTGCTGGATTCAGTTTGCCAGTATTTTATTGAGGATTTTTGCATCAATGTTCATCAAGGATATTGGTCTAAAATTCTCTTTTTTTGTTGTGCCTCTGCCAGGCTTTGGAATCAGGATGATGCTGGCCTCATAAAATGAGTTAGGGAGGATTCCTTCTTTTTCTATTGATTGAAATAGTTTCAGAAGGAATGGTACCAGCTCATCTCTGTATCTCTGGTAGAATTCGGCTGTGAATCTGTCTGGTCCTGGACTTTTTCTGGTTGGTAGGCTGTAAATTATTGCCTGAATTTCAGAGCCTGTTATTGGTCTATTCAGAGATTCAGTTTCTTCCTGCTTTAGTCTTGGGAGGGTGTATGTGTCCAGGAATTTATCCATTTCTTCTAGATTTTCTAGTTTATTTGTGTGAAGGTGTTTATAGTATTCTCTGATGGTAGTTTGTATCTCTGTGGGATCGGTGGTGATATCCCCTTTATCATTTTTTATTGCATCTATTTGATTCTTCTCTCTTTTATTCTTTGTTAGTCTTGCTAGCGGTCTATCAATGTTGTTGTCTTTTCAAAAAACCACCTCCTGGATTCATTGATTTTTTGAAGGGTCTTTTGTGTCTCTGTCTCCTTCAGTTCTGCCCTGATCTTAGTTATTTCTTGCCTTCTGCTAGCTTTTGCATGTGTTTGCTCTTGCTTCTCTAGTTCTTTTAATTGTGATGTTACGGTGTCAATTTTAGATCTTTCCTGCTTTCTCTTGTGGGCATTTAGTGCTATAAATTTCCCTCTACACACTGCTTAAATGTGTCTCAGAGATTCTGGTATGTTGTGTCTTTGTTCTCGTTGGTTTCAAAGAACATCTTTATTTCTGCCTTCATTTCATTATGTACCCAGTAGTCATTCAGGAGCAGGTTGTTCAGTTTCCATGTAGTTGAGCGATTTTGAGTGAGTTTCTTTAGCCTGAGTTCTAGTTTGATTGCACTGTGGTCTGAGAGACAGTTTGTTATAATTTCTGTTCTTTTACATTTGCTGAGGAGTGCATTACTTCCAACTATGTGGTCAATTTTGAAATAAGTGTGATGTGGTGCTGAGAAGAATGTATATTCTGTTGATTTGGGGTGGAGAGTTCTGTAGATGTCTATTAGGTCCTCTTGGTGCAGAGCTGAGTTCACTTCCTGTACATTGTTGTCAACTTTCTGTCTCATTGATCTGTCTAATGTTGACAGTGGGGTGTTAAAGTCTCCCATTATTATTGTTTGGGAGTCTAAGTCTCTTTGTAGGTCTCTAAGGACTTGCTTTATGAATCTTGGTGCTCCTGTATTGGGTGCATATATGTTTAGGATAGTTAGCTCTTCTTGTTGAATTGATCCCTTTACCATTATGTAATGGCCCTCTTTATCTCTTTTGATCTTTGTTGGTTTAAAGTCTGTTTTATCAGAGACTTGGATTGCAACTCCTGCTTTTTTTTGTTTTCCACTTGCTTAGTAGATCTTCCTCCATCCCGTTATTTTGAGCCAATGTGTGTCTCTGCATGTGAGATGGGTCTCCTGAATATAGCACACTGATGGGTCTTGACTCTTTATCCAACTTACCAGTCTGTGTCTTTTAATTGGAGCATGTAGCCCATTTACATTTAAGGTTAATATTTATGTGTGAAGTTGATCCTGTCATTATGATGTTAGCTGTTTATTTTGCTTGTTAGTTGGTGCAGTTTCTTCCTAGCATTGATGATCTTTACAATTTGGCATGTTTTTGCAGTGGCTGTTACTGGTTGTTCCTTTCCATGTTTAGTGCTTCCTTCAGGAGCTCTTGTAAGGCAGGCCTGGTGGTGACAAAATCTCTCGGCATTTGCTTGTCTGTAAAGGATTTTATTTCTGCTTCACTTATGAAGCTTAGTTTGGCTGGATATGAAATTCTGGGTTGAAAATTCTTTTCTTTAAGAATGTTGAATATTGGCCCCCACTCTCTTCTGGCTTGTAGAGTTTCTGCCGAGAGATACATTGTTAGTCTGATGGGCTTCCCTTTGTGGGTAACTTGACCTTTCTCTCTGTCTGCCCTTAACATTTTTCCTTCATTTCAACTTTGGTGAATCTGACAATTATGTGTATTGGAGTTGCTCTTCTTGAGGAGTATCTTTGTGGCATTCTCTGTATTTCCTGAATTTGAATGTTGGCCTGCCTTGCTAGGTTGGGGAAATTCTCCTGGATAATATCCTGAAGAGTGTTTTCCAACTTGATTCCATTTTCCCCATCACTTTCAGGTACACCAATCAGACATAGATTTGGTGTTTTCACATAGTCCCATATTTCTTGGAGGCTTTGCTCATTTCTTTTTACTCTTTTTTCTCTAAACTTCTCTTCTTGCTTGATTTCATTCATTTGATCTTCATTCACTGATACCCTTTCTTCCAGTTGATTGAATTGTCTACTGAAGCTTTTTCATGCATCTTGTAGTTCTTGTGCCGTGGTTTTCAGCTCCATCAGGTCATTTAAGGTCTTCTCTATGTTATTTATTCTAGTTAGCCATTCGTCCAATCTTTTTACAAGGTTTTTATCTTTGCAGTGGGTTCGAATATCCCCCTTTAGCTCAGAGAAGTTCGTTATTGCTCATCTTCTGAAGCCTTCTTCTCTCAACTCATCAAAGTCATTCTCTGTCCAGCTTTGTTCCATTGCTGGCGAGGAGCTGCGTTCCTTTGGAGAAGAGGTGCCGTGATTTTTAGAATTTTCAGCTTTTCTGCTCTGGTTTCTCCCCATCTTTGTGGTTTTATCTACCTGTGGTCTTTGATGATGGTCACGTACAGATGGGTTTTTGGTGTGGATGTCCTTTCTGTTTGTTAGTTTTCCTTCTAACAGTCAGGACCTTCAGCTGCAGGTCTGTTGGAGTTTGCTGCAGGTCCACTCCAGACCCTGTTTCCCTCGGTGTCACCAGCAGAGGCTGCAGAATAGCAAAGATTGCAGAACGGCAAATGTTGCTGCCTGATCATTCCTCTGGAAGCTTCGTCTCAGAGGGGCACCTGGCCGTATGAAGTGTCAGTCGGCCCCTACTGGGAGTTGCCTCCCAGTTAGGCTACTCGGGGGTCAGGGACCCACTTGAGGAGGCAGTCTGTCTGTTCTCAGATCTCAAACTCCATGCTGGGAGAACCACTACCCTCTTCAAAGCTGTCAGACAGGGATGTTTAGGTCTGTGGAAGTTTCTGCTGCCTTTAGCTCAGTTATCCCTTGCCCCCAGATGTGGAGTCTACAGAGGCAGGCAGGCCTCCTTTAGCTGTGGTGGACTCCACCCAGTTCGAGCTTCCTGGCTGCTTTGTATACTGACTCAAGCCTCAGCAATGGCCAGTGCCCCTCCCCCAGCCTTGCTGCTGCCTTGCAGTTTGATCTCAGACTGCTGTGCCAGCAGTGATCAAGGCTCTGTGGGCATGGGACCCTCTGAGCCATGTGCGGGATATAATCTCCTGGTGTGCCATTTGCTAAGACCAATGGAAAAGCTCAGTATTAGGTTGGGAATGACCTGATTTTCCAGGTGCCATCTGTCACAGCTTCCCCTGGCTAGGAAAGGGAATTCCCCAACCCCTTGCGCTTTCTGGGTGAAGCGATGCTTCACTTGCTTCAGCTCATGGTCCGTGGGCTGCACCCACTCTCCTGCATCCACTGTCTGACAAGCCTCAGTGAGATGAACCCAGTACCTCAGTTGGAAATGCAGAAATCACCTGTCTTCTGTGTCGCTCACGCTGGGAGCTGTAGACTGGAGCTGTTCCTATTCAGCCATCTTGGAACCTCTCTAGTGATTTTTTTTAATTTTTACATTAAAAGAGTCACATTTTCTAAAAGGTACTCCATAAATGTATTTTTTAAACAGAAGAAATCTATGCATCCATAAACACTAATATGATTTCTTCTTCAATTCTTAATTTTATCTGACCTTGACAATCTTTTAAATACATTTGAAATATCTTGATGAAATTGTGTTAAAAATGAGATCACTATAATTATTCTCATTCACTTATGCTCCACCTACATACCTATTATAGGAAGATGAAACAATGCCTAATTTTCTTCTTTTTCCTCTTCATCCATATATATATGTGTATATGTGTGTGTGTGTGTCTTTATTTATTTGATACATGTGCAGGATGTGCAGGTTTGTTACATAGGTTAATATGTGCCATGGTGGTTTGCTGCACCTGTGAACCCATCACCTAGGTATTAAGCCCCATGTGTATTAGCTATTTATCCTGATACTCTCCCTCTCCCAGCCCCTTCCGACAGGCCCCAGTGTGTGTTGTTCTCCTCCTCCTAGTGTCCATGTGTTCTCATTGTTCAGCTCTCACTTATCAGTGAGAACATGTGGTGTTTGGAGGATAATGGCTTCCAGCTCCATCCATGTCCCGGAAAGGACATGATCTCTTTCTTCTTATGACTGCATAGTATTCTATGGTGTATATGTACCACATTTTCTTTGTCTGGTCTATCATTGATGGGCATTTGGGTTAATTCCATGTCTTTGCTATTGTGAATAAGAATAGCAATGAATATATGTGTACATGTAGCTTTATAATAGAGTGATTTATATTCCTTTGGGTATATACCCAGTAATCTGATTGCTGGGTTAAATGGTATTTCTGGCTCTAGATCCTTGAGGAATTACCATACTGTCTTCCACAATGGTTGAACTAATTTACATTCCCGTCAACAATGTAAAAGCATTCTTATTTCTCCACAGCCTTGCCAGCATCTATTGTTTTCTGACTTTTTAATAATCGCCATTCTGACTGGCATGAGATTGTATCTCATTGTGGTTTTGATTTGCATTTCTCTGATGATCAGTGATATTGAGCCTTTTTCATATGTTTTTTGGCCACGTAAATATATTCTTTTGAGAAGTGTCTGTTCACATCGTTTTCCCAGTTTTTGATGGGGTTGTCTTTTTCTTGTAAATATGTTTAAGTTCCATGTAATTTCTGGATATTAGACATTTGTCAGATGGATAAATTGCAAAAATTTTCTCCCATTCTGTAGGTTGCCTGTTTACTCTGATGACAGTTTCTTTTGCTGTGCAGAAGCTCCTTAGTTTAATTAGACCCCATTTGTCCATTTTGGCTTTTCTTGCAATTGATTTTGCCATTTTTGTCATGAAGTCTTCACCCATGCCTATGTTCTGAATGGTGTTGCCTAGGTTTTCTTCTAGGGTTTTTATGGTTCTGGGTTTTACATTTAAGTCTTTAGTCCATCTTGAATTAATTTTTGTATAAAGTGTAAGGAAGGGGTCCAGTTTCAGTTTTCTATATACAGCTAGTGGTTTTCCCAGCACGATTTACTGAATAGGAGATCCTTTCTCCATTGCATGTATTTGTCAGGTTTGTTGAATATCAGATGGTTATAAATATGTGGTCTTATTTCTAAGACCTCTATTCTGTTCTATTGGTCTGGTGTCTGTTTTTGTACCTGTATCATGTTGTTTTGGTTACTGTAGCCTTCTGGTATAGTTCAAAGTCAGCATGATGCCTCTACTTTTGTTCTTTGTTTGCTTAGGATTGTCTTGGCTATACGGGCTCTTTTTTGCTTCCACATGAATTTTAAAGTAGCTTTTTTTTTAATTCTGTGAAGAATATCAATGGTAGTTTAATGGGAATAGCATAGAATCTGTAAATTACTTTGTGCAGTATGGCCATTTTCACAATATTTGTTCTTTCTATTAATGAGCATGGAATGTTTTTCCATTTATTTTTGTCCTCTCTGATTTTCTTGAGCAATGGTTTGTAGTTCTCCAGAAAGAGGGCTTTCACTTCCCTTGTTAGCTACATTCCTAGGCATTTTATTCTCTTTGTAACAACAATGCCCAATTTTCTAAAAATAGGTTTTTTAGGAGAGATCAACTCATAACACAAACAGCAAGTTTATCTCCTTAAAATTAAAAATAACAATAAAGTTAGTGTGTACTATTTGAGGAGTCAAGAATACATTTTGCTTCTAGATTGGTGTCTGAAATGACATTAATTAAAATAGCTGAATAATCATGGCTTAAATATTCATTAGGCCTGGTAATAACTCTCCCGGTAATTTTTCTGACAAAGAAATTCATAGAAAATACCACTATCTTATCAAATTATAATGATCATCTTACAAATAAATATAGTTTGGGAGTAATGACAGGTGACTGAAATAGGAAAGATATTTAGTAAGGAGGGAGCAGTTTCTGGGCATCTGGGGGATGGTTTAAATAACTTGGGAAGTGTATTAGCTCCCTATTGCTGCTGTGTAAAATTACCACAAACTTAATGGCTTCAAACAAGACAAATTTATCTTATGGTTCTAGGGGTCAAAATATGAAATGGGTCTTATTGGACTAAAATAAAGGTGTTGACAGGGCTGTATTCCCTCATGGAGGCTCCAAGAAAGAATCCATTTTCTTGCCTTTTACAACTCCTGGAAGATTCCTGGATTTCTTGATTCAAGTTTCTTTTGAAATCTTCGAAGCCAGCAAAACCATTCTTATAATGCCATCTCTCTGGTTCAGACTGTCCTGTTTCTTTCTTCTACATTTAAGAAAACCTTGTGTCCTCGCCAACATGGTGAAACCTCGTCTCTACTAAAAATACAAAAATAATCCGGGCATGGTGGCTCATGCCTGTAGTTCCAGCTACTCGGGAGGCTGAGGCAGGAGAATTGTTTGAACCCGGGAGGCGGACGTTGCAGTTAGCCAAGATCACACCACTATGCTCCAGCCTGGTGACAGAGCGAGACTTCATCTGAAAAAAAAAAAAAAAGAAAAGAAAGAAAACCTTGTGGTTACATTTGAATCCACCTGGATAATCCAGGATAATTTCCTTACCATAACTTCAGCTGCTAAGCAACCTTAATTCTGTCTGCAACCTTAACTCTCCCTTGCTATCTAATGTAACATATTCACAGGTCTGTGGGATTAGGATGTGATCATATGTTGATGGGCATTATTTTGCCCACCAGACTGGATAAAGCAAAGATGGAGGCTTAAGATGGTATGAAATATTATAGTTATGATTGAATACTTATGTCAGGAGTGCAGGAGTGAATACACACTACAATTTAATACTTGCTCGTATCTTAGTTCACCACTTATTTTAAGAAGTTCTGATGATTTAGGAAGTTGTGATTTTGCTTCTTTTCATGGCTATTTGATCCCAATTGAACCCATCACTGACAATTACCTTATGTAATAGTGCTTAAAAGTGCTTATTTTTCTGCTGGATTGCCACTTTTATTTTTTAGCAAATGATTTGCAATTATCAGTAATATATGCCAACTGACTTAATATGTGATTTCTCATATTTGATATTCCTTTATTGTTCCTTCTGGCAGTAAGAGAACAATTTTATATATCATAACAATTTTAGCTTACATATACTGCTGCCCACTACCATGGGAAGAAGATTATGTCTAGAACACCAGAGGATGCAAAAATAAGTAAACAGTAGTTTTAAAACTTTTAAACACCTACAGAACTCTTTTTTTTTCTAATGACATATTACGTGGAATTCTATAGACCAGTATATGAAGCAGATAACAATGGAACCATTTTGTTGGTGGAGTTGGGGGGCTTCAGATCTCACTTCTCACATCCCGCTCCTGGCAACTTCACCCTGCAAGTGGATTCATGTCTCATCAGGAAATATACAAGAATGTAGGGGATAAACAAAAATGCAGTAGAAGCCAGACTGAAATAAATGACAAGGATTATTCACAAAGTAGAGTGGAAGTTCAAGAAACAGAAATTCTAATAAGCTCCTGGAATTGGTTGGAGTCCTAAGTTGAAAGACAAATACAATTTTTGAAGAGTTGAAATCATGAGGAAGCATCAGGTAGAGAATAAAGAGGTAAGTAAAGGCAAAGAAACAAAGGACAAGGTGTGTTTGTGGGACAGCATACTTGGACAATTGTTTTGGCTAAATGTAAGAGAGGATTGAGAAATATGGGCAAGAGATAAATTGGGGAATTCTAGGGAAATCCTTGAATACCAAGATAGAAAACTAAAGTTTTTACTTCATTTGGTCATGGGAAACTTGCACTGAGCATGGGAGTCAATAATTAGAAGCAAGTTAAATTCAAAAAGTCGAACCCCATTCATAAAACCAGCTGATAGTCTGAAAATATGCTTTGAGCTAAGCAAAGAATACATGTTGACAAATCGTAACTACTTTAACTTCCTTTTTCTTGTACAATTGTGCATCCTGGCTTGTGACAATGCATACCTTCAGTCGTGTCCCCTCACCTCAAAGACTCCTCTGTTACAAACCCACTCTGCTCTTTTCTATAATAGTACATATGGGATTTTCCTACTCCTAGGAGGACCTTGAACTTGATTTAAACATAGCAAAGCACATTAAATATAAAGCCTGTGTATATAACATCCTTGAAAATTGTTGCATTTTGTGAATTCCCACAAGAAGCTTGATGTGACACATGTGAGACTGGACTTTATATGGCTTCACATGTCAAAGGAAATCATGACTTATTCTACACATTCTGGCAGTGTTTGCTATGAGAGTTTAGTAGATTCTACTCTTACCCCCAATGCTGTATTGTTTTCAGTAATAACTGTTTTCTTAAATTGGGTCTTACATTGATTATTCTACCACAGTTCTTACAGTTATTATTGCTGTGCCATTTGTATAGATTTACTTTTTAGAATACTGGAAACATGCATGGAACATTTATTCATTTTCTGGGGGAAAACCAGTATAGGGCCTGACTGGCCCCATCTCTGTAAGTGGCACCATCATTTGCCCAGTTTCTTAGGCAAGAAACCAGGGATTCATTATTGATGCTCCCCCCACCATTCACTTCAGTTAGATTGAAAAATAAGGTGACAATTATCTATTCCTCCCCATCTCCACACCCTTAGGAATGTGACTTTGCAGTTCTTTTCATCAACAGGCAGATCTGTGTCCCCTCCCCTTCAATTTGGGTGGGCCTTGTGACATTTTATATATATATAATAAATATATAAATTAAAAAATATACATTTGTTCTAAATATTTATACATGAAATTTACAGGGTTTATTCTAGTATCAGTATAGTAGCTCTATTTGTAAATCTATAATTTCAAGGTTTTCCCAGCTATTATCTTTATCCCAACAAATCCTTTTTAAACATAACTTTATTAAGATATAATTCATATGCCATAAAAGTTAACCATTTAAGGTATGCAATTAAATGGTTTTTAGTATATTCACAAAGCTGTGCAACCATCATCACAATGATTTTAGAACATTTGTTTTTATCTGCCTCAAAAGAAACCCTTTACTCACTAGTATTCACTCCCAATAGCCCTCCACCCCTTTGACCCTAGGTAACCCCTGATCTATTTCCTGCTTCTATAGATTTGACTATTATGGACATTTCATATAAATGGAGTCATGTGATATTTGGCCTTTTATGACTGGTGTCTTATCCTTAGCATAATGTTTTATAGGTTCATCCATGTGGTAACATGTATCAGTATTTCATTATTTTTATTGCCAAGTAATATTCCATTGTATGCATATACCACATTTTACCTTTTCATTTATCAGCCAATGGACATTAGGTTATTTCCATTTTTGGTTATTATGATGAATGTTTCTATGAACATTCATGTTCAAACTTTTGTGTAGACATACACATTCAATCCCTTTGGTATGTACCTGGGAATGGAATTTCTGGGTCATATAGTAACTCTATGTCTAGGATTTTGAAAAACTGCCAAATTGTTTTCCAAGGCAGCCTCACCATTTTCTTTTTCTACCAGCAGAGCATAAGGGTTATGATTTCTCCACATCCTCAATGATGCTTATTGTGGTTTACCAACATGTGTATTTCATATTTCCATGAAACTGATGTCTATTTGTCTTCAATTTCTCATCAATTCAGTTCATTTCCCACAAAGCTTTCATAGTAATATTTCTAAAACATTTCAGCAGGCAACTCTCTTGGAAATATATAATTTATTCTTATTTCCTATGGTGTCAAACACAAATTCTAAACTTACATTTCAAAGTCTTCAATAATTTAGCACCATCTTTCCTTTTCTTCCTTTATTTTTGTTCTAGTCCGGCCCAGATTTCCACCTCCTTACTTCTCCTGACCTGGAAATGTCCCACTATTTTTATTAACTTTGTTCATTCCAGTTTCTTCACACTTTTGAAACAGTCCTTGAGCTGCCAATCAAAATTAAAATTGAGATGCTTTTGTCCTGGGAATTTTTCTCTAATTCACTTCAGCATGTATTGAACTATTCTTTCGATGAATGTCTTTCACATTTGTATTTAACATCAAATGTATTAGTTTCCTCTCCCTAACTAGATTGGAAACTTCTGTAAAGTTAGAATTGTGTTTTACATATTTTTGTGACACACCATCCCACCCGTGATTCATAGGGTGCTTAATGGATATTTTGAAACACTTGTGAATGGAACAAGATGGAGCTGCTACTATTAGCTAATTTGCAACATGTCTGAGACTTGCCCCCATCTTTCCAAAACTGGAATAATTTCCACAGGACTGTTTTAAAAAAAATCAAACATTTTTTATAATTTAAATTATCCAACATACTATTTACTGCAAACTGCTTTTCTGAGGAAGAATGCATTGATTTATTTTCACAGTTTTCATCTCTTTTATATTCATTAAAACTAAAGGTGATTGGTATTATGGAAAGAAAATCTCTTTCAGTTTAATCGTGGATTCTGAGCATAAAGTTGTTCAAATGCTGGAAAACTGATCTGGCACAATTTCTTATCTGTAGCAAAATACCATGATCTCTTTATTGTGGTTTTTACTTAATATTTTAGTATGGATTAAAGTCTAAGGAAATATGATAGGGGGTGTTGAAGTTATAATAAGTGATGCCATGATATAAAGAAAGGCAAAGGATTAGAATCCAGAGAACTAAACATCAGACATGATGTATATTATAAAATATCTTATGGAAAGGAGTCAGTGCTAGGGATTCTAGATTTATCAAATGATTTATTGCTTTATACGTTTTAAAATTTATGACCATAACATTACCAACTTTTCAATTATTTAAAACTTCAGCATTTTAGAATTCAAGGCATCTGCAAGTTAGTTAAGGGAAGGCTCAGCTGATATAACAAATAAAACAAGTTTAGTGGCTTAGAGAAAATAAACATTTTTTGCATCTTACAGTCTGAGGTGAGCATTATAGGTTGGCATACAGCTATGCTCCAGCCAATCCTTTAGAGAACTGGCTTATTTCTAGTTTGTTTCTGGGTGAAACCCTAAGCCATTGTCCTCAACAGCTTCCCTGTTCAGGTACTTTCTTTCAGCTTGTGAAGTGAGCCTGGATACAGGGTCTCCGTGCAAGGTTTTACAGGCTAGGCCAGAAGTAATTACGTGTCACTTCTGCTGACATTTCATTAGTAAGAACTCAATCACTAAGCTGCACCTGTCTACAAGGGGCACTGGGAAATAAAGTCCTCGTTAGGCAGTCATGTCAGCTATAGCTGCCTTACTGTGTCAGAAAAAAAGACAGATTTGGGGCAACTAGCGGTGTCTTCCACAGTCAACCAGACCAAAACTGCAGATTACTGATGATAAAACTGAGACTAGAGAGACTATTACTTGCCACCTATATAGCCTCAGATATGTAAATCCTACCACATACCACCTTTGTGGTCTTGAACATATAACTCTGTCACTTTCCACCTGTTCCACAGTAGAGAAAATAACCTTTACCTTTATTTCAACTTGAATAACTAACTTCTTAGCGTCTATGTGACCTTGGGCACAAAACCTCTACCAGTTAATACCTTTGTGACCTTGGACATGTAATTGCTACCACTTGCCATCTGTCTGACCTTGAACACTTAACTTTCACCACTTATTACTTATGTCACCTTGAACACCTACCTTATACCACTTACCACCTATTTTTCTTATCTCTACTTCATAAGGTTGTATTAGTCAACATAATTGATATAAAGACTAGGACAATGATGAACACATCTTTCTCAATAAATGTAAGCTGCTGTTGCTATTACTATTATTACTCCTCATGTTACTGTTACTTTTGCTACCTAGTTAACAGAAAACTACATAAACATTATAATTAATCTTTTATTAATCACATAGAAGAATGTTTTAGGGCCTCCAGGTTACTAATATGAATCTTAGTTATTGCTAAGCTTTTAGACATGCTCTTGAATAAAAGGTTGTAATCAATATAATGTCACCCAAATCAACATTTAATATATACACTTCAATATTATGTAGTAGCTATAGCTTCAGACTAAAAGGAATAGTAACATATTTATGTATTCTGGTGATGTTTGTCAGTTATGTAATCCTGTGACTTGTTTATTGAATGTTGCTCCTGTGGGGGAAATAAAAACATCAAAAGTGGGATAATTTATTGTGAATATATTCTCAGAGTTAAATCAACTGTTAGTGTATTTTATCCACTGTTTTGTTATGTTAACATCCCAGAGAACCTAAATGATCTTAATGATTATTTACTCAATAAATAAACTATTTAGTTGGAAACAGAAGTCTAGAAACTAAAAACTCCAAGTAGTAGATTTCCACAGTTTTCTAAAATGAAATTACATCAATTTGTAAATAGGTCTTTACATGCAAATTTCCTGTCCCTTTCTTCATGCAGCAAAATAACTTGGACAGATGGAGTTCTCATGAACTAAACAGAGTAAACAGCTTACTGTCAAAGTCAGGATTAGTTTTTCTATATCTTACAGACATCACACAAAAAATTTTAAACAGCTTCCATTTATGCTCTAGCTTGCTTTCTGTTTTCTCTAAATCAGTCACAAGTTCACACTTATGTTATTAATATTTTCCTTTAGAAGCATGTTGATACTTGTTACCTTAAATGAGAGCTCATCTTATTGGCTCCATAGACAATATGATTTTCAAATAGAGCATCTAGCTGTAAATGTCCACGTTTTGATGTATATTTTAAATCCTAGCAATAATTCAAAGTAATTTCCACCAGATCCAGAAGATGATTGATATTTGTAAATTATGCACGTACATGCACGCATGCACACACACATGCACAAGGATTTAGTGCTTTTGATTCATCACATATGTGATAAATAACTCTATTTATTCTGTTGAAAGTGGACCTGAAAAGAAGATGAACAGGAAATAATGAGAAAGTAAAGAAGTCTCACAAAATGACTGCTTATGAAATAGAAGCACGGGCTGTGTTGAAACCAAGCAGTTAAATTCCCTATGGCATAACTGTATGTCATATGCAAGATCACTATGTATTTTACCTTAAAATGTGAAAATATAGGTCATGAAATTATTTCAGTGAGTACTCTAGGGAGAATTAATTTTTATAGCTCTATAAGTGCAAAAATTTAGAGCTGTTTTATGAAATCGATAAGGGTGTGAAGAACTTTTTTTTCCATTTAGTTATGGCATTTTATGAAGGAAATTATATGCTATAATAATGTTTAAGAATTTGGAGAATCTTCACAGCTTCAGCATATGCCTCCTGGAATGGCAATATTTATTTAGCAAAGAGATAATCATTGCCTACTGGTCTCTCACTCACTTAATACATATGAGTCAATCTGCAAGCTTGGATATACGGATTGTGTTCTGGATTTTACCGGAGTAGCACCAACATAAAAATGTAGCTTAAGGTCAGTTATTTCTGAATATGTTAGTTTATATTCATGGTTATAGCTTTTTAAATCAATTTCCAAATTAATTTTTGAATATAGTAAAAAAAAATGGCACTACAAGTAAAAGTAAACAATAGTATTCAATTACACAATAAGAAATAACTTGCCATCTCTCTTTTAGAGATATTCCATAGGAATACATGAGAGTCATTTTCTTTTTTTTAATGTTTGTTAGGGTATGTTTACTGGACACTAATATCCTACAATCAGTCAAAACTGTCCTGACCAGCATCTCATTTTATTTCAATTCTTTACAGTGTGCGGATACTAACAAGTTTTGCCACTGGGGGTCACTATTTACCTATTTTTTTTAAAAAAACCAATGACTTAAAAGCGAAGTGATGTAACTGGATAATTTGTGGTTCGTGGTGTACAGTTTAAAGAAATATTGCTGCAGGAAAAGTCTAAATTTAGATAGATGTTCCTAGAGACTAAAATACCATCCTTGGTAAATTAAGTGATTCCGTAGAGCTACTGATTTTTCTCGAGATTTTATTCAGAGATAACTAAATAGTGATTATGTCCAAAATAACCATGTATGTATTTTAGGATGCTTTGCCAATTTGAGGAAGTTTATAGGCTGGATGCTTTCCAGGGCCCCAGGGAATCATGGAGGAGACAGTATGCAGTGAAATAGATGGAACAGGGTCGTTGACTCAGGAAGGAGAGCTAGGTTCCGATCTGACTCTATCATTCACTGTCCGGGGACATGATCTAGTCCCTTACTCTCCAGTTTTCCCCTTTGTAAAATGAAGGTGGCAGGTTTCATGATTTCAGTAGTCCCTTGTCATCCTATCTTTCTAAGAGTACCTTTCATTAACTGTTAGATTGTAAAGTTTTTGGATGAAAGGGAATGAAAATGTTTTTACTCTTTTATAGCCATAATAGACAAATAGTAAGACAGCAACAACGGAAGTATTTTTTTGGTTACGTAAAATATTTTATGACAGCATAATCAAATGACTATTACTACAAGGTGTTCTTTTGTAGTGAGTGACGTAAGACACAAGGGGGAATCAATACCCTGGAAAGTTCTTACAACATTTTAGAACAAGTTAATGTGTTTTTGATCACTTCTGCTTAATAAGTTATTATTGGACTGGTGCCTTTCCCTGACTTATCTGGTTCTGATTGATCCGTAGGAATAATGATTCCAGGCCTAGGAGCTGCTGGATTCTCTTCCTTTAACTTTTGGCCACGAAAGATTCACTCCCAGATGAATGCTTACCCTCCATTTTCTAGCCTGGTGCTATTTCATTCTCTAGCACTAGTTCTAAGCCAGGTGTCCCTGATCTTGTGCCTCAGATCTGCCAGTGATAAACAATATTTGTCTGTGGTGCCAGGGAGTAAAACTCAAGCAAAAAGCCACAGTTTTCATAGCTTAAGTGGTTAGAGTTAGAGTTCAGGACTGCCAGCCAGCTGGAAATTGAATAGGAAAATACTTGAAAAAGAGGAACGACCCAAAATCTGCATATAAACTTCTCTCACATCGTTGGATAAACCAGAACTGTGCATGCACAGTGGAGATTCCAAGGAATATAGAAAGAAAACCTGCCTGTAGGCTGAAAATGCTAAGCAAAGATTTGAATTTCTGCCCAGCACAAGGATCATGGGAATTGACACTTAAATATTTCCAAATGAGATTTGCTTTTAATTGAAACCCCAGAAGGGCTATGACTTAGGAATAATGATTATTTCCTCAGGACTAGGCTAAACTGAAACAAATCCTCCCCAAGAAATTATAAAATCAAGCCCACACAAGTTGAAGATACATAGTAATTTAGTTATTTACTAACCACAAATCAGCACTCTTTAGAGGAAGATTCTAGAATCCGGAGTCTAGTTTTTACAATCCATAATGCATAGCATAAAACTAAAAGTTACTACACATGGGGGAAAAAAAAAACAGGAAAATGTGGCTGATTTTTAAAAGTAAAAGTACATAATTGAAACATTCTTGGAGATGATAGAATTGGAAGACAAAGATTTAAAATTCAGCTACTATAGGCATGTTCAAGGATGTAAAGGAAATGATGCTGAAGAGATGAAGAATCTGAGCAGAGAAATGGATGTTATAAGAAAGAAAAAAATAAGAATTCTATTTAAAAGTATATTACTTGAAATGTAATATTACTTGAAAATTTACTGGTGAGGTTTAATAGCAGAGAGAAGATGGCAGAAGAAAAGATTGGTCAGTGAATTTGAGGACAAATTAATAGAAATCATATAATCTGAAGAATAGAGAGAAAAATAATTTAAAAAATGAATGGAACCTCAGTGCATTGTAGGATAATATCATACTAATGTGTGTGTAACTGGAATATACAAAGAATAAGCACAAGATATGAATAAGAACATTATTCAAAGAAATGATATCTAGACTGGGCATGGTGGCTCATGCCTGTAATCCCAAAGCTTTGGGAGGCCAAGGTGGTAGGACTGCTTGAGACCAGGAGTTCTAGACTGGCCCAGGCAACATAATGATACCTAATCTCTTAAAGAAAAAAAAAAAAGAAAGAAAGAAAATTAGCCAAGTGTCGTGGCATGAACCTGTAGTTCTAGCTACCCAGGAGTCTGAGGTGGGAGAATCCCTTGTGCCTGGCAAGAAGTTTGAAGCTGCAATGATCACACCATTGCTCTCCAGCCTGGGCAACAGAGTGAGACCCTGTCTTGAAAAAAGGTTAAAAGAAATTTTTTAAAAACAGAAATGATGGCTAAATTTCTCCAGATTTGGTGAATAAACACCAACCTAGAGAAACATATACCTTAAGCATCAAAAAAATAATATATACACATAACACTAGGAACATCATAGTCAAATGACTGAAAACCAAAAGTAAAGAAAGAAACCTTGGAAGCAGTTGGGAGTAGGGGTTAGATAAAGTTTGTAAGTGTGAAAAATAATACAAAATGCACCATCTTCTCATGAGAAACAAAGGTGGGTAGACAATGACATTATAACTTTGGTACTCAGAGGGAAAAAAAGGGTCAATCTAATATTTTATATGTAGCATTCTATATAAAAAATAAAAGCCAGATAGACATTCACAGATATGTAACAGCTGAAATAATTCAAGATGATCTGGAGTACAAGGAAGGTAGAATAAATTATTCAGGATGAAAGGAAATAACATTAAATATAAACTTGGATTTACAGGCAACAATAAAGAGCTCCAAAAATGGTAAAATGAGAGTAAATATAAAAGACTATTTTTCCCTGAATTTCTTAAAAGTTATTTGCTATATTATATGTTTGGATTTTGGGGCTTGTAGTATGTAGGTGTAAAGCATAAAATAAAAGACAACAATAGCAAAAAGAACATGAGGGGAGGGTAAATGGAAGGATATTCTGGCAAAGTTCTTAACATTTTATGTAATGTGGTATAAGATTAAATGTAAGTAGACTGTTATAAGAATTAATTTTGTAATCTCTGGTGTATAAAATGTTAGATCTAAACATTTAAAAATGTTGCCTCTAAACTCCACTGTATTATTACATTTTACAAAGATAAACTAGACACTCAGTAAAAAGCAGAGATTATACTACTAGATTTTAAAAGTTCTGAAAATATGCTATTTATAACAACACCTAAATATGCTATTTATAACAAACACCTAAAATATGCTATTGAGAACAAACAACTCAGTTGCTGAAACCCAGACAAATTGAAAGAAAATCAATAGAAAAATATATGTCATGCAAATAGTAACCATCAAAGAGCTGATGTGATTATACTAATATCAGATAAGATGTATTTCAAGACAAATAGGATTATCTGAGAGAAAGAGGGCCATTTTATCATTTCATAATGATAAAAGGGTCAATGAATCAAGAAGACATAACAATTCTAACTATATATGCCCCTAATAGTTGAGCTTGAAAACACATACATAAAAAAATAAACAGAGCTAATGGGAGAAACTGACATATGAACATAGCTGGAAAATTTGACACTGCTCTATGAGTAATTGATAGAACAATTAGATATAAATCAGTAAAAATATACACAATTTTAGCCTTGACCTAATTAATAATATTTAGAGGACTTTGTCTATCACTTCTCAGACTTTTGGCTAAGATCAATTGTAGAGCACTTCATCCAATATTCCATATTGGATGAAGTGCTCTACAATTGGATATATAGTCCAAGTTGTGGAATATATATTCTTTTCAAGTGTATGTGGTACATTCCCAAAAATAGACCATCTACAGGTCATAAATATGTCTCAATATATTTCAAAAGATTGATATCATACAGAGTATGTTCTATACCATAGAAAATAAATTAAAGATCAATGATTATCTATAAAAACCTCAACTGGAAATTAAACAATATACTTATAAATGACTAATGGCTCAAGAAATCATGGGAGAAATTACAAAATATTTTGAATTAAATAAAAATAAAGGTTAAAGGTACAACACATCAAAATTTGTGAGACACAGTGCTTAAAGGGAAATTTTTAACGTTTAATGTCTATATTCACTGTCAGTGATATGTTTTCATTGTAAGAATTTCAAAAAATATAAACATATTAAAACTAAAGTAAGCCAAATAAAGGAGGAAATACAGAGCAGACATTTTTAAAAATGGAAAAAATGAATGGAATATTAAGTCAAACTCAGTTATGCAAAAAATGACTACAAAATATATACCACTTTAGCGAAATTGATAAAGAAAATGTCAAACAAAAATGAACATTCAGGAAGGGAAAGATTGTCACTATAGATTCTATAGACATTAAGAGAATGACAACAGAATGTTATAAACAAATACAATTCTAGTTGAAGTGGAAAGATTTCTTGAAAAACAAACCAAACATAGGAAAAATTAAAATATTATTTCAGTGATACTGAAGAGTAGAGACAATAGATTATTCAGTATTAGTGTTGCCTCATTTGGATACCTATATGAAAAAAAATGAAATTTGATCCCTTCTTTCCACTATGCATAAAATTTAATGCTAGGTATATTACAGTTTAAGTGTGAATGGCAAAACAATAAAACTTGTAGAAGAAATAAAGCTCACCTGGAAGAATTCTGAGCACCTTTGAGACTACACTTCAGGATGTTGACCTATTTGTCAGCTTGCGTGACTGTGCATTGAGCAGCAGCAGGCATGGTGACAAGACATGCTGCACAGAAATGCCTGAGCACATTACGGGGAACAAAGTTCTCAAAGTTATGGCTTCAAATTTTACATGTTCTGTTGCTGAGTTGCAGCTCCACCTGCGAGTACCTGTTCTTGGTCTGGAAGCATAGCTGTAGCTTAATTAGAATGGTTAAGACAGGAGTTAGGTTTTTTTTTAATGTGGTTACTCAAAAAATAGTGCTTGTAGTCTTTCTTGAGAAAAATCGTTTGTCTGAAGAGAAACTGGAGATTTTTTTTGCACTGTTGTAGAGCACACAGTGTCTTAGGTGTCCCAGTCTTTAATAGGTGATTTATGAACTGCTGCTGTTAACATTTATAACATTCACTTTACACATTTCCTCACCTCACATGGAGCTTAGCATCTTTGTGATATAAATGGGGTATAGGGAGGAGGGCAATGCTAATATATCCAGAAGCTGTGTTTGTGCCTTAGATTGTGCCTGGTAAACTGTATCCATTATGAATATTTGAAGACGAAATCCACTTTGGGAGGCCGAGGCAGGAGAATTGCTTGAGGACAGAAGTTCAAGACCAGATAGGCTAAGATAGTGAGACTTCCTCTCTGTAAAATATTAAAAAAAAAAATTAGCTTGGGCTTGGTGGCACATGCCTGTAGTCCCAGCTAGTCAGAAGGCTGAGGCAGGAGGCTTACTTGAGCCCAGGAATTTGAGGCGACAGTGAACTATGATCACGCCACTGCACTCCAGCCTGGGTGATAGAGTGAGATGGTGTCTCTATAAATAAATAGAAAGAAAGAAAGAAAATAAAGAAGAAATCTACATCAAATTTTTATTTCTAGAGAGGTTCTCCAGTTAAAAGTTTATAGCTATAGTCTAAAGAATGCTTTGAAAAAATCTTTTAATACTGCTACCGTCATCCCTAAATGGGATGGAGGTAGCTGGACCATGAGAACACTATTGGCAACTGGATATGCCTCACCTGTTGCTTTCCATTGTTTTTCTTTTCCCATGCTGTTTGAGTTTGTCTTCCATTCAGTGGCTTATCTCTCTCATTTAAATTATCTTTCAAACTGAGTTTTTTTTCTGGAAAATATTAAACAGTGCTCTATAAACCTAAAGGAAGGACAACAGTCTGGATTCAAAATACTGCAGTAAGATCTCTGTTAGCACCACAAATTGCCTGGATTTAAGGATATTTTATGTTGCTTGCTCTGCATATAAATGAAATAATTTATATCCTCCTTCCTTCTCTCTTTCTTCGAACAACAAATATTGATTGAGAGCCAGTTACATCCTACATAAAGAAAATATAGAATTGAACAAAATCAAGACCCTCATTTTCTAATGGAAGGATATGGATAACTAACACAAACATATAATATATTACATAATGAAATGTACTATAAAGATGAATAAAGCAAAGTGAAGACTGGGTGACTGATAGAGATGAGGGGATATGTGGTGTTATTTTATAGAGGGTTGTCAGGAATGTGACATTTGATTGATACCTGAAGGAACTAAGAAATGAGCCATGTGAATACCAGGAAGCACAGGATTTCAAATAGGAGATAGCAAGTGAAAATGTCCTGATGTGGGAGTTTGCTTGGTGTGTTAGAGCAACAGCCACAGGGTCCTGTAAACCTGGAGGAGAGTGAATGATGTGGGAGTTGTGGCCATGAGGTCTGACAGATGAGTTTTAGGTAATAGGTTTGAGATTTTACTTTAAGTAAAATAGGAAGCCAAAGGAAGAGTTTATCTGTAGAAAAATTTTTTAGATGAGTTTTTGCTAAACTTTCTGAAATTCCTTAAATTGATTAAATGTTCTAGTTCCAATTCTGCTGGGCTTTATATTCAAAAGTGGAAAGAAACTTTCATATATTCAATAAATATAGATACATACTATTCTGAGGAAGTATGTGATTTCCCAGAAGTAAATAATAACAACATTCTAAATTGATAAATAATAGCAATATAATCCTATTCCAGCTGTTTCAAACTATGTGTAGAAGCAATTGGAACACTGTTAATGGCTGCCAAGAGTCAGGATGAAACTTGAAAATTAGGATGAAACTTGAAAATTATTTCTTAATATTTCCTCTCATAAAAACTCCTGTGTATTTAACCATTACCAAACACTGTCAAAATAAATGAGGCAATTAGGATTCTGAACTTGAATCTGACCAGGATGAGTTGGTATGAGTAAACTCTACCACATCTACCAAGCGATGTGACCTTGGATGAATTTCCCCAGTGTCTTCAAGTCTCACTTTCTGTATTCCTAGCATGTACATAATAGTTCCTAATTCATGGATAATGTATGTAAAGCACTTAACCCAGTTTTTACCACCTAGTAAGCATTTAAAAATAATAGTGGTTATAATAACTATCTTGTTCTTGCCTCTTCTAGTATTACTAAATATTGGGCAGACTAAAATAAGTTACAATATTTGCAATGAGTTGACTGTAGCCAACATGAATATTTATTAGTGTACTCATTTTTTGTTATTGCTAGGATCTAAAAATAATATGCACAGGAATAAAGCAAAGAAAATACCCTATTAATGCAAATAACTTAAACCGATAAGCAATACATACTTTTATATAAATCAATGAACATCTGATTTTAATTTTGAACTACCCAAACTCTTATCAGGACCTTTTTTTTCAATTCAAAGAACACAAGTTTAACAGTGCCTCATTTGTCCTTAACTCACTCTGACATCTTGTTGATTATACATGTTCAATAAATGCTTGACACACACAGAGGGAGAGGTGGGATTTAAAAAGTAAAATATCTTCCTGAATTTGGGATCCCTGTGCACTGCTGCTAGGAATGTAAATAATACAGCCACTATGGAAGACAATATGTAGAGTCCTCAAAAAGTTAAACCTAAAATTACCACATGATCATGCAATTACACTTCTAAGATTTACACAAAACAACTGGAAGCACAGACTCAGACAGATACTTGTACACCAGTGTTCATAGCAACATTATTTACAATAGCTAAAAGGTGGAACAACCCTTTTACACAGCAGACAACGAGACAAACAAATTGTGGTGTATATATTAATATACAATAATATTCGATGGAATATTATTCAGCCTTAAAAGGGAATAAAATTCTGATAATGCCCTAATAAGGGCAAACCTGGAAAGCATATGCAGTTTAAAATAAGCCAGCCACAAAAAGACAAATATTATATTATTCACATACATGAGGTACCTGGAATAGGCAAATCCATAAAGACAGAAACAGAGGTTACCACGGGTGGGGAGAGGGGTCAATGGGG
The DNA here is from genome assembly GCF_000001405.40 of Homo sapiens. NCBI lineage: Eukaryota > Metazoa > Chordata > Mammalia > Primates > Hominidae > Homo > Homo sapiens. Next base: position 44,768,456 of record NC_000004.12, read on the forward strand.
AGTTATTGTTTAATAGGTACAGAATACAAAGTTCTGGAAGTGGATAGTGGTGACGGTTGCACATCATTGTGAATGTAATTAATACCACTGGATTGTACACTTAAAATGGGGGGAAATGTTAAGTTTTATGTTATGTGTATTTTACCTCCATAAAAATATCTGTTCAGAATTTTAAAAAGGTAAGCTGTCTCCACAAGTACATTTATTAAATATTTCTCAGATATAACTACTTCTGTAGTGTTACATATTGGGTTATCCATTCATTCACTGAGAATTTATTACATGTTATGGTGGTTTTCTCAGCTCATTTCCCAGAGGACTGTGCATCAGCCATATAGTTTGGGGATGGGGGGCAGGGTGTTGGTGTTTCCACGCTCTCTGGGGTTGTTTTAGCCTATCATTGTAATTTGGTGCCCCTTGCTATGGAGATTTTTCCATAGATGGGTTGTTGCCTAGATCTAAGACAATATATTAAGGGCCACAAAATGTCTACGAAAGGAGAATGGCTGTAGAATAGCTACCCCAACTACTGCAGGATTCCATTCTCCAAAAAAAATGGAAAAATTGACTGGGCCATAGACATTTTTATAACCTAGCAACACAAATCACAGACAACTTATACCAAAAACTATGTCCCAACTAAATTCACTGGCATGTTATGAAAGATTAAAGGCTCATCTGTCCTCAGAAAAAGTGTCAGTGCTTTGTTATTTTTTTTTTTGGGTTTAAAAATAGCTTGAGAGCTACTGGGAAAACCACTGGCAAAGAGGAGAAGCATGTGAAGCTATAAAAAATTATCTGCTTTTTTTTTTTGGTTGTTGTTTAATATGGTAAATGCAGAATGGTGCTGTGTGCATTCTTAGGTTCATTTAACCTAAACTCTGTTATTCTGCCCAAGAACATTTGGAACAGATCGTGTCCACTCCCCCTACCCACAATGTTAGTTAAAGCAAGAGAGTCATCTGAAGCAGAAGGAGACAAATTGTTCCCAGTCTGAAACTATACCACCTTTGCTGGAGGGGGAAAAGAATACAATAGTGGAAGTTATTTTGGTGCTGCTTCTCTGCTGAGTAAATGCAGGCTTGTGCTCCTTTTTCCTTCGTCCTCCTTCCCTCTCATTTTCCATTATCTGTCAAAAGAAAAACTTCAAAGATACATTAAGATAAAGTACAATTTAAAAGATGAGGACAAATAACTGAGACACATATCTTAAAGAAACAATGTTTACATTCTGGTTTTGACTTTTTAGGAATACCAGGGTACACAAGGTTCATTTTAGTTTAACTTTTGAGAAGAGGAATGATTTCATATCCAAGGAGAAGTATGAAGTGGAGTTTAGGAAGTAAAATTGCTCTCAACAAATACATGGAAGGGAGGCAATGTTAGAAAAGCTACAAAACAGAAATCATAATGTTCCAAATCTTAAGACTTCCAAAGCATTCAAGCTCTGTCATCAGTGCAGATGGCCTAATTATGAAGAATAAATTGACAAAAATTGTCATGTGCTTTTCTAAGAGTGCTTTGGTAAATCAGAAACATTTCTGATTTCTCCTGCATCCAAAAGGAGACAAATGATTGAAGGTTTTCCAAAACAAACAAATATAAGAGGAATGACTGGGAACAAAACCCAAGAGAGATGCTGAGGAGATGTGGGACCTGCCATACAATAGGAATTTTGGAGAAACTTGGTTTCTTGCTGCTCTTCATGGGAATTTTGAGCCATTGCTGTGTGCACATGACTTTAAGCTTTCTGCAGACAAGGGAATCTGGAGGTCTATGTTTAGAAACCTAATGGCGGTCGGGCGCGGTGGCTCATGCCTGTAATCCCAGCACTTTGGGAGGCCGAGGCGGGCGGATCACGAGGTCAGGAGATCGAGACCATCCTGGCTAACACAGTGAAACCCCGTGTTACTAAAAATATAAAAAAATTAGCCGGGCGTGGTGGTGGGTGCCTGTAGTCCCAGCTACTCGGGAGACTGAGGCAGGAGAATGGCATGAACGCAGGAGGCGGAGCTTGCAGAGAGCCAAGATTGCGCCATTGCGCCACTGCACTCCAGCCTGGGCACAGAGGGAGACTCCGTCTCAAAATAAAAAAAGAAATTAAAAAAAAAAAAGAAAAAAGAAGAAACCTAATGGCACGGCTAAGGAATTATTTCTCTAAAGAGATAGAAACGGAAGAATGTGTGGGCAGTGAGTAGGAAAGTTTCTGTTCTTCTGATTTAAAATTATTATTAAAAATTATCCTTTGCAGCACTGCAGCTAATTTGAGTGTGTAGTGGGAGGGGTCAGAGTAGGAGAGCTGAGATTTCATTGAGAATCTCCAAATCAAAACTGTCCATGGAGGCTCAAGGCATAATACTATATCTTGTTTGTAACTCCTTTTTCACTATGTTTTATATGTGTTTATTATGCAAATAAAATTATAATCATAGCAAAGATTCTGAAAGAAATATATTCACTCAAAAGTCTGTATATTAAACCACTGGTGATACATTTTATTTGCTCTTTTTCATTGTTCCTTTAAGGTGTTATTCATATATATCCATCTCATTTTTTAGTGGTTATATTCACTTCATGGATTAAATTTTGAATTCAGTCTTTTTACCCTAGCATTTGTTTATGGCAATTATTCCATGTTCTTGTTAGTTTTAAGATAATCGCATTAATGGCTATAACTGCCTGTTTCTGTAGTGTTTAACTGTTAAGTTTTACCAATTTGTCATAGTCATAAATAATGTTAAGAATGGGTACTAACATTTCTTTCAGAGAGGTGCTGTCCTGATAAAAATATATTGCAAATGCCTAAGGTACAAGGCGAGATATTAAGGCTTCAGTTAAGACAACGACTTTTGAGAAGAGTGGAGAATGAAAATGGAAATAGAGGAGACACTACTGAGGTTACGAGAGAGAGAGAGAGGAAAGTGAAAGCGGGAAAAGTTGCTAATAATACTGATATGCTCACCGTTGTTAAGCTTTATTTCAATTTTTTTCTTTAGAAATATGTAAAGAGAAAACATATTCTTGGTTCCTGATAACGATTGCCAAATTACTTCTCAAAGAGCTTCTCAATGACATTGCTATCAACATGAAATGAGAATAATGGATTCCTGAAAATATTAGCAGCTTCTGTGTGTTACACAGCATTTTCATGAATCTAATAGAATCAGTAATGGTGTTACAGTAGGTAGTTGGTCACACATGATCAGGGCAAGAGAGGGCTCCTTGCATCCCACCAGAAATGTCAGCTGAACATCAGATGACGGTCAGGCAGTTGTTAGCGGTCTCTCTAAAATAATAGTTGGGCACATCCAGCGCCAGGGAAAGGTAGTCTCCCAATAGATAGAAAAACCTGAAACTGGTGATCAGCTTCCTGATAAGGTCTCAGGAGTTGGGTGACTGGGCTCGAGCATGAACACTAAGAGGAAAAATGGCAAAGTTTAACTGGTGTATGAATTCCCCTAGGAACACTCAACTGGTATGAGAAAAATGCTTGAAGTGAGCACATGCACAATTCCAGTAAACACACTGAGCATGCAGCCACTCCCAAGAGCTGGCAGGCCACTGCACATACAAATAGGCCACCCCAAGGGAAGAATTGGGAGAAGGGATGAAAGACCTCAGAAGTATGCCAACATGTAAAACTCCAAGTCAAAGATCAAACAGGGCACTTGATCTCTCAAGTTGCCTGCTTGGCCCTCTTCCAGGTACAATTTATTTCCTTTTGTTCCTGCTCTAAACTTTTTAATAAACTTTCACGGCTGCTCTAAAACATGCCTCAGTCTCTCACTCTGCTTTATGCCCTTCAAATTCTTTCTTCTGAGGGAGTAAGAATTGAGGTTGCTTCAGGCCCATACAGATTCACTGCTGCTGACATACTTTGGTGCCACATGACTTGGATACATTCCCTAGTGGTAACACACCTCTATGCCTTGCCTTCTTTGGCTGAAGGTGTTCAATCCTTGTACACAGTTTCCTTCTCCCCTTTCACTGTCTTGCTTACTAACCAACCCGCTTTCAGCCACGGTGGCTCTGCTCCCCGTGGCTGATCCCTCAGCTCACTCTGATGGGTGGCTTGCAGTGTTGGGAAGGACCTTGGAGTCTGCACAGAGTAGAACTGAGACACTAATGGCCCTCCTGGATGAGAGGCTTGTGAGAGTGGTAAGTCTAAAGTGTAAGACCATGCAATGTCTGCAGTTTCCTCTGCTTTTCCAACTAAAATTGGCTCTTTCCCCAAAACCCCCACGACCTGTTCTCCATGCGTATTCTGAAATGGCCGTGTGCACCACAAGACCATCCATCTCTGCCTCTTCTTTACTTTCACCTCACATGCCACATGACTTCTTAAATACATAATCCCTGTTAGTCATGTACCTGTGGCTCTTGCATTAGCATGGAAGCAAATACGCAGGCTCTCTTGCAAATATCCCCTGAGATTTATTTGTTTTTACCCTACCAGCTCAGATTACTTCCAACTCTTCCCATCTGCTGGCACATTGCTGGGACCAACAGTAATTGGAACCTGGACTCTGCCAGCTCTTTATGACTTACCATATACTTTTTGTCCCTGTTATACTCCAGGGCTAAGTTTTTTGGTGGCTTTTGAAGCAGTTTGTCTGCCTGCATGGGGCCTCACTCGGTGTTTTTTTAAGGATCCCACCTACCTTCTTTTTTTGAGTTAGCACCCCTTTAGGAGGAAGAACAGTTATTCTCTTGTCATTTGCAAGTTCTTTCCCCAAGGCCCAAGTCCTCTGGAGGTTACTGCTTTATGTCAAGAGGGCAAATAAACGTTTCCTTCTCAAATCTAAGGGCTGCTGTTTCTGCAAGTATATGAAGGCTTTTTATGAGTATCCCTCTTGCTTCCTCCCACTTACTCCTACTCCTGTTCCCTCAAATTCTCTGACACTTCCATACCCTTTTCAACATGCATCAAGACCTTCAAGATCATATTCAAAGGGAGAGAAGTCCAGTCCCTCGCAGTAGTTAGCTAAAAAACAGGCTTCTCATCTACTCAAAGACCATGGGAAATAGGAAGCTGAGAAAAGAGATAATCGTTTTGTTGGTAGAATACTCTGAGTGAGAGTCACTGTAAGGTCATGGAGACAAGGATATAGCCCAGCCCAAGACCACAGGTTCAAGGGACCCATTAGAGAGAGATGAAGGTTGGTTCCAGGCTAACACATTACCACTAGAACAGAGATAAAGACAAGGTTAAGACTGGTTATTTCAGAATCCCAAGGATGAACAGTTGGCTCCCTGTCACTCCAGTATCTCCTGTGTTCTCAAGTGGGTAATTGTGACAAGATGAGACCAAGGTTAAGGGTACACAGTAAGACAGATTTATTCCAGAATGCTAAGGACAAATAGGGGATGCCCTATTCAGGATAATAGGAAAGTAAGAGGGACACCTTCTTTTTCCTTTTTTTCTCCTCTCTTGTCTCTTCACAGATGAGTAATTCCATCTCCATACCAGAGGATTTGCCCCTTGGATTATTCCCAAAAACTGGAAAAAGTTTGATTCTCCTAAACCTTAAAAAAAAGCCAAAAACTAGTTTTACTTTGTAATACTGTTTGACCTAAAAATGAACTGGGTGAAAATACAAACATCAGCCTGAGACCCCAGTAACCTTATGCAGGAAATCCTCAAATTAGCCTCTTCAGTCTTTTACAACTGAGAGCAGAATAAAGAGGACAGAGGGAAAAAGAAGAACAAACACAAAGATAAGAGGCAGGCTCAACTATTGGCTGCTTTATAAGCTCTCCAGTCCCCTCCAGGTCATCCTAAGGACACTCCTCCAGGTAACTGCCATCGGTATGGAAAGCCAGGCTCACTGGAAGGCAAACTCCCCAATGGGTTAAATAGGAAAAAGCCCTGCATTGCTTGCCCCCTCTGCCGCAAGCTCAACCACTAAAACTGGACTGCCCTGAAGGCCAAAGGGCCCCCAGGATGGAATCTCAACCTTTGATGAGCTTGAGCTGAAGGGGCTCTCTGCTCCAGCCAACTCCAAGATTAGACATCATCAACAATAGGGCAAGAGCAACTTTGGAGGTGGCAAGTAAAATTATAAATTCACCTTTTAGGTTCAAGAGCTTCCTACTCTGTGCTAATATCCTTTGAGCAGCTGTCCTCCAAATCCTGTCAGGTAATGGGGTAAATGACAGCTCCTTCTCCTAAAGAAAAGGATCACGACCCTTTGGGGCAAAAATATACTTTTCAAAATGGGTGCCAGCTTAATATTTACTCAACCTCTAAATTTGTCTTTTGCTCTAGTATCCCTATTTCTTCTGGGAAAGATACCTAAATCTTTAACCAATAACTTTGACTTGGACTGTCTTTCCTCAGGGGTTTAGAAATAGCCCACCCTTATTTGGATAGACCCTAGCAAAAAATCTAACTGAGCAATCTCTTGAAGGGGGATAACTCCTACAGTATATAGATAAACTCCTTATCTGTTCCCCCTTCACAGGACTCTCATGGCAACACATAGTACAAACCATGACTTCCTAACAGAAAGGGAAATGACTTCTGTCTAATTCAAAGAATATTAAGGTAAAGAAATATTTTTGGTAAGAAAGGTTATACAGAAAGTAGATTTTATATGAGAAAGGATCTTGTATGGTAAATTATTGTCCTAAAGTAAAATGACTGTTTAAAAAGAGTTGTTTAAAATGTTGTTTAAAAAGAGGGATGTTTAGGACAAGTCAGAAAGTCCAAGCATGTCATAGATGTTCTGTGTAGGTCATAAAAAGATTCATGAAAGGGAATTTACATAAAGAAATAATATATAATTTTAAAGGTTATTAGGCATACTAAATGCTTCATACACTGCTACTATGACTCTTAAATGTACAGCTTGCCTGCTTTAAAGCCATTAAATTCTCCCCCAGATAAGGCCTGGGGACATACAGAGTTAGCCATGGCTAACTCCCTTCTGATTTGGAGTTAGCCATGCCCCCTAGCTATGCTTGTAAGAGTCAAACCTTATCTGCACTTCCATCTGATGTCCTAGGCTCCACACCTAGTACATAACTAAAATCGTTTACTTACCAGGTTGTACACTAAAAGTAAAAGTTGCTAAGTGCTAACAGTGTAACATATATTTGAGGTTACTGGAAAAACAGTTTTCAATGCAAGGCATGTAAGGAAAGTAGAATGTACTTTTAGTAAAAGATTATAAGAAGGCATAGGAATGTAATTTTTTTTGCCTAGCTTAGAGGGTTAAAGGATTGTTATTAGGTGGATAGGATAAAGCTGAAGGTTAAAGCAAGTTGTAGGAGGTTTGTCAAATAATTTTGTCAAAGAAATTCTGTGTGTGATCATGTTGGCTAAAGTTAAAGGGGTATTTTTCAGTTTTTCCATAAATTTAACATTGGAATAAAAGCACAGCATGTTTTTTAGAGCGTTGTTCTGTTCTTTAACAGAAAATTATAAAGGGTGATGAGAATCTTACCTTATAGTCAAACTGATTAAGATTGAGTAGATTTGTCTATAAGGTTTTATTAGGAACTGGATTTAACATTAATAGTACACTAAAGCAAAGGTAATATTTGGCCATAATCATGTGAAACTCCTGTAATTCTGATGTAACTTAGTATATATTATCAGTAATAGTTATAAGTATCAAATTATTTTGTGCCACAGAGGTTAACAAATTTCCTTGTCAATTGTGCCTTTGACTGTGGCTTCCCTAAGACCTTTTTAATCTACATACAATTGTTGTCTTGTTTTGATGTTCTTTAAAATGTGTTTTTATAATCAGCTATCAGACTCTAACTGGTGTTCTTAAATGCAGGTTTCTGATTTGCAGATTGTGACATGAGAATAGAGGAAAAACTTTCAGGACACTTAAGGAGAGCTGAAATGCTCACGAATATTAAGCAGAGCATAAGTCAACTGTATGGACTGACCTAATAGAAGACTGAAATAATTCTTCTATTTACACCTTTTAACAATTGAGTAAAGTATACTGCTGTAAACAAAATTTGGAGCATATTTGTTTCTCTCTACCTGATTTCTCTAGAATTAGGAAACTATGAATATTCTTAACATGTGAATATAGTTATTTGCATAAGTGCAGTAAGAATCTGTTTTCTTTTGCAACAGGACACAATTGGAAACTGGTTGTTTTACCAAGACTTTGTAAAGCCTTGCTAACTGGAATTTGTGCTTTCCTTTAAGGAATCATATTTGACTTATAGATCCAATAAAAGCCCTTTGGGAAAACTGGCCTCATACCTACTCTACACAGTTCCTGTACAGGATTCCTGACCTGTGGTAAGTAAAGAATATCACTTTCTGACAGGCCCAGGAGCCCCAAGTTATCTTGGGACCTCAAGCAGAAAGGTATTTATTCAACTCATACAGTTACTTGATGGCACAGGTATTTGAAGATTTAAACCCATGGCTGGGCTTAAGGTTTTAAAAAGTCTTCTCTGAGATTTCTCATGGAACAAAGTTCCATCAAAGCCAATTTAAAAAGTAGCTCATATGGCAAATAGTTATTCTTGCTGTGCTTTATACAAATAGCCAGGCCAAGTATAATAAGACTAAAGCTTATTTCGCAAATAAATCAGTTCTATCATGATTTGTTTTTAATAGAAATGAGAACTGGTGAGAGAAAAATTATGTTAATGTACCATGGTACTTGTTATTAGATTCTAGTCTCATCAATAGTTTTTGAGATTTATCTGCAATTCAGACTAACCCTGCTTATTTCTGTGAACCAACTAGTGATCTCTAGCTTCAGCTCAAAAGAAATAGGAGGGATGAGTAATGCAAAAATCTGGATCAAGATTCTAATGCTGGGCACATATTGGAATTGGCTAGCAGCTCCATCCCCCTAAGTCTTAGCAGGCATGACTATAGCTTTCAGCTATGTGGGCATGGCAGCAGCTTCAGGATATTTTTCTGGAGCTGTCCTCACCCTGTTATTTCGTTTTGACAACTTCTAAATCTAATAACCTGATTTGTCTTCTCTTGCCTTCAGGCCATCAAGCACCAGATAATCCTCAGTGAGTGATACATCCCCTTAATATTCAAGAGCCACCCTTCTGTAGGGGGCCGATAGAATGCCCCATCAGTGGGACAAGACAGAGGTGAAATCCTGCCCCTCTCTCCCTTGGACCTGGCTAGATACTGCTTTTACCATCCCATGGAGTCACACTGCCCTGACAGGTAACAAGAGCCTAAGGCCCACAGAACAACCACCACGGTCCCTCTGTCAGCAGGGGGCAGTTACAGAAGACTGACCTTCATCCATTTTCCCCAAAGAATTGGGGTCTTGGACTCCTGACGTGTGAAATGTTATAGTAGGCAGCTAGTCAGACATGAGCAGGGAAGGAGAGGGCCCCTCTCCCCAACCAGGAATGTCCGATGACCATCAGGTGATGGTCAAGTGGTTGTTAACTGTTTCTCTAAAATAAAAGTAATGGCAAAACAGCAATTACTTATGCACAAACCTAATAATTAGTTGCATCAAGTGCCAGGGAAAGACAGTCTCCCAATAGACAGAAAAACCTGAAACTGGTGATCAGCTCTCTGATAAGATTTTAGGAGTCAGGTGAGTTGTTTCAAGCATGTGCACTAAGAGGCAAAATGGCAGAGTTTAACTGGTATACAATCTTCCTCTACGAACATGCAGCTGGTAAGGGAAAAATGCCTCAAGTGACCATGTGCACAACTTCGTAAACACACTGCAAATGTGGCCCCTCTCAAGTGCTGGCAGGCCACTGTGCATGCGGACAGCAACCCTAAGAAAACAATGAGGGCAGAAGGGATGCAAGACTCTGGAAATATGCCGGTGTATAAAACCACGAGTCAAAGGTCAGGTCAAACAGGGCACTTGATCTGTCAAGTCGCCCACTTGTCCCTCTTTCTTTCATTCCTGCTCTAAACTTTTACTCAACTTTTACTCCTGCCTCAGTCTCTCACTCTGCCTTATGCCCCTCAAATTCTTTCCTCTGAGGAGGCAAGAATAGAGGTTGCTGCATACCAGTATGGATTCACTGCCCTTAACAATGGTGAGCATAGACTGGGGAAAGAGACTACCTAAATTGAATAGAATAGGGTGGGCATATGCTGATTATAATTATATTTGCTATTTATATTATATTATCTAATACCTACCTATTGTGTTATTGGTTAAAAATTTCTTCAGAAATCATCTCCCCATTCATTCATATAGTTGCAGTGAGAATTGAACTATTATTGTTATGTAATTTTATTCATTTCCATGGTTGATAGGGCCAGAGATGAGACCATTTGAGTAACTGAGGCCATTCCCTGGAAATACAGGTGAAAATGGAAGTCATTTTTTCCTTGGTTCCAAGATTGTAATACAGGAGTCCCATGCATTATTGGTTGGTTGTTTTATTGCATGGACAGTGAAGGAAATGAAGCTTGTCTGTGGAGAGGTCATAAAACAGGGAGATCTATAGAGAGACACATGAAAGAGACGGACAAACGAACTGATCAGTGGAGCTCATTGTTCCAATTCTTTCCTGATGTTTAAAGCTTAAATTCTTTCATCTTTCCTTATCTACTCTTGAGGCCTCCTGGATAGATGCTCTTGTGCATTTTTCTGTCTTGAAGGTGATCTGCTATGGAATCTCACTCTAGCATCTCACTTTTCTCAGAGACGAACCTTGCTTTTGGTTAAACCTCTATTAACTATCCATTAATTCTATCAGTTGCTTGCTCTTGGAAAATTGATCTGACAAACTTATTCATAGTGAGTTGTTAATAGACCAATGTATTTTCACATATCTGGTAAATCAGAATTTTCCAGAAAGATATTACAATTTTCTATTACTTTGTTATACCAGTTATTTCAGAGAACTTGAGGCTGACTGAGCAAAATGTGAACCCTTGATAGAATCTGGACTGGCTTCTTCCTAATTTGTCATTTTTCATCTCTACCATCTCTCTCTCTGGACTTGCTGCCTCTTTCTCTGTGCCTCCTCTGTGTCACTGCTTTCCTCAGCTGCCTGTATGTGGCCCATTTGAGGTGATGGGGGCCTATACACAAAGCTGACAAGTAACTTCCATATTTTGTCAAAAATTTAAAAATCAACTCCACTTGAACTCTATGGAGCTTCCTACTTACCATGATAAAAATAAATCAGAAAAACAAAAACATTCCCTGGCTACAGGGACTTGGCGTTATAACAGACATATCAAATTCACATGCATAATCTCTGGCCACATCTCCTACCATCCATTTCTCTCCTACTCAGAGCCAACCTGCTAAGCAGGTTCTTCCCTCAGAAATGTATATGGCTTACCCACTGCATTTGTTTTCTAGGGATGCTATAATAAAGTACCACAAAATAGGTGACTGAGAACAGCAGAAATTTATTTTGTCACAGTTTCAGAGGTCAGAAGTCCAAAGTCAAGTGTTGGCAGTGTGGCTCTTTTTGGAGACCCATTCCAAGCATCTCTCCTAGTTTCTGGTGTCTTCCAGCAAGCCTTGGCTTGTAGATGTGTCACTCTAATCTCTGCCTCCATCTTCATATCACCTTCTTTTGTGTCTCTGTGTCTCCCCATCTCCTTCTCTATTCTCTTATAAGAATATCAGTCATAGGGTAGAGAGCCCACCCTAATCCAGGATAATCTCATCTTGAGAATTTTAACTTAATTATGTCTACAAAGACCTTATTTCTAAATAAAGTCATATTCCTAGGTAGCAGGGTAGGACTTGGACATAACTTTTTTTGGGGGAGGAGGCACTGTCAACCCACTATACCTCTCCTCCTCACTCTTATCATATCTTCATTTAAATGCCATCACAAAAAGAGCTTCCCTGACCATGCTATAAAAAATAAACTCTCATGCCTTACTTAATAACAAACCTCCTCACTCTGTGTCTACTTATAGCTTGCTATGGCCTAACACAACTGCATGATACAATTCAATTATAGCTCCACTGCTAACCAACATAATCTTTCAGTATCCCCTCTTCAATTTGTTGACAGAGAAAAAAATCTAATTCGTAAATGTATTCATTTTTTCCTGGCCATGACTCATGTGCAAACAGGTGGATTGGCTACCCTGATATCAGGTACTCACTCTTGGTCCAGTTCCAGTGACTGGAAGTATGGATTTATATGAGGAAACCAGGGTCATGTAGGTATATAACAGAGAAATTCTCTTAGCAGAAGAACTAGGCATGTATAATATTATAATTATGTAACTTTTTTTTCCCCTGAGATAGGGTCTTGCTCTGTCATCCAGGCTGGAGTGCATTGGCATGAACACCGCCCACTGCAGCCTTAACCTCCTGGGCTTAAGTGATCTTCCCACCTCAGTGCCCCTACCCCCACCCCCCTGCTAGTAGCTGGGACTATAGGCACATGCCACCACACCTGGCTAAGTTTCTAATTGTTGGAGAGGGGTCTTGCCATGTTGCTCAGGCTGGTCTTGAACTCCTGGGCTCAAGCAACCCTCCCACCTTGGCCTCCCAAAATGTTGGGGTTACAGGTGTAAGCCACCATACCCAGCCTTGTTTTGACTTCTTTAGTGAAGTCCAGTTTAAATTAACTACAAAATGAGATGAAAAGATTTATCATTTTTCTTACTTAACAGGTGACAATAAATTCCTTCCCCTCTCTGTTCCCCCATCCCTCCTTTCTTTCCTTCCTTCCCTTATAGATATGTACACGCACACACACACACACAAACACACACAGTCTGTAAAGTTGCAGTTAGTGAATTTTAGTTTTTCAGAGTTAACCATGCAATAAACCAATGTTGTGGTCTCTAGTGTTTACTCGGCTGTTTGTAGGCTGGTTTCATCTTATTATTATTTTTTTTTTGTATTTGCCTTATCTTTCTTCATCAGAAAATATTTGGGGATAGCACAATAGAAAGAATATTTGGAGACCAGAAACTTAGATTTTCTGACTACCACCAATTAGCTGTGTCTGATTTATATTTATATCTGATAAATATTTACATTTAATATCAACAGGAGGGAAATTTGATGAGTCTAATATGTAAAATGTATGTTTATAAAATTGATCAATTGCTCCAATATGAACCACTGTGGGTCCAAACTTTTGAGTAGCAATCCAAAAATGAATAAATTTTTAGTCAAATAATTTATAACTTCTAGAAAATTAAGGAGAAATTTTGGCTTCAAAGAAGAATAACTTTTTTTTTCTTTCTACTGATATGAAGAAACTATTCCTTCCATGAGTCCTCATGGAGAGGCACTATATAAATGCAATAAAACGCTTCTTAGTTACATCCTGAAATTAACTACAGTAGTGGTTTCTGTAATGATTAAGGGAATGGCATCTTAAATTGGGTTCAAATTTTCCTACCACCATTTATAAGATGAATGGGCTTGAGAAAATTCTTTGTTGGTTTAGTTTCCTCATTGTTAAAATATTGAAAACAGTAGGGTATAACTCAAGTTTTTTTTTTTTTTTTTGTGAATAGTAAATGAAATCTGATGCACGATTCTTTTTGTTGTTGTTGTTGTTGTTGTTGAGATGGAGTCTCGCTCTGTTGCCAGGCTGGAGTGGTGTAGTGGGTGCGATCTCGGCTCACTGCAGCCTCTGCCTCCCGGGTTCAAGTGATTCTCCTGCCTCAGCCTCCTGAGTAGCTGGGACTCTAGGCATGTGCCACTATGCCAAGCTGAGTTTTGTATTTTTAGTAGAGATGAGATTTCACCCATGTTGGCCGGGAAGGTCTTGATCTCCTGACCTCGTGATCCACCTGCCTTGGCCTCTCAAAGTGCTGGAATTACAGGTGTGAGCCACCGCTCCCGGCTGCATATGATTCTTAGAATGGTGCTGGGCACATAGTCAACACAAAATATTAAGCTATGCCTGTTACTGAAATGCAATTTATTATTTTAAAAAATTCTCAAAAAATAATGATAGCCTAATGTCAAATTGAATTTCTTTCACAGTAAGTTTTTGGTCAAGCCAAAAGTTTCAGAGTTCTTTGACAATCATACTTAACCCAATGAGATATTTCATAGTAGATGAATGAGTTTATCTGTTCTTCAGATAAGAATTTACCTATTCAGATAATCATCTATAAATAGTTTCATTCAACATAGTTTGTGAGAAGTATTGATCAGTATTGATTTTGTGGTTATACTCTGACAAGTACTTGGAGTACAGGCATTCTGAGTTGTTGATTAAATGTAAAACTAGTGTTTGATATTTGAAAGGAGTAAAAAAAGATTTAAAAGCGAGAAACTTGATAAAGACACATCTTATAGAAACACTCTTTTTCTGCATGGAGTTGGGCTGAGGCTACCTGTGGGAAATATTAGTGTTATTGTTAAAATGTAATCTGAGGCTTGACCCAGTATCTAAATGAATGTGCAATTGAAACTCACAAATTTTAAATCAGAGAGCAGACGTGCAATAATTTTACCTTGGAAAGTTTTGAAAGCAGGTGTAAACAAATGCTCACCTCAGCCATAAATAAAAACTCAGTGAAATATTTATAGAATCTTTAACCTTGAGCAATATTCCTTTCTTGTAGATGCTCCAAATGTATGCCAAACTAACTGAATGGATTTAATGTATGGTGCAGATTTATTGATTAAGGACCATTTAAGAGTTAGAGAATATATATCCAAAACAATCATTTTAGTTACAGAATATTTTATGGTACAATTTATGTTTGAAATTACTTTGGTGGCTATCTGTAGAAGATTGTTTGAAGGCAATAGTGAAATCAAGATGTGGCGGTTAATTTTATATGTTAAGTTGACAGGGCTAAAGAATGCCCAGACAGCTGGTAAAACATTATTTCTTGGTGTTAATATGAAGGAATTTTTGGAAGATATTAGCATTTGAATAAGTAGATTAAGAAAGTGGCCCTCACCAATGTAGATGGGCATAATCCAATCCATTGAAAGTCCAAACAAAATTAAAAAATAGAGAAAAGACAAATTTGCTCTCTCTACTTGAACAGGGTCATCCATCTTCTCCTGTCTACAAACATTGGCTTTCCTCATTCTTGGGCCTTAGATTCGAACCATAACTTACACCATCAGATCCCTGGTTCTCAGGTCTTCAGGCTTGGTCTGAAACTATACCACTGGCTTTCATGGCCTACCAGCTTGCAGATGGCAGATAGTGGGACATCTCAGCCTCCATAATTGTGCAACCCAATTCCTAATAAATGAATATATTCCTCTATATCTATAGGTATCCTATGTGGTCTATTTCTCTGAAGAACCTGACTAATATACAGAGATAAATTAGGCTGCTATAGCAGGAGTATAGGTGAGATGCTTATGGCTGAACGTGAATCAGTTCAAGGATTTGTGAAAGCTCCTAATAGGACACCTACATGATTCATACCCAATCTTAATATTCATATCTGCAGGTTTAGCTAATTCTGCCAAGGCATATGGGGAATAAAAGTTAAATACAGTTAAAAAGATATTTTATATTTTAGCAGTGGATATATGCCTTGACAGAAGAAATGTACATTTTAAAACAAACCATACATACCTTTCCAGGGAACTGAACAGGAATCAGAAAGAAAAATTTTCAGTGACATGAGCTAGGTGACAGTTCCTCTGTAGTTGACACAGATAAGAATGGCCAAACTAGCCCTCTTTTTTGCTAATTCTATCTCTGAATGCTGAAGATATAAAAGTCCACAAGACTCTGAAAGTGAATAGATGATTCCTCTGAAGTCCAAGTCTCTTTCTGGAAAATAATATTAGTTAAAAAAAAAACATGTTCTTTGAACGTCACATTTTAGGGAATCTATTATACTAAAATTAGGAAACTTCTGAATCCATATATTTATAGTGACAACCTGGCAATATTAAGAGGTATTGCAAATACAGATCACTCTCTCAAAGCAGATGAGGTCATGTGTGCAAAAGTATTAATTTTAAATTTAGAAGTTTATCAAGAACTATGAAGGATCTGAGATTTTTATTCTACCTGTAAATTAACAAGTTAGCTTGCCACTGTTTCACGGATGTCACCAGCAGACATGGAATTTTATTTTTGTTCAAAGACAAAGGATTGTATTACCCTTGGCACAGCAGGTAGCATGAATTTCAAGTTTCATTTTTCCCCTTGCTCTTACCCACACTAAGCCCCACAGGAGCAATGTATAGATGGGTCAAGGTGGATGCTGTGCCCACTGTGTTAGTATCACAGCTGAGAAACCTCATGCTTAGGAAACCCCAATGTATTATAAGATGGCTGAAAGCAAACTTGACCAATCTTTGCTCTGAAAGGAGACATTATTTTTATTATATTGCACAGAAAACAGACCTGCACTCTGCCTCAGAGGTAGATAATATCTCCATCTTCCATGGGTCCTTGCTATCCAAACATCCTTCAAAAGATAGTCCAGAAAAATATCTGCTAGTAACACTGCTTACAAGACATAGGGAAATATGAGAAAGTCATGGAGAATTTTATTCCAACAGTGTTCAGAAAGAAAACCACACAAAGAGTATTCAAACATAATTTTAACTATGGTAAACTTGTCTGCATTGCAAAAAATTTATCATTGTAAAAAAATGTATAGTCACCAGTAGCTTGCAGCACATGTATATGCTATTTAAGTACCTGAGTGGAAAAACTATTTTATATATGATGTAGCTAGTCTAAACTGGGCTCTCCCAAATTGCTCAACCAAAAACAGACAAAGTGTTCTTATGTGCACCCTCAGCAAGGGAACAAGCTCTCTTCATCCATTGGGGTTGTAATAGTAAAATACCTGAGACTAGGTAATTTATATAAAATATAAATTTATGCTGGAGTTCTGGAGGTTTGGAAGTCTATGATCAAGATGCCAGCAACGTTGGTGTCTGGTAAGGACCTGGTCTCTTCTTCCAAGATGGTGTACTGTTGTTGCTATATCTTCTGGAGGGAAGGAATGGCACATCATCACGTAAGAAACAGTGGAAGAGCAGCAGAGGCTAACTCTCCCTGAAGCCTGTTTTAGGAGGCCATTAATCAATTTATGAGGTCTCTGCCCTTTTGACTTAATTACTACTCAGAAGGTCCCTCCTCTTTAAACTGCTGCATTGGGAATTACATTTTGACATGAATTTGGAGGGGACACCATCGTTCAAACCATAATGCAATCCCAGCCAACCTTCTTGTGAGAATTCCATTCTGTCCCTTCTAACCACGCCCATCTCTTCTACTTGGAGTTTTACTATGTATAGCTAGATTAAAGGTCCTGTTACTTGTGGGGAATAGTGAGGAGGCTACAAATGGAGGCAACACGTGTTTTAAAATTCCTACCATATATCATATTGAGACAATTTACAAGGTTGTTGGAAATGATATACAGAAAACCAAAACAGTAGAAATTTTAGAATTATAACTCATAGTCTTTTCACTGAGCTCGGAAAAGACAATTCAGCTGTTTGTAACATATGGTAAATACTGTTAGCAAAAGAATAAATAGCTATAGATTTCTTACTGTGAATCTCTGTATTGTAGCTAATAGCAGATTTTTCAGAATTAATCAGGCATTAAAATTAAGTTCCATGATGACTTTTGGTGTTTACTCAGCTATTTGGAGTGATGTTTAATCTTGCTATTCTTTTTCTCCACTTTTTAGCACTGCATTACATAAATTGTAATTATTGCTTCCTCATTTCATCTTCCTTTCTGACTTGACCACTAAGCTAATGTCACATAGTTTAGACTTTTTGTTATAAAGTAACTCAAATTAAAATTTAAATTTATGGACAGGCATTGTGGGTAATGCCTATAATTCCAGGATTTGGGGAGGCAAAGGCAGGAGAATCGTTTCAGGCCAGGAGTTCAAGACACGCTTGGGCAATATAGCAAGACCTTGTCTCAAGTAAAACTACAAAAAATTACCCGGACTACAGGGATGTGCCTGTAGTCCCAGCTACTGTGGAGGCTGAGGAGGGAGAGTTACTTGAGCCCTGGAGTTCAAGCTTGTGGTGATCTATGATTGTGCCATGGCACTCCAGCCTGGGCAACAGCCTGGGCAACTTTATCTCAAAAAAACATTAAATTTCTGTAAATTAATGAAATATGACTGGATAAAGAAATGGAATTACTATATTTTTGAAGGCTAACATGAAAGCTGTGGAAAGACACAATAATGGAAGTCACTAAAAAGAAATTGCTCTCAAATTAGGATTAGGTGAGCCAAATATATATAATTATAAATAAAAGAATGGAAAACAGCTAAAAAAGAGTTTACACTTATATTACTTATGACTAACTTTAAGTTGTGTTCTAGGTTTAAAAAAGTATATACAGAAAACTAAAGATTTTTAAAAGTTTGTATATGTTTATCAATAATAAGACACTAAACTATAGTCAGCAGATCTATATGTGAGATCTAAGCATTAGTCAGATATCACAAGGTTGGCAAAAGAATAACTCTATCTATTGATTCATCAATCTGTTGCCTATCATCTGTTTTTATGTCATCGTATTTCTATCTATGTTTTTTAATTGCCCATTTTAGCCAACATTTTCAAGTAAGTGACAAATCTCAGTGATATAATGTATGGGGGCTTCCTCTCCAGAGCTGGTAGCTGCTTGCATGGATGCTCTTCTGCTCCTTCAGAGGTTTTTGCATATGCCTATTCTAAGTCAGTCTGTGCTGATTAAAGATAATTTAATTAAAGATAATTTAATTTCCCCTGAATTTTTCAGGAGAGAGAGAGCCCCTTCACATACAGGTGGTCAAACTGGGTAGGTGTATAGTTGTTTGTTTTTATTAGTTTGCTTTTGTTTTTTCACTTATGATTGAGTTATGAGCATTTATTCCTAGCATTAAGTCTTACAGAAGTGTGATTTCGAGGGGCATTGTATGGCATTTCATCAAATATAGGCTCTTTTAAATTTACTTTAGTGCCCAAATTTTGTACATTTTGGTTACTGATATGGTTTCATTCTATGTCCCCACCCAAATCTCATCCTGTAGCTCCCATAATTCCCATGTGTTGTGGAAGGGACCCAGTGGGAGATGATTGAATCATGAGGGTGAGTCTTTCTTGTATTGTTCTCGTGACAGTGAAGGGGTCTCATGAGATCATAGTCTTAAAAATGAGAGTTTCCCTGCACAAGCTCTTTCTTTGCCTGCTGCCATCCATATAAGATGTGACTTGGTGCTCCTTGCCTTCCACCATGATTATGAGGCCTACCCAGCCATATGGAACTGTAAGTACAATAAACCTCTTTATTTTGTAAATTGCCCAGTCCAGAAAGAAAGTCCACTGTCTTTATCAGCAGTGTGAAAATGGACTAATACAGTTATCAAACATTTTTAATTCTAATAATTTAAACTTGGCAGAGATCTGCTATGATAATACTTTGTGCTTATTGTGCAATTTATCCTTTGGATAAATTACTAGAAGTGGAACTTCTATATAAAAAAGTATGAACAATTCCAAGGCTTTGCTATCTGTAGCTAAAGTACTTTACAGAGCTTATTCCAATTTACATTCCCTTCAGCTAACTTATTGCTTCCTATTTAACAATAAATATTGACATTTTAAGTTTTATCAAATTGCTAGGTAAAAATAGTGTTGTGCTACTTTAACGCATATTTGGTTCCAAGGGGGACATATCCCCCATATGTTTATTGATTGGTTTTTGTTTCTTTTTTGTGAGTTGACTGAACTCAGTACATCCTTCCAAGAGATATTAATTGTGGTTGATTTTATTTACTACAAATACTTTACCCACCTTGTTTACTTTTTAATTTTGTCTGTGGTGTCTTCAGGTGCACAATACACCAACAAAAATAGAATTATAAAAATTTTATTGCTACCGTTAAGTATCTTTATTTATTTTTTTAAAGAGAAAACATTTAAATGATTAAAGGGCATCCTTGTAACTAAGAGTAAGTACATCAAAAAATTACTTGATTAGAGTTTATGAGTTTTAAATCCTGTCATTAAAAAGTTGAAAAAAAGAATGACATTATGGCTTTGCTATAATAAGATGCTGCTTTTATAATGTAAAATATGGTTACTCACTTGAAAAATAAACTCAAGAGAATAAATTTATTTATTTATTTTGTCATTTATTCATCCAGGCAAATCCCAAATGGTGAAGTTGCAATAATATTATTGGTATGGGGTTGGAATACATCTTTTAGCTGTCTGTGTGATTTTTCTGAAAGATAATGTTTCTTTAGAGAAGGACATATTAAAAACATTTTTCCAAAGAAGAAAAAATAAAAGAAGAAAAAAATATTGTAGCATTTCATATACATCTAAATGAAGTGTGATATATATTTGCCAATTATCTAAAAGCAAATCTCAGCAAAAATGCAATAACTTTCATTACAAGAACAAAATGTGAAATATAATTTGTGTGTGTGTGTGTGTGTGTGTGTGTGTGTGTAGTGTTATACAGAGCAAAGCATATATATTTTAATATGCTTTAAAGGCTGAAGACATTTTTAAAGCATCAACCATGGAAATGAAATTAATTGAAAAAAAGAGATAGAGAGACTGAAACCCAGAAGAGGAATTAAAATAATCACTGAAAGCTACTAAAATTTTAATACAGCAGGTTTTTTTTTTAAAAATTAATTTTTGTGTGTACATAGTAGGTATATATATTTGTGGGGTATATAAGATATTTTAATAAAGGCATGCAATGTGAAATAATCACATCATGGAGAATGGGGTATTCATCCCCTCAATTCTTTGTGTTACAAGCAATCCAACTACACTCTTTCAGTTATTTTTAAATGTACAAGTAAGTTATTATTGACTGTAGTCACCGTCTTGTGCAATCAAACAATATGCCTTGTTCATTCTTTCTATTTTTTTGTACCCATTCAGTACACCCACCTCCTCCCCCTCCCCCCACTACTCTTCCTAGCCTCTAGTAATGATCCTTCTACTTTCTATGTCCATGAGTTCAATTGTTTTGATTTTTAGATCCTACCAATAAGTGAGAACATGTGACATTTGTCTTTCTGTAGTTGCCTGATTTCACTTAACATAATGATCTCCAGTTCCATCCATGTTGTTGCAAATGACTGGATGTCATTCTTTTTTATGGCTGAATAGTACTCAGTTGTGTATAAGTACCACATTTTCAACATCTATTCATCTGTTGATGGACACTTAGGTTGCTTCTAAATCTTAGCTATTGTGACCAGTGCTACAACAAACAAGGGAGTGCAGATATCTCTTCAATATACTGATTTCCTTTCTTTTGGGTATGTATCCAGCAGTGGGATTGCTGGATCATATGGTATCTATTTTTACTTTTTTGTGAGAAAGCTTCAAGCTGTTCTCCACAGTAGTTGTACTAATTTATATTTCCACCAACAGTGTATAAGGATTCCCTTTTCTTCACATCCTCACTAGCATTTGTTATTGCCTGTAGTTTGGATATAAGCCATTTTAACCCAGAGTGAGATGATATCTCATTGCAGTTTTGATTTGCATTTCTCTGATGATCGATGATATTGAGCACCTTTTCATATATTTGTCATTTGTAAGTCTTCTTTTGAGAAATGTCTATTCAAATCTTTTGCCTATGTTCTGATCAGATTACAAGATTTTTTTCTCCTGTAGAGTTGTTTGAGCTCCTTATATATTCTGGTTATTAATCCCTTGTCCAGATGGGTAGTTTGCAAATACTCTCTCCCATTCTGTAGGTTGTCTCTTCACTTTCATGATTGTTTCCTTTGCTATGCAGAAGCTTTGTGACTTGGTATGAGCCCATTTGTCCATGTTTACTTTGGTTGCCTGTGTTTGTGGGGTATTATTCAAGAACTTTTTGCCCAGACCAATGTCCTGGAGCTTTTCCCCAATTTTTTCCTGTAGTGGTTTCATAGTTTTATGTCTTAGATTTAAGTCTTTAATCCATTTTGACTTGGTTTTTATGCACTGTGAGAGAGAGGGGTCTAGTTTCTTTCTTCTGCATATGGACATTCAGTTTTCCCAGAACCATTTATTGAAGAGACTGTCTTTTCCACAGAGTATGTTCTCGACAACTTTGTTGAAAATGAATTCATTGTGTGTGGATTTGTTTCTGGGTTCTCTATTCTGTTCCATTGGTCCATGTGTTTGTTTTTAATGCCATAGCAGAAGATTTTAAAAAGCATATTTTAAAACATTTATTTTTAAATTTTATGGATACATAGTTGTGCATGTTTATAGGATACATGTGATGTTTTGAAACAAATATGCAATGTGTAATTACTGAGTCTGGGTAATTGGAATATCATAATCTCAAAAATTTATCATTTATTTTGTGTTGGGAATATTCTAAATCTTGTCTAGCTATTTTGGAATATACAATAAATGATTGTTAACAATAGTTACTCTATTGTACTACCAAACCCTGGAACTTATTTTTGCTATTTAGCTCTATTTTTGTACCCATGAAAACCAACCCCTCTTCATCTCCCCTGCCCACTACTCCTTCCAGCCTCTGGTAACCACGATGCTGTTCACTATTACCATGAGATCTATTTTAAAAAGAGGATTTTTAAAAATAAGATATTTTTCCTATATTCAAATGGAAGCTGACAAGAAGTTACTGTGAGCCATATTTTTATTTCAAATGAGGAAGTATTTTAAAAATTCTTTTCTAACAACTTTTTGAATGTTTAGTTTCTTCTTAAGTGGCCTGACCCCATTCTTTGCTTTTGCACTGTTCTTGAATTTTCTTTCCCTAACAAGATGTTTTACTTGCAAATGCATTATATTTTACTTAAATTGGAGTCTGCTATCATCTCTTATCTTGTGGCATCATATCTTGCTCTGCCTTACTCCTGTTTCAATAGTTTGGCATGAAACAACTGCTACAAACTGACAATTGATTTGTTTTGGGAGCTTCTGGGGCAGGTGCAGAAAGACGTAAGTTTGAAAACATAAAAAAGAGATGCCTGTTGGAAGTTCATTTACTTGCAAATGAAATAGAAAAATTGGATTCGGGGAAGAGGCAGAGAAAAAGGTCAACCTAAAAATAAATAATTGGCTTTCAGAAAATTGATAATTGGGTGAATTTGACTTGTACTTCTTAAAAAAATGAGATATAATTTACAGAAGGAGAAATGCACTGATCTTATATATACAGATTGATAAATGTTCACAGACAGGTATCCTACACCCTAGTTGAAATATAAAATATTGTAATAAGCCTGGAAGGTTATCTCACATCCACTTCTACTCCATCTCCACCTTTCCAGTAATTTCTATTCTTATTTTTATAGCCCTAGATTAGTTTTGCCTATTCTTGAATTTTACATAAATAAATTATTCAGTATAACTTATTTTGCATGTATTTCTTTTCTATAACAACATTTTACCATTTATTAATGTTATTGTATGTAGGGGTTCAGTCAGGATGGTGGGAAAAATTATAAAATAAATACAAACTTCTTGGAAGGCCTGAGGTTTTTGCAAATGCCTTAAGATAAAATTATGGCTGAAGGCAGCCTAATCGTCTTTGAGCTATAGCAAGGATAATTAACACAGGAATGTAGAGGAGTCTATCTAAATAGCTTGTTTAATCATGTGGTCTTAAGACTAACCTTTGGCCATCCGCGGGTGCATGATTGCTCTCTACTCTGGGGGGATCGGCAATGGTAATTACCTCTAGTGGTGTTTACTTGAGAGCTTTTGTCATGTAATGTATACTGAAAAAATGCTGGGAAGGCCAGTGAGTCGGGGCCCCAGCTGCTACTCTTTACAGCACTCTCCTTGGAGTCTGTAAGTGGCCTGGATGCTCAGCTGGACTGACAAGCATAATATCTGTGTCAGTGTACGTTATTCATCTGTTATTGGGTCAGTGTCTGCGGGATGGACCACCCCCCCCACAAAGCTGGTGCCCTGTGTGAGGAGCACTGCGAAGGGAGCATGATGGACCCCCCAAAAACGAAGGTGAAAAGGACTGTGCAGGTCAGTGAGTCAGTAAGTCACTGATGCCCAGTCAGGATTTCCAAGTTTGGCGGGGGATTGTTCAGGCTGAAGTTTCATCATGGGACAACAGTCATCAGCTCAACAAAAACAGTATATAAAAATATTGAAACAGCTGCTTAAGGCTAGTGGAGCCTCAGTTTCACAGTCTTAATTAAGGGACCTAATGCAAACTGTTGTAAACCATAGTCCATACGTAGAGCTCTGAGAACAAGTTAGGGAGAAACCTTTTTTTTTTTTTTTTTTTTTTTTTGAGATGGAGTCTTGCTCTGTGCCCAGTGGCACCATCTCAGCTCATTGCAAGCTCCGCCTCCCGGTTTCACACCATTCTCCTGCCTCAGCCTACTGAGTAGCT
This sequence comes from Homo sapiens, assembly GCF_000001405.40. Classification (NCBI taxonomy): domain Eukaryota; kingdom Metazoa; phylum Chordata; class Mammalia; order Primates; family Hominidae; genus Homo; species Homo sapiens. Next base: position 44,792,699 of record NC_000004.12, read on the forward strand.
GGGACTACAGGTGCCCACCACCATGCCCGGCTAATTTTTTGTATTTTTAGTAGAGGCAGGGTTTCACAGTGTTAGCCAGGATGATCTTGATCTCCTGACCTCGTGATCTGCCCACCCTGGCCTCCAACACAGGCATGAGCTACTGCACGCAGCCAGGAGAAATCTTAAACAACATTATGCACAAGGGCAACGGGTCCCAGTAACAGCTCTAACACTATGGGCTTTAGTTAGAGCTGCTCCGGTTCCATTACACACAGAAGAACCTAAAAAGTGGAAGGAGGAGGAACTGTCACCTGCCTTACCGCCTCCTCTTCCCTCAGGCCCAATATCACGGGCCAAAATAACAAAGAGGAAACGGAGATTTTACATGAGCCCCCTCCTCCAATAAATAGGAAAAAGGACAAGAGACATGCTCCAGCTATGGGACCTTGTCTTAAGGATGCAGCATTAAAAGGGGAGCTCTTAGCTTGCCCAGTAATGCAAGATTGGCAAAGCAATCAGGCATGCTATCTATGTCAGTGTGTGTCTTTGGTTCAGGGTCTGAAGGATGGACCCAGGCAATTGTGTGTGCGTATATATGTATATTTTATAACTGAGTAGTACTCCATTGTATAGATATCACCAAATTGTTTAGCTGTTGGTTTGGTTGCCACCAAATGAATTTGATGATCAACTTTCCCTTTTCTGACCCTCAAAAAAGTCATTGGAGTTTTGATAAAGATGGTATTGAATCTAGAAATTAATTTGGGGAGTATTGCCAGCTTAACAGTATTGATCCATGATCATGGAATGGTTGTTTATTTGGCTATTCTTTTATTTCTTTCAATAATATTTCATACTTGTTAATGTACAAATCTTGCCCTACTTTTATTAAATATACACCTATTTTATTGTTTTTGATGCTATTGTAAATAGTATTGCTTTATTAATTTTGTCTTTTTTTCTAGTATATAGAAATACAATTGATTTTATTATATTTAACTTGTATCTTGCAATGTGCTGAACTCATTTATTAGTTCTAATAGTTTTTTGGTGGAGTTAAGATTTTTTATATACAAGAATGTGTCATCTGTGAAACAAGATAGTTTTACTACTTTCTTTCAAATCTGGTTAACTTTTATTTCTTTTTATTGCTTAATTTACCTGGGAACATCCTTAGGCACAATGTTTAATAAAATTGTTGAGAGTTGGCATGCTTGTTCCTGATTTTATGAAGAAATATTTCAGACTTTCAACATTAAATATGATATTAGCTGAGCATGTTTAATAGGCACCCTTTATCAAATTTAGGAAGTTTCTTTGTCTTCCTACTCTGGCTGAGATTTTTTATCATAAAGAGTTGTTGAATTTGTCCAATTCTCTATTAAAATGGTCATGTGCTTTTTTTTTCTTTCATTAATATGGCATATGACATGGATTTATTTTCTCATGTATCTTAGTCCATTTTGTGCTGATAAACCACAACTGGGTAATTTACAAAACCCAGAAATTTATATTTTCACAGTTCAGGAGTTTGGGAAGTCCAAAATCCAAGAGCTGACATTTGGTAAAAGCCTTTTTGCTGGGTCCTCTGGAAGAAAGGAATACTGGGTCCCCACATGACAAAGTGGGAGGTAAGGAAACAATAAGGGGCCAAACTTGCCCTTTTATAATGGTATTAATCCCACTCAAGAGAAGAAAGAGCTCATGGCCCTATTACCTCCCAAAGGTACCATTTTTCAACACTGCCACAAGGCAAACAACTTTCAACATGAGTTTTGGAGGGGACAAACATTCAAACCATAGCAACATGTTTTACATTAACATTGCATTCCTGGGATACATCCTAATTGTTCATGGTGCATGACCCTTTCTAGGTTGCTGAATTGTTGCTACTATTTTGTTGAGAATTTTTGTGTACATATTCCTCAAAAAATACTGGTTTGTAGTTTCCTTTTTGTAATATTTTCATCTGGTTTGAACACTGCCTCCTTAAAATGACTTGAGAAGTGTTCATTCATCTTCTGCTCTTTGAAAGAGTTTAATATTGGTGTTAATTTAAAAATATTTGGCAGGATATACCAGTGAAGTTGTGTGTTCCTGTGCTTTTCCTTTTGAGATATTTAAAAATTAGTAATTCAACCTATTTGGTCATTGTAGGTTTATTTGGATTTTTTATACCTTTTGGGGTTAGTTTTTATAGTTTGTGAATTTACAGAAATCTGTTCATTTCATCTAGGTATCTAATTTGTTCATATACATTTATTTAATAATCCATTTTAATATTTTTTATTTTCATAAACTTGGTAGAAATTATTCCTCTTTTAATACTGATTTTAATAATGGGACTCTTTTTCTTGTTCAGTCTGGTTACATGTTTGTCTTTTTTGTTGTTTTTCTTTTAACATAACACATTATTGGTTTTGTCTATTTTCTGTATTGTTTTTATATTCTATATTCCATTAATTTCCACTATAATTCATACTATTTTCTCCCATTGTATTGCATTGATTTAGTTTGCTCTTGTTTCTAGTTTCTTAAAGTGGAACATTAGGTTGTTTATTTGAAATTTTTCTTCTTTTATTACATAGGTGTTTACAGCTATAACTGAGCAACTGAGCACTACTTTAGCTGCATTCCATAAATTTTACTATGTTGTTTTGTTTTCATTTATCTCAAAATATTTTCAATTTTCCTTGTGATTTTTTGGCCCATTGGTTAGGGATGTGTTGTTTGCCACATATTTGTGAATTTTCCAAATGGCCTTCTATAATTGATTTTTAATTTCATTTCATTAAGATAGGAGAAACCACTCTCTCCATTTACAATAATTTTAAATTTATTGAGTCTTGTTTCATAGCCTAGCATATAGTTTATCCTGAGGAATGTTTCGAGTGCACATGAGAAGTATAAGTATTCTGGGGTTGTCAGGTGGAGTGCTTTATAGATGTCCGTTAGGTCTTATTAGCTTATGATAATTTTCAAATCTTATCTCTGTTATTTGGATAGTTGTTCTATCCTATATTGAAAATGGGGTATTGAATGCTCCAACTACCATTGTTGAACTGACTATTTCTCCCTTCAATTCTGTCAGTTTTTGCTTCATGTATTTTGGGATTCTGTTATATATATAATATATATACATATATAATATATATATAGTTATAATTGTTTGCTGATACGTTGGCCATTTTATAATTATAAAATGTCCTCTGCTTTTCAACATTTTTTGTCTTGAAGTCTGTGTTGTCTGATATTATTATAGCCACATTAACTCTCTTTTGGTCACTGTTTGCATAGTATGCCTTTTCCTGTCATTTAACTTTCAGTCTATTTTTGTCTTCAACTGAAGTGTATCTCTCTTAGAAAGTATACTGTTGACTCTTTTTTTTCCTATTCATTCTGCCAGTCTCTGCCTTCTGATTGGAATGTTTATCCATTTACATTTAACATGATTACTAATTATATAAGTTTTATTTTTTCTTTGTTGTTTCTCTATTCCTCCATTATTGCTCCCTTTTGTGTTAAGTAGATACTTTTAATAATACTACTTTCATCCTTGTATTGTCTCTTTGATTATATTTCAGGAAATATTGTTTATACATTGTCTTGGAATTTGTAGTTGACTGGACTTGAAACAATATTTTTCAGATTAATACCAACTTAATTTCAATAATATATAAAACCACATATATGTGTGTATGCCTGTATGCATATATTTCTATTTCTTTCTCCTTTTTTGTGCTATTATTTATACAAATTATATTCTTATACATTATAAGCCAATGCCAATTAGCATCATTTTACAATTATTGCTTGTTGAAGTTGTGTTTTAAGTCATATAGCAGAGAAAAAGAGTTTCAAACAGAAATACGTTTATACCGTCTTTTATATTTACCGATGTAGTTACCTTTACTGGTGCTATTTATTTATTTGTGAGGATTCAAGTTATGGCCTAGTGTCCTTTTCCACTCTCTCCTATTTTATTTTTCTGGAATACTTAAATTTATTTTTAAAGGATAAGTTTGCTGAATGTAGAATTTTCAGTTAACACTCATTTTCTTTCAGTACTTTGAATAAGTCATCTCACTACTTTCTGGCCTTTACAGTTTTTAATAAATCTATTGTTACCTGATTGAGGATTTCTTCCACATGATAATTCACTCCTTTTGACATTTTCATTATGATGTGTCAATGTGTGAGTCTCTGGGTTTATTCTACTTGTAGTTTATTAAATTAAACTTCTTGGATGTGTAGGTTACACTTTTTCATGAAATTTGGGGTGCTTTTAGACACTGTTTCTTCAAATATTCTTTGTCTTTTTCTTTCTCTCTCTTGTCCTTCTGATACTTCCATAATACATTTGTTGATAGCCTTGTTCATGTCTCACATGTCTCTGTAGCTATGCTCTTTTCCATATTCATTTTCTTTCTGTTTCATATGGTTTGGATCTGTGTTGCCACCGAAATCCCATATTCAATTGCAATCCCCAATGTTGGAGATGAGTTCTGGTTGGAGGCGATTGGATCATGGGGGTGGTTTCTCACAGTTTAACACCATCCCCGCTTGGTGGTGTCATCACTATAATGAGTTATTGTGAGATCTGATTGTTTAGAAGTGTGTGGCACTGGCCAGGCAAGGTGGTTTATGCCTGTATTCCTGGCACTTTGGAAGGCCAAGGCTGGTAGATCACAAGGTCAAGAGATCGAGACCATCCTGGCCAACATGGTGAAACCCCATCTCTACTAAAAAAAAAATACAAAAATTAGCTGGGTTTGGTGGTGTGTGCCTGTAATCCCAGCTACTCAGGCAGCTGAGGGAGGAGAATGGCATGAACCTGAGAGGTGGAGATTGCAGTGAGCTGAGATTGCACCACTGTACTCCAGCCTGGTGACAGAGTGAGACTCTGTTTCAAAACAAAACAAAACAAAACAAAACAAAACAAAACAAAAGAGTGGCACCTCCTACCTCTCTCTCTTGGTCCTACTCCTGCCATGTAAAACATCTGCTCCCACTTTGCCTTCCACCATGAGTAAAAGCACTTTGAGGACTACCCAGAAGCAGATGCTGCCATGGTTCCTGTACAGCCTGCAGAACTTTGAGCCAATTAAACCTCTTTTCTTTATAAATTACCCAATCTCAGGCATTTCTTTATAGTTGCATGAGAACAGACTAATACAGAAAATTGGTACTGAAGAGTAGGACATTGCTATAAAGATATCTGAAAATGTAGAAGTGACTTTGGAACTGGGTCACAGGCAGAAATTGGAAAAGTGTGGAGGGCCCAGAAGACAAGAAGATGAGGGAAAATTTAGAACTTCTTAGAGACTTGTTAAATTGCTGTGATCAAAATGCTGGTATTGACATGGACAATGAATTTCAGGCTGAGGAGATTTCAGATGGAGATGAGATACTTATTGGGAAGTGGAGCAGACATCACTTTTGTTATGCTATAGCAAAGAACTTGGAGGAATTGTGCCCCTGCTCTAGGGATACGTGGAAATTTGACCATGACAGCGATGAGTTAGGGTATCTGGTAGAAGAAATTTATAAGCAGAAAAGTGGTCAAGATGTTGCCTGACTGCTTCTAATAGTCTATTCCCATATGTGTGAGCAAATCAATGATGTAAAACTGCAAGTTATATTTAAAGGGGAAGTAGAGCATAAAAGCTGGAAAAATTTTCTGCCTGGACATGCAGTATAGAAGGAAAACCCATTTTCTGGGGAAGAATTCAAGCAGGATGCAGAAATTTGCATGAGTTAAGAGGAGCCAAATGTTAATAACCAAGGGGATGAGGGAAAGGCCTCAAAGGCATTTCAGAGACCTTTGCAGCAGCCCCTCTCATCACAGGCCTGGAGGCCTAGGAGGACTGAATGGTTTTCTGGGTGAGGCCCAGAGCCCTACTTTCCAGTGCAGCCTCAAGACACTGATCCCTGCATTCCAGCCACTCCAGTTCTAGTCATGGCTATAAGGGATCCAGTTACAGCTTGGACTGCTGCTTCAGAGAGTGCAAGCCATAAGCCTTGGCAGCTTTCATGTGTTGTTAAGCCTGTGGGTGCACAGCATGGAAGAGTTGAGGCTTGGGAGCCTCCACCTACATTTCAGAGGATGTATGAAAAAGCCTGGTTGTCCAGTCAGCAGTCTGCTGCAGGGGCAGAGCCCTTATGGAAAACCTCTACTAGGGCAGTGCAGAGGGGAAATGTGGGATTGAAGCCCCCACACTGAGTCCCCACTGGGGCACTGCCTCATGGAGCCGTGAGATGTAGAGCACTATCCTCCAGTCCCTGGAATGGTAGAGCCACCAACAGCTTGCATCGCATGCCTGGAAAAGCTGCAGGCTCTCAGTGACAGCCCATGAGAGCAACTGTGGGAGCTGAACCCTGGAAAGCCACAGGGCTAGTACTGGTTAAGACCTTGGGAGCCCACCCTTTGCATCAGCATGGCTGGGATGTGAGAAATGAAGTCAAATGATATTATTTTGGATATTTAGGATTTAATGACTGCCCTGCTGGGTTTCAGACTTGCATGGGGCCTGTAGCCCCTTGCTTTTGGTACATTTCTGCCTTTTGCAAAGGGAATATTTATCCAATTCCTGTACCTCATTCATATCTTGAGGTAACTAACCTTTTTTTTATTTTACAGGCTCATAGATAAGAAGGGACTTGCCTTGTTTCAGATGAGACTTTGGACTTTTGAGTTAAGACTTTAGGGGACTGTTGGGAAGGCATGACTGTTTTGCAATTTGAGAAGGACATGATATTTGGGAGGGGCTGCGGTGGAATGATATGGTTTGGATCTGTGTCCCCATCCATATTTCATGTTCAGTTGTAATCTCCAGTGTTGGAGGTGGGGCCTGGTGGGAGGTAATTGGATCATGGGGGCAGTTTCTTATGGTTTAACACCATTCCCCCTTGGTGATGTCATTGTGACATTGAGTTCTTATAAGATCTGGTTGTTTAAAAGTGTGTGGCACTCCCCCCTCTCTCTCAATCCTGCTCTTGCCATGTAAGACGCCTGCTCTCACTTTGCCTTCCATCATGAGTAAAAGCTCCCTGAGGCCTCCCCAGAAGCAGATGCCACCATGTTTCCTGTACAGCCTGTGGCCATGAGCCCATTAAACTTCTTTTTATATAAATTACCCAGTCTTAGGTATTTCTTTATAGCAGTGTGAGAATGGACTAATACAACTAGATAATCTCAACTAACCTATCTTTCTATTTCTAGTAAAATAGATACTAGTTTGCTATTTCTTTCTTCCACCAGCTCAACTCTTCTGTTGAGCCCCACTAGTAAATTTTCATTTCAAAATAAAATTTCAAAATTTTATTATGCTTTTCAACTCCAGAATTTTTGTTTGTTTTTTTAAATAATTTCTATATTTTATTGATTTTCCTTATTATGACATTGTTCTTATACATATCTTTAATTCTTTAGACATGGTTTTTATTAGTACTTGAAAAATATGTTTATATATGTGTACACACATACAGATGTATATCTAACTCATTAAAAGTCTCTGTCTAGTGAACCAACATCCGAGCTTCTTCAGGCATATCTTCTAGTGAATGTATTTTTGCTTATACATAGGCCATACTTTTCTCTTTCTTTGTATGCCACAATATTTTTGTGGAAAACTAGATATTTTAAATTGCATAATATGAAAAATGTTGACATCAGAATTCCTCACTTTCATATTTGTTGTTGTTGCTATGTTGTAACACAGTGTGTGTCAGTGTATGCCTTCAAGATTTCATTGATTAACAACTCTACCTTAGTCTTCACATCCTGCTTTGTAGAGTCTCATCATCAGCCAGAGGTGAGAGATTATGGCCTTTCCTACTGTTCCTGGGCAAGCACATTGCCCTGCACATGTTCATGGCCTTCTAGATCTCTAGATGTATGTCTTCCTAAGAACATTTTATTCCCCATATTCCTTAAAGATTTAGAACTTTAAGACCTAAAGTTTTTGGTTAGTTTCTGTTTGTTTGTTCCAATTGGTATTGCTGCCCTAATCGGCTGTGATAAACAGTTACCACTGATTGTTTCTGACAAATGTCTTGGGTATAGAGCTTATACCACTGAGTGAATACTGAATTACATAAAACAAAAACAAGCTCTGTGAATGAGAATTCTCTAGGGAGCTGCCAAACATGCCAAACAGTAACAATATTTGTATGTAAGTCTTAGGGGGATGATCTAGTGCCCTCTCCAGTAGCTGCTAGATTGTTGAGTTTTACAGCTACTGTTGTTGCAAGACTGATTATTTTGAAGGATATTGCAGAGCTGTGGCAAGGGGGATGCAAATAGAGAAAATTAACATGCCACAAAACTGGCTGTCGTTATGAAGACTCAGCTATTTTTCTTCAAAAAAATGCTCCTTGTAATGTTGCAAGCCTTTGGTAATTTCTAGAATGTAAAAAAAGTTGATTTTGACCATTTTTTGGGCAAGTGTTTTTTGTGCTTATGTTGGAGCTGACTTATTTTGTTATTCCAGAACTCTTGCGTGATGGTCTTTTAACTGGAATGCCTACTTATTACTCTTTTCCCCTCACAATACAGTCTTGATAGAGAAGCCTAAGAGAACTAGTAAAAGTATAAATCAGATCATATCACTACTCTGACAAAAAACTTTTGAATTGGTATTTCTTAATGTTTAGAATTAAATTTAAGTTTCTGATTATGGTCTACAAACCATTTTGGCTTAAGAGACTTTATAAGTGAGGTTCAAAAGCAGCAAAAAGGTAGCAAAAAGAGCATGGGGAATTACTTTGAAGCTGATATCTATACAAATCACATTTCATTTTAGGGGGAGGTGGAGTGTTGCTTTTGTTTGCTACTGACAATTGTAGTGATACAACTCTCTTATCTGTTGGATTATCTTGGCTCCTAACTGGACTTTTATTGCATCATCTCTTTCCCCTTAGAAACTACAAATTGCTGATTTCTGAAAGCCTGTTCTTCCCTATTACATTATTCTCCTCTCATTAGTTGTCTGTTTACTTTTACATCTGAATTTTAATCTATTGTTGTAGACAAGGAGCTGTGCAACTCCATTCCCCCTTCAACGAAGGAATTATTGCCCAACCCTGAAGATGGTAGCCAACCAAGAATTTCCTACATTCAGTTCCTTTGGGCCAGGCTCAGTTGCAGGGAGGAAACGTCACTGAGGTTGTGCATTCACAACCCATGGTAATCATTTACCCTGAATTATATATTAATTTATCCTGACTATATAATTGGGATTTAGATGCTTGTAAGATGGCACTATTGCATTTTTGGTCCTTGGAGTGCAGGGCAATGGCCTAATGAAAGCTTCTGAATATGCCCTCTCTGCCTTCAGCCAAGATAATAAATTTAAAAAAATAGTGCACAGTGAAAAACTGGGCATAGATGGAGAGTATAGAGTTACTATTAAGAATCTAAAAAATGAAGGGATGGTGATATTTATCACATATAATATTAACTTACCAGTTTGGCCACTACAGAAACTAGATGTATCCTGTAGAATGACTCTGCATTACAGCAAGCTCAAGTAAATAGTAGCTCTAACTACAACTACCGTGCCAAAGAAAGTATCTTTGCTAGAATGATTAATATGGCCTCAGGTATATAGTTATTCTCCAGGACTATGTTAATTCTCTTTTCACAATGTAGTCTAAAGAGATATGGACCATTTTTTATATCCTGAAGACTATTACATTGATTCATTGCATCAATAATATGTAGATCTGGCTGGATGAGCAAGAGATGGCTAGTCTTGCTGCAGGCTCAGTAAGACAAATTTGCTCCAGAGAGTAGGAAATAAACCCTAAAAGATTTGGGGGCTGACCACTTGAGTAAAATTTTAGAGGTTCAGTGGCCAGAGGCTGCCAGTACATCCTTGTCCAAAGTCAAAGTTAAATTATTACATATTGCTTCTTATTCTGCCATGACTAAGAAAGCACAGTGCTTTGTGGGCTACTTTATGCTCTGGAGACAGCTTATTTAACACCTAGGGATACTGCTTTGCCTGGATGCTGAGTGACAAAACAAATTTTAAAAGTTGCTATCTTTGAGTATGGATGGAGCAGGAAAGAGCTCTGAGCAGACTGAGGCTGTGATATAAGCAGTATTTCTTTTTGAACTATGCAATCTGTTGGAACCTACATGTTGGAAGTATCAGTGATAGGAAATGGGACCATGTTGATTTTGTGTGAAGCACAAGAGAGGTTCCTGGGGTAATGGAGAAATGCCATAAAACCAGGGAATATTATGTCTTTTGAAAAATAACTCTTGACAAGCTACCAGGCCTGACCATGGGACTGCAAGTGACCATGTGGACAGAACTATCATGAGCTAGGTCCTGTAAGTGTTACTAAGCCATAGTCAGATAATACCAACAGTAACCCTATTATAAGATGAAAGTGTGATATCCAGGATTGAGCACAAACAGGTTCAGAGGACACAAGAAATTTGCATAAACAGGTAGTTGAGGTCCCTATGGCTCCCACAAGTAATAGTACAAGCATTTCTTTCTCAGCTCATTTCTATGGCTGTATGACATACTGTAGGACTAAAATTTAAAAAAATGAAAAATTTCTGAGTTTGGCTTCCAGATGGGTCAGCTTGGTATGTAAGTATAGGCCAAATATGGATACCAGCTATGCTATAACCTTACTCAAGGATGCCTTGAAAAACTGTGGTACAGAAAAAATCTTTCCAATGGAGAGAGTGATTGTGATGTATCCAGGCCTTGACTTAGTATGAAAAGAGAAGTGACCCAAGGTTAGAATGCACACACACATTCATGGAAAAAGATTGGAAGATCATGGACAAGAAGATGTGGGATAAATGTATGTGGTTGAACATATGGGAGTGAATGAAGTTTGAGGATCTTTGTATTTCACATAATAACCACCAGCGAATATCAACAATTGAGGAGGCACTAAACAACCAAGTACACAAAATGGCCTAGCCAATTGTCATTAGCCAGACTCTTTCAACAACTACTCCAATGTTGGCAAAATAGGCTCATAGATGAAGTGGCCACAGTGTCCATTTCATAGTGATATAGGAACTGTGCCTAGGCCCAAAACTGTGAACTCCCACTTACAACACGTGATCAAGCTTAGCCTTTGAATTTCCTACCTACTAGCAACAGACTAATTCTGAAACCCCAATAAGAACCATTTCTTCAGGAGACCAACCTGCCACTTGATAGAAAGTTGATTATATCAGGACCCTCTGTTCCAGAATAGCCAGTGTTTTTTTACACAGACATGTTGATTATTGGTTTTCTTTTTTTGTCAATAGAATTTTGATCAGCACATTGTCCAGAGACTTAGAGAGTATTTAATTCATTGGCTTGTGGTACCACATAAAATTGTGTCAGACCAGATAAACTATTTTACAGCAAAGGGGTTGTGGAAATGGGCCCATTACTGTGAGAGCTATTGCTAATATTACATGCCATGTCACTCCAAGTTGCTGGCCTGAGAGAGCATTGAAACAGCCTGTTTCAATGGGACCTCAGGGACCTCAACAGCTGCTCATAGGGACCTCAACAGCTGGTGTGCTAACTTGGCAGCAATATTCTGCAAGAAAAGGCACTATAGTCTAGGTTGCATTGTACACATTTACATAAAGACCTGTATGTAGTGCATGCCTTCTATGGAAGGAATGCATGAGTTCAGAAACCAAGGTATAGGAAGAGGAATGGTACCTCATACCATTAATTTCAGGGACTGATGAAGAATTTGCGTATCTTCTCCTTACAACTCTGAGTTCTGCATAGCTACAAGTCCTGATTACCAAAGGGGGAACATTTTCACCAGTGGTACAAAAATAGTTCCATTGAATCATAAGCTATCACTGCTGCCTGGGCAGTTTGAGCTCTGTTTCTCTGGGAACCAGCAGGCAAAAATAAGGTTATCATCTGTTCAGATTGCTGTTTCACAATACAGAGAGGAATATAAATAAAATCAGGTAATCTACTTGAGTTCCTCCTATGGTCTACTTGTGTCAACCCAAAATTCATATATTGAAACCCTAATACTCAATGTGAGGGCATTTGAACATGGGGCCTTTGGGAGGTAATTAGGTCATCAAGACAGAACCCTCATGCTGGGATAAGTACACTTATAAGAACAGGCAGAAGAGAGCTTACATCCTTTCTCTCTGCTCTCAGCCATGTGAGAATATAATAAGAAGTTAGCTGTCTGTGAACCAATAATTGGGCCCTCACCAGACACAAGGTTTTCTGGCACTTTTATCTTGGACTTCCCAGCCACCAGAACTGTTAGAAATGAGTATGTTGCTTATGCTACACAATCTATGCTATTTTTGTTATAGTAGACTGGACTAAGACAATGTCTCTTGGTTCTTTCTTGCTTTATTGTGACTATAAATGGACAGCAATAGAAATCTCAGCTGGAGAAAAGCACAGTGATCATGGTTCAGGGATTTCAGAGACGAGTGTTTGCTTCATACCATCAGGTAAGCTTCCAAGGTCAGCAGAGTTGGTAGCTGATGGTGAGGGAATTCTAGAATGGATAGTGGAGAAGAAAGACGACGAGAATCAATTGCCTTCCTAAGGTTAACTTTCACTCCCTCCCTCTTCCATTTTCCTTCAGAAAAAGAGGCCTGCAGCAATCCTGGAGAGGCTGTCACTCTAATGTTTATGGAAAAGTCAGTAGAAGCAGCCTCCAGACCTCAGCTTCTTCAGGATTTGCCTTAGTTGCCCAAAGCTGTTTCACTCCAAGTCACAACATTCCTTTGGAAGCCCACAACTGATGACTGAGGGTTAGATATCTAAGGCCTGTCCATTTTAGCCTGACATCAAATACCCTGACAGGTAGTATTCCCTTTAGAGGTGTTCACCAGGTTGGCCAAGACTTTGTTAGGTCTGCATTGCAGTTAAACTTCTTCCCCTGTTCACTTCTACTTGCTATATCTTTCACAGACTCATGGATTTTTGTAGTGTATTTTTAATCAAATTATTTTGTAGAAAGGGACTCTGAAAAAAAATAAAAACTTTTGTTTGTGGCCCTGTGTATGTACCCTAGAGGCAGTCACTACGGGACATAACCTGTGCAGTCCATTTCTTGGATAGTCGTCTTACTCTATACTCAATTCTGCTGGAGAACACTGGCCTCTGATTCCTTCTCTCATACCAATGACCCCTCACTGCTCGCTTAGTGTGCCAATAATATTCACTATTAATTTCTAGAAATGAAAGGCTTTATATAACAAAATATAACAAGCTGATCTTGACTGTAACTAGTTTTGACAATTGATACATTTCTTTTGTGTACTCAGAGAGATGCTGTTCACCTCTTTTTTGTTTCCTGAGACAACTTATATTACTTTCTTGGCAAGCATTTAGAACACCTGCACATAAACCACAGGTGAAATACAGAATAGAGCCCTCTATATTAATTTTCTTGGTAGCAATTAGTTGTACTGGTGTTTGTTCTCAGAAAGCTTCTGAACTACTGCTCAAAGCCAGCTCAATTTTGATGAAGGAGACTGATTTCTTAGCAATATTTTCAATCTTTGTACCCCATGCTGATAGCAGCTGGATCAGAAATACACTCAGCATTGCTTTCGTGCTTGACAGTTATAGTTGTGACCATGTTAATTACCATCCTGTCTAACAGCACAATGGGGACACTGTATAGCTCTGAGAGTGATTATAGTCTTGCCTTCTGCAGAAAGACTTTCTTGGAAATCATGAGTAATTTGTAATTAAAGAAGACGTTCCAATCATCCTTGGTAAATATATCTTTTTTCTAGAATAAAATTGTTTCACTTTCATTTTGGTTAGGTATTTTGCAAGTTAGGTATATCTGGGAATGGGATCCCAAGGGTCTCTTGTTCTGTAGTCTGTGACAGTTAAACATGAGAAAATGCCTTATTATAAAATGTGCCTTGTTTTATAATAAAAATGTAAAATTAATTTGTTTTACATTTAAATAAAGATTATTTTATATATGTAAAAGTTTTATAATAAGGCACAATGTGCATAATTATATAACATATAGTATAATTATTTATACTAAGATTTATATGCATGAAATATATAAAATAATATATATTTAAATGTAAAATAAAGTAATTTATATTTTCATTTTTAAAATATATTCTGTTTAGGAGTGTACAAAAAATTATAACCCAATGAATTGTAAAGTGCAAAATGAACAACCATAAAATCACCATGTAGGTCAAGAAATAAAACATGCCACCACCACAAAATTCCCCCTCATGTCCAGTACTGATCATGTCCAAACACTGATTCACCACCCCAGCCTCCAAAGTAAACATGCTTCTGACTTTTATAATATATGCTTTTTTCTTTGCAGTTTTTTCACTGAAGCACAGATCTCTAATCATTACACTATAGTTTCATCTGTTGTCAAACTTCATATAAATCAAATCATACAGTAAATGATTCATTTTATCTGCTTCTTTTGATCAATGTTTATGTTTAGTGAGACTCATCCATGTTGTTGCTTGTAGCAGTTTGTTCACCTTCATTGATTCATAGTATTCTATTGTTTTATTATTGCACAAATTGTTATCCATTTTGTTTTATTTTTTTAATTGATGCATAATAGATGTACATAATTTTGGGATATATGTGATAATTTAATACATTCATATAGTTGGTAAAGATCAAATCTGTGTACTTGGGATATCCATTACCTTAAATGTTTGACTTTTCTTTATACCAGAACCATTTGAATTCTATTTCAAAATTGTATTCAAATTCAAAAGGCTACTTTGTAATGTATAATAGATGACTGCAAATTATATTAACTCTACTGATCTATCTAACGCTAGTTCTTATTTCTTCAATTGGATGGCTCGTTTGTACCCATTTAGCAACTTCTCTTGATCTTCCTCTTTTTTAATGTTGGTAGACATTTGGGCTTTCTCCAGTTTGAAATGTTTGTAAATAATATGCAGTTTTGTGTACATCTTTTGCTGCACGTGTCCACATCTTTCTTGGTTATATAGATGGGAGTGGAATTTCTATTATAGCATGTGCGTATTTTCAATATTAGTAGTTTACTCCAAACTCTTCTCAAAATGGTTGTCCCAGTTTATAATTGCACCAGCATTGTGTGATAGTTTCTGTTAATCTATATCCCTGTTAAAATGTTTCAGTCTCAATTTTAGTCATTAATGGGTTTCTAGTGGTATTTCTTTGGGATTTTCATTTCAGTTCTCTGATTACTTCTAAGATTAAAATATTTTCATGTATTTATTTGCCATTAGGACTGTCCTTTTTATGAAGTAACTGTTTAACTGTCTTGCTTATTTTGGCTAGCTTTTTATTTTTGATTTGTAGAATTCTTTATATATTCATATATGTGTGTGATATTTTCTTCCGTACATTGGCTTGCCTTTATCTCCCTTGATTATATCTTTTGAAGGCTATAAGTTTTTAATTTTCATGTAGTCCAATTAAAAAATTTTTCTGGTTTAGTGTTTTTTGTGTTTTGTTTAAAAAGCTTTATCCTACTCCAAGGTCATAAAGATATTCTCTTATAATACATTCTGAAAATTTCTAGTTTTGTCTTTTACATTTACACCTATATTATACTTAGTTTTGATATTTATTTATGATGTGACACGAGTACATTTAATTTTTTCCAATATTTTTTCCAGTTGTTTTAGTGATAATTCTTTTGTCTTTGTCTGTCTGAATAGTATTTTGACTATTCTGAGTCTGTTACATTCAATTTAAATTTTAAGATAATTTGTAAAGATAGACACACACTACCACACTCCACACCCACACATCCTGTTGTAACTTTAATGACCTTTTGAGAAGTTTTAGAAGAATTGAAGGATTTATTTCTTCATAATATCAAGTCTTTCCAAAATAAACGTTATACCCCTACATTTATATAAGTATTTATTAGTTTCTTTCAATAATGTTTTATTGTTTTCAATGTAGAAACCTTATACATCTGGTCTAGATTTACTATATTACATAATTTTGATGCCACGGTAAATAGTATGTCCTTTAACATTTTTATTTTCTAGTCAATTGTTATGGGAACTTTCAGAAATATAATCGATTATTTTTTGTTCATCTGTATTTTATTTTATTTGTTTAATTTCCAACTTTTAAGTTCAGGGGTACATGTGCAGGATGTGCGGGTTTGATACATAGGTAAATGTGTGCCATGGTTGTTTGCTGCACCAATCATCCCATCAGCTAGATATTAGGCCCAGCATCCGTTAGCTATTCTTATGATCCTGTCCCTCCTCCCACCCACCACCCTCTGACAGGCCCCAGTGTGTGTTGTTCCCCTACATGTGTCCATGGGTTTTCATCATTTAGATCCCACTTATACGTGAAAACATGCAGTATTTGGTTTTCTGTTCCTGTGTTAGTTTGCTAAGGATAATGGCCTCCACCTCTATCCATATCCCTGCAAACAGCATGATCTAGTTTCTTTTTATTGCTGCATAGTATTCCATGGTGTATATGTACCACATTTTATCCAGTCTCTCATTGATGGGCATTAGGTTTATTCCATGTTCTTGCTATTGTGAATAGTGCTGTAATGAACATACATGTACATGTGTCTTTTTAATTTGGGTGTAAAATAAAAAATTTATGGGTATATAAAATGATTTATATTCCTTTGGGTATATACCCAGTAATGACATTGCTGTGTCAAATAATATTTCTGTCTCTAGATCTTTGAAGAATTGCCACACTGTCTTGCACAATGATTGAACTAATTTACCCTCCCACTAACATTGTAAAAGCATTCCCTTTTATCCACAACCTCACCAGCATCTGTTGTTTTTCGATTTGTTAATAATAGCCATTCTGACTTATGTGAGGTATTTCATTGTGTTTTTGATTTTCATTTCTCTAATGGTCGGTTATATTGAGATTTTTTTCATGTTTCTTGGTTGTATATATATATATACATATATATGTGTATATATACATATATATGTATATTATATATGTACATATATAATATATATATGTATATATATTATATATATATGTATGTATGTATTTGAGAAATGTCTGTTCATGTCCTTTGCCCACTTTTTAATTTTTTTTTTCTTGTAAACTTGTTAAGTTCCTTATAGATGCTGGATATTAACTTTTGTCAGACGCAAAGTTGGAAAATTTTTTCTCTGACTCTGTAAGTTCTCTGTTTACTCTGTTGATAGTTTCTTTTGCTGTGCAGAAACTCTTTAGTTTAATCAATTTTTGTCAATTTTTGCCTTTGTTGCAATTGCTTTTGGTGTCTTTGTCATGAAATCTTTGCCTGTGACTGTGTCCTGAATGATATTATCTAGGTTTTCTTCTAGGGTTTTTACAGCTTTGGGTTTTCCCTTTAAGCCTTTAATCCATCTTGACCTGATTTTTGTATATGGTATAAAGAAGAGGTCCAGTTTCAATTTTCCTCATATTGCTAGAAAGTTTTACCAGCATTATTTATTAAATAGAGAAACCTTTTTCCAATGCTTGTTTTTGTCAGTCTTTTTGAAGATCAGATAGTTGTAGGTGTGCACTATTATTTCTGGGTTCTCTATCCTGTTCCATTGGCCTATGTGTCTGTTCCTATACCAGTACCATGCTGTTTTGTTTACTGTAGCCCTATAGTATAGATTTAAGTCAGTTGGCATGATGCCTCCAGCTTTGTTCTTTTTGTGTAGGATTATTCTTTTTGTGCCAATTGTGAATGGGATTGTATTCCTGATTTGGCTCTTGGCTTGACTGTTGTTGGTATATTAGAATGCTAGTGATTTTTGCACATTGATGTCGTACCCTGAAAGTTTTTTGAAGCTGCTTGTCAGCTTAAGAAGCTTTTGGGCTGAAACACAGTGATGGAGTTTTCTAGATATAGGAACATGCCAACTGATTTGACTTCCTCTCTTTCTATTTGAATACCCTTTATTTCTTTCTCTTGCCTGATTGCCCTGGCAGGAACTTCCAATACTCTATTGAATAGGATTGGTGAAAGAAGGCAACCTTGTCTTGTGCTGGATTTCAATGGGAATGCTTCCAGCTTTTGTCTCTACGGTATGATATTGGCTTTAGGTTTGTCATATATGTCTCTCATTATTTTGAGGTATGTTCCTTCAATATTTAGTTTATTGAAAGTTTTTAACATGAAGGGATGTTGCATTTTATTGAAGGCCTTTCTGCATTTATTGAGACAATCATGTGGTTTTTATCTTTATTTCTGTTTATGTGATGAATCACATTTATTGATTTGCGTATGTTGAACCAACCTTGCATCGTGGGAATGAAGCCTATTTAACTGTGGTGGATAAGCTTTTTGATGTGCTGCTGGATTCAGTTTACCAGTATGTTGTTGAGGATTTTTGCATCAATGTTCCTCAAGGCTATTGGCCCGAAGTTTTCTTTCTTTGTTGTATCTCTGCCAGCTTTTGGTACCAGGGTGATGCTGGCCTCATAGAATGAATGAGGGAGGAATCCCTCCTATTCAATTATTTGGAATAGTTTCAGTAGGAATGCTACCAGCTCTTCTTTGTACCTCTGGTGGAGTACAGCTGTGAATCTATCTGCTCCTGGGTTTTTTTTTTTTTTTTTTCTGATTGATAGGCTATTTATTACTGCCTCAATTTTCAGAACTTGTTATTGGTCTATTTAGGGATTCAATTTCTTCCTGGTTCAGTCCTGGGAGGGTGTATGTGTCTAGGAATTTATCCATTTTTTTAGATTTTCTAGTTTATGTGCAGAGATAATATTCTATGATGGTTGTTTATATTTCTGTGGGATCAGTGGTAATATCCACCTTATCATTTCTGATTGTATTTATTTGAATCTTATCTCTTTTCTTTTTATTATTCTAGCTAGTGGTCTATTTTATTAATTTTTTCAAAAAACCAGCCTTGGATTCATTAATTTTTTGGAGGGTTTTTCATGTCTCTATGTCCTTCAGTTTAGCTCTGATCTTGGTTATTTCTTGTCTTCTGCAAGCATTGGGGAGTGTTTGCTCTTGGTTGTCTAGTTTTTTGTTATGATGTTATGTTGTTAACTTGAGATCTTTCTAGCTTTTTGATGTGGCATTTAGTGCTATAAATTTCCCTCTTTGTTTTTTTGAGACAGAGTCTCAGTCTGTTGCCCAGGCTGGAGTGCAGTGGCATGATCTCAGCTCACTACAAGCTCCGCCTCCCTGATTCACTCCATTCTCCTGACTCAGCCTTCCGAGTAGCTGGGACTACAGGTGACCGCCACCACACCTGGCTAATTTTTTTGTATTTTTAGTAGAGATGGGGTTTCACCATGTTAGCCAGGATGGTCTTGATTGCCTGACCTCGTGATCCGTCTGCCTTGGCCTCCCAAAGTGCTGGGATTACAGGTGTAAGCCACTGCACCGGGCCATAAATTTCTCTCTTAAGACACTGCTTTAGCTGCATCCCAGAGATTCCAGTATGTTGTCTCTTTGTTCTCATCAGTTTCAAAGTATTTCTTGATTTCTGCCTTAATTTTATTGTTTACCCGAAAGTAATTCAGAAGTACGTTGTTCAATTTCCATGTAATTGTATGCTTTTGAGTGAATTTCCTAATCTTGAGTTCTAATTTGATTGCATTGTAGTCTGAGAGACTGCATGATTTAAGTTCTTTTGCATTTGCTGAGGAGTGTTTTCCTTCCAATTACGTGATTAATTTTGGAGTAAGTGCTGTGTGGCAATAAGAAAAATGTATATTTTATTGTTTTTGAGCGGAGAGTTCTGCAGATATCTACCAGGTCCACTTAATCCAGAGCCGAGTTCAGGTCCTGAATATTTTTGTTTATTTTCTGTTTTTAAGATCTGTCTAATATTGTCAGTGAGGTGTTAAATTCTCCCACTATTATAGTGTGGGAGTCTAAGTCTCCTTGAAGGTCTCTAAGAACTTGCTCTACAAAACTGGGTGCTCCTACATTGGGTTCATATATATTTAGGATAATTAGCTCTTCTTGTTGAATGGAACCCTTTACCATTATGTAATGCCCTTATTTGTCCTTTTTCATCTTTGTTGGTTTAAAGTGTGTTTTGCTAGAAACTAAGATTGCAACCCCTGCTTTTTTATGTATTCTATTTGCTTGGTAATTTTTCTCCATCACTTTATTTTGAGCCTATGTGTGTCTTTGCATGTGAGATGGGTCTCTTGAAGACAGCATACCATGAGCCTTGGTTCTTTCTCCAGCTTGCCATTCTGGGTCTTTTAATTGGGGCATTTAGCACATTTACATTTAAGATTAGTATTGTTATGTGTGGATTTGATCCTGTCATCATGATGCTCACTGGTTATTTTGCAGACTTGTTTATATGGTTGCTTCATAGTGTCACTAGTCTGTGTACTTCAGTGTGTTTTTGTAGTGGCTGGTAATGATTTTTCCTTTCCATATTCAGTGCTTCCTTCAGGGGCTCTTGAAAGGCAGGTCTGGTGATAACAGATACCCTCAGCATTTGCTTGTCTGAAAAGGATCTTATTTCTCCTTTACTTATGAAACTTAGTTTGGTCAGATATGAAATTCCGGGTTGGAAATTCTTTTTTTTTTTTTTTTTTTTTTGAGAAGATTGAATATTAGCCCCCAATCTCTTCTGGCTTGTAGAATTTCCACTGAGAGGTCCGCTGTTAGTCTGATGGGCTTCCCTTTGTAAGTGACCTCGTCTTTCTCTCTGGTTGCCCTTAACATTTTTTCTTTCATTTCGACCATGGAGAATCTGATGATTATGTGTCTTGGGGATGGTCTTTTCATGGCATATCTTACTGGGGTTCTCTGGATTTCCCAAGTTTGATTGTTGGTCTACCTAGCTAGGTTGGGGAAGCTCTCCTGGTTGATATCCTGAAGTATGTTTTCCAACTTGGTTCCATTCTCTCCATCTCTTTCAGGTACCCCAATCAGTCATAGTTTCAGTCTCTACAGAATCCCATATTTCTCTTTCATTCTTTTTTCCCTATTCTTTTCTGCCTGTCTTATTTCAGAAAATCTTCTAGCTCTGAGATTCTTTCCTCTGCTTGGTCTATTCTACTATTAATATTCATGATTTCATTATGAAGTTCTTGTAGTGTGTTTTTCAGCTCTGTCAGATTGGTTATATCCCTCTCTCTAGTGGCTATTTTGTATGTAAGTTCCTGCATTTTTTTATCATGATTTTTAACTTCTTTGAATTGGGTTACAACATGCTCCTTTAGCTCTGCAAAGTTCTTTTTTTTTTTTCCGCATTCTGAAGCCTACTTCTATCTTTTCAGCCATCTCAGCCTCAGCCCAGTTCAGTACT
This sequence comes from Homo sapiens, assembly GCF_000001405.40. Lineage (NCBI taxonomy): Eukaryota > Metazoa > Chordata > Mammalia > Primates > Hominidae > Homo > Homo sapiens. The sequence continues at coordinate 44,813,940 of NC_000004.12, forward strand.
CTTGCTGGAGAGGTGTTGAGGTCATACGAAGGACAGGAGGCACTGTGGCTTTTTGAGTTTTCAGCATTTTTGCACTGCTTTTTTCTTGTTTTTGTGGGGTTATCTACCTTTCGTCTTTAAGGTTGCCAGCCTTTGGATGGAGATTTTGCTTTTTTTGTTGTTTTTGTTTGTTTGTTTTTCTTTTAACACTCTGGCCACTCATCCATAGGGCTGCTGCAGTTTACTGGGGGTCCACTCCAGACCCTACTTGTTTTGGCTTTTCCAGTACCTGGATATATCCCCAGTGAAGACTGTGAAACAGCAAAGATGGCAGCCTGCTGCTTTCTCTGGAAGCCCTGTCCCAGGTGGGTATTGACCTGTTGCCAGCCCGAATGCTCCTATAAATGGTGACAGAGAGCCCAGTTGGGAGGTCTCACTCAGTCAGGAAGAACAGGATCATGGATCTGCTAAAAGAAGCAATCTGGCTGAGTTTTGGTAGAGAAGCTGTGCTGTACTGGGGATCCCTTCAGCCCCCTATTGGTTTGGGCTCTCCAAGACCTGTATGCTGGATTGGCTGAGATGCCCAAACAGCAAAGGTGGTGGCCTGCCCCACCCCTCCACATGCTGTATCACAGGGATGAATTAGAGCTCTGTTGGCTATAAAACACAGGTGGAGGTGGCCAGAGGCTGCAGCTGGGAGGACCCTCCAAGTGAGGAGGAATGGATCCAGGTCCTGTTTAAAGAAACCATCTGTCCATGCTTGGACAAAACAGCCATGCTGTGCTGGGGAACCAGCTCTGCCCTAGTTAGCTTGGACTCTCCAAAGCTGGCAGGCTGGACCACTGAGTCACCCAAACAGCAAAGATGATGGTCTGCCGCTCCCACCAGGCACTCTGTCCCAGGGAGAAATTAGAATTCTGTCCATAGAATATGGGTGGGCAGGGGTCATTAGAGGCCTCAGCTGGGAGGTCCCACTCAGTGAGGAGGAATGGATAGGGGTCCCACTTAAAAAAGCTGTCTGGCCACATTCTGGCAAAGCAGCTGTGTTGCACTAGGGAAACTCTTCCTTGACTGGACTGTTTGGACTCTGCAAAGCCTGTAGGCTGGAACAGCTGAGTTGACCAAACAGCAAGGATGGCAGCCTGTCCCTCCCCACTGGGGAATCTGTCCTGTCATGTAGGCTCCACTTTGATGCCAGTGGCTGGCTGGAATTCCAAGCCAGTGGGTCTTATCTTGTGAGGTGCTGTGGAAGTAGGGCCCTCAGACTGATGTTGCTTGGCCCTTGGATTCTGTCCCCTTCCTAGGGGTATGTATGGATCTCCTGCCTTTCCTGTGTTGTAGTCACCTTTGCTGGGAATCCTGGGGCTGAAGTATATAAAGCTCCTGGATCTTTGTACATGTCTGAGCAGCTGATCTGCTGAGACTCCACACAGCTCTGTGTGTCTGACCCAAGGCCTGGTGGCACGGGCTCACAAGGGGATCTCCTGATCTGAAGGTTGCAAAGATCTATGGGAAAAGTATGGTATCCTGGGATTGCACATTCACTCACCACTTCCCTTGGCTGGGAATGGAGGTTGCCTTGGCTCTGTGTCACTCCCAGGTGGGCCATCTCCCTGCCCTGCTTTTCTTTATTCTCCGTGGGTCGAATTGTTTCCCTGATCAATCCCAATGTGAGTACCTGGATATTTCAGGTGAAGGTGCTGTATTTGCTTTCCTCTTTCATTTCTCTCTGTGAGTGTCACATACTGCAGCTACTTCTAATTGGACATCTTGTATAACAGATTTTTCTCTCTTGACCTTGTAAGCAATAACTTTCCCAAAATAATTTATTAATTTAAAAAATAGATGTGTAGATTGTTTTGTATTTTCTATGAATATTGTCACATTATGAGATAGTACAAGATAGTGATTAAGAGTATAGGTTCCAGAACATGGCTCTCTGTATTTCAATTCCAGCTCTGCCACTTTTGGGTAGATCTTTGGTAAATCTGTTTAAACTATTTCAGTCTGTTATCTTATCTCTAAAAATGCCATAATTATAGTACCTACCTCATAAGGATTTTTTTGAGGTTTAATTCAGTGCTTAGTTGGTTGAGCTCCCTGAGAAAGCTAGCTAACTATATTTAGAAAACCAAGAGTACATCTATGTGTATTTTTTTAAATAAAATTTTTACTTTAGAATAGTTTTAGATTTACAAAAAAATTGCAAATATAGTACAGAGTTCCCATTACCCTCTATCCAGCTTCCTCTATTATTAGTATCTAACATTAATACAGTACATTTGTAAAAATTAGTGAGAATTACATATTATTATTAAGTGAAGTCCATATTCAGATTTTCTTGGTTTTCAACTAATATCCCTTTTTTTCTTTTCTGGGACTCCATCCAAGATAACACATTACATTTAGTCATGATGTCTCTTTAGGCTACTCTAGGCTATTGACAGTTCTTCAGACTTTCCTTGCTTTTGATGACCTTGTTGGTTTTGAGAAGTGCTAGGTGTTTTGTAGGATATGCTTCAGCAGGCATGCAACTAATCTTTTTCACATGCTTCAACTGGGATTATTTGTATTTGAAAGGAAATAAAGTGCCATTCTTATCACATCATATCAAGGGTACATACTATCAACATGGCTTGTCAATGTTGATATTAACCTTGATCATCTGGCTAGATAGCATTTCTCAGGCTTCTCCACTGTAAGGTTACTATCCCCCCAACCCTTTCTGTAATGTATTCTTTGCAAGGATGCCACTATGTGCAGTCTACATCTCAGGAATGAGGAGCTATGCTCCACCGCCTTGTGTGCACAGATTCTCGATACATTATTTGAAGTACTTCTACAGGGAAGATTTGTCTCTTCTTATTTATTTATTTATCCAATTGTTTATTTATGTTAGTATAAACTCATGAATATTTATTTTATGGGGCTGTAATACAATACTAGTTTATTAATTTTGTTGTTCAAATTGTTCTGGTTATGGTCACTGGCAGCTCCTTTAGTTAGTTCCCATATCCCTTTGACATGGACATATTCCATAATGTAGGTTTTTTTTTCTTTTTAAGCACTCATATAAAATAGAAAAAAATTTAAAAGCCTCTAATAGAAATGTCTTAGTCCATTCAGGCTGCTATAACAAAGTACCATAGACTGGGTGGCTTATAAATAACAGAAATGTATTTATCATAGTTTTGGAGGCTGGGAAATCCAAGATAAAAGTGCCAGCAGATATGGTGTCTGGTAAGAGCCTGTTTTTTGGTTCATAGATGGTGACTTCTTGCTGTGTCCTCACATGGTGGAAGGGGCAAGGTAGCTTTCTGGGGTCTCTTTTCTAGGGCACTAATCTCATTAATTAGAAGTAGGCCCTCATGACTTCATCACCTTCCAAAAGGACCCACTTGCTAATACCATTACCTTGAAGATTAGGATTTCACCATATAAAATTTTGGAAAACAGCAACATTCAGACCTTACCAGGTAAACAAGAAAAACCATAAAAGAATAAGCTCATGAATACATTCTAAAGAACTGAATTTTTAATATTCTGTACAAAAAAAGTGAGAAAACACTCAATTGCATTAAAGTATATGATGTTATGTATCCTAGTTGTTAGAATTAGTACTACTAAGCACAGGACAATGGGAAATGGAGAAGAATTTAGAAATTTATTTTTGAATATGTGGCTTGTGGACACTCTGGAATTGCCAAGGCAATCTATCTCTGATTGTTACACTATAGGAGGAGGAGGTGGTTGCAAAGGAGTTGGAGGAAGAGGAGAAGGAGGAAGGCTTTGGGTAACTGTGACGGGAGCTAATTTTTAGTGAGTACTTACGCTATATTCCTGGTACTTTGCATATGTTATATCATTTGAAAAATAGGCACCTTCCTCAGTTTTTTTTTTCTGCTCAAAGTCTGGGGAATACATTTAACAGACTTGTTCTCATGCTGCACTGTAGTTCTGTGAATCATCAAAAGCCAACTGAAGAATTTCAGAAGCATTAGTTATTTTTATAGAAATGAATCAAACTATATCTGAATTCGATAGGAATGACCTTTTTTTTTTGCTACTCTGATACTCCCCTTTGTAAGTTTCTAATAATAAGCAGTGAGGTACAAAGAACAGAATGTAGAGCACAGCTTGTTCCAAATACATCAATTTTGAAGTGACCTTTACTTTGCAGTTACTAAAAGCACACCACTAACTTTTATAATCTAATCTGCTGTTGCTGATAAACACAATTCAAGAGAGTGAGACCATGAACCTTTGACTCATGTGTGATGCATGATGCTTGGAGACTCCGACTGAGAACAATCTACTTTCCCTGTTGTGGCACTGACCTTGGATTATCACCTGTATTTGGTTCAAGTAATGAGATTCTCAGGTGGAATAACACATTTATTTTCCCCTAGAATTTAAAAGATCTCCCGGGCAAGTTGTTATTACCAGGCAAGACAGGGATCCTTGATTTCCAGGTCTCCCTTGTTCTCTTGACAACTTAACCATTCCAGACTTTTGCTTCTGACTTGTAGCCCAGAATAAACACCTAGAGGTTTTTGGGCTCCTGAAATATCTTCAAAACCACCTAGAGAGGATATTTTCCTAGCTTTTTTTTTTCACTTTCTCCTAGCCAAGATTCTTTAACCTATATTTAAATTTAGGTACATTTAACCTACATTTAGAGAAAGAAGAACCCACCTGCATTTTAATGAACTGTTTAAATACAATTTTTTTTTTGAGATGGTATTTCACTCTTGTTGCCCAGGCTGGTGTGCAATGGCACAATCTCAGCTCACTGCAACCTCCACCTCCTGTGTTCAAGCGATTCTTCTGCCTCAGCCTCCCAGGTAGCTAGGATTACAGGTGCCCACCACCATGCCCAGCTATTTCGTTTGTATTTTTAGTAGAGACGGGGTTTAACCATGTTGGCCAGGCTGGTCTCCAACTCCTGACCTAGGTGATCTGCCCACCTCAGCCTCTCAAAGTGCTGGGATTATAGGTGTGAGCCACTGTGCTGGGAGTTTTTTTTTTTTTTTTTTTTTTTTTTAGACAGGATCTCACTCTGATTGCCCAGGCGGGAGTGCAGTGGTGCAATCCTGGCTCACTGCAGCCTCAACTTCCCAAGCTCAGGTAATCCTCACACCACAGCCTCCCAAGTAGCTGGGACTACAGGCCTGTGCCACGACACCCAGCTATTTTTTTTTTTTTTTTTTGTATTTTTAGTAGAGATAAGGTTTTGCCATGTAGCCCTGGCTGTTCTCAAACTCCTGGGCTCAAGCAATCTGCCCACCTCAGCCTCTCAAAGTGCTAGGATTACAGACATGAGCCACCACACCCTGCCTTAAATATAATTTCTATAAAGTTGGTGCATTAGTATTCTAGTGTTGTTGTAACAAATTACTATTTAATTTGGTGACTTTAAACAACAGAAATTTATTCTCTCAGTTCTGGAGGCAAGAAATCTGATATCACTGTGTTGGCAGTGCCATGCTCCCTCTGAAGGCTCTGGGGAAAAATCCTTCCTTGTTTCTTTGTAGCATCTGATGGCTGCCCAAAATCCTTGGTGTTCCCTGGCTTGTAACTGCATCACTCTAATCTCTGCCTCCATCTTCAGATGTCTTTCTCCTCTGTGTGTCTGTATGTGCCTCTCCTCCTCTTAGATGGTCCAAAGTCATTGGATTTAGACTCCACTCTTATTTATTTTTTATTTACTTTTTAAAAATTTTTTGTGGGTACATAGTAAGTATATATATTTATGGAGCACATGAAATGTTTTGATACAGGCATCTACCCTCATTTAGTATGACCTCATCTTACCCTGACTCATTATGTTTGTAAAGATGCTATTTCCAAATAAGTTCACATCTTGAAGCTCCAAGGTGACCTGAATTTTTGAGGACACTGTTCAACCCACTATTACTATTAGAAGCAAAGTAGAAGTAGAATCAGGGGCAGGTTAAAGAGTCTTCTGAGATTGCATGTGGGAAACACTGATAAATGTTGGCTGACAAATGGAGAGTGAGAGAAAGGCTAAAAACTCTAAAACACACTTATGTGTTGTGTGCATTACATCACAGCTCCCAAATGTATACACATAAGTATCATATCAGGAATGTGTTTCTGTGTGGGTTTGCCCCATTACTAGTTCACAGAGAACATTGTATAAATATTAACTTGGCTATGTATTTATATATGCAATATATAAGAAAATTAAGACACACTAATTACCTATTTTGTAAGTAAATGCAAACATTTAGCTGTGAATTTGTCAGCAAATATATATGTTTATGTGCAAATGTTAAGAGGTACATGTAAGTCATCTTTATATATATATATATATATATATATATATATAACCATTGACAGTATCATTCATTTAAAGTAAGACACTTGTACTATTGTAGCAGGATGAGCCACAGACAAGAACCCCTCAGACACTGAGTTGTGGAAGGAAAGGGCTTTATTCAGCTGGGAGCATTGGTGAGCTCATGTCTACAAAAACCAAGCTCCTGAGTGAGCAATTCCTGTCCCTTTTAAGGGCTTACAGCTCTAAAGGGGTCCACGTGAGAGGGTCGTGATTGATTGAGCAAGCAGTGGGCATGTGACCGGGGGCTGCATGCACCAGTAATCAGAATGGAACAGAACAGGACAGGGATTTTCACAATGCTCTTCCATACAATGTCCGGAATCTATAGATAACATAACTGGTTAGATTAGAGGTGGATCTTTAACTGCCAGGCCCAGGGTGTGGCACCGGGCTGTCTGCCTGTGGATTTCATTTCTGCCTTTTAGTTTTTACTTCTTTTTTTCTTTGGAGGCAGAAATTGGGCATATGACAATATGAGGGGTGGTCTCCTCCCTTATTCCCCACCTTTGAGAACCAAACTCATTAGTGGGAGTTCTCACTTTCATCCTCACTACCCATGTCTTCTTGCAAGTCAGATGAATAGTGATTCATATAGTACACATGTGCTGAAACACTTTGATGGACTAAGGTAGTAACACAACTTTCCATTACTTGAAAGAGCAAAGGCAGCACACAGGGAAGCAACAAGCAGGTTTCTATTACTATTATAATTCCTATTATAGGAGTTTTAAATTATCCTAGTGCTGGAAACCGTTTTCCAAACATAGTCCTAGGATTAAACCCTTGCCACACCTGCACGGGCACATGTGCCAGCTTTGTGATATCTTTATATCTTCAACTACTTGCCCTTGGTCATCTGTGTGCACACAGCAATTGGTTAGGTTAAACTTTCCACAGACCCCTCCTTCAGCTGCTAGCAAGTAGTCTAGGGTTAGTCTATTTTTATAGATAGCATTTTTCATCTGAGTTTCTTGCCAGGCCAGAATAGTCAAGGCTCTGCCAGTTTTATTAGTGATTGTTTCTAAGACAGCTTGTAACCATATGATTCAGTTGAGCATGTAAATGGGGGTCCAGTATCCCCAAGAGCTGCCTTGTACCCAAGTAGCAGGCCCATAATATTGTATGATTCTCTCAGGGGTCCATTCATCATCTTTCCAATTTTCTATAGCTATGCTTCTCTTTTCGTGGGAAGCATAAACAGGGAAGCCCAGGAGTTTACCTGTTTTTATGGGTAGTAGGAAGAAAGATGGTTTAACACAACTATCTGCCCACTGGTCAGGTAATTTGGCATAAGCTTTATGCCCACATATCCAGTATAATCCAGTGGGGGCTGTCCAGTCCCGGTGGGACTCCGGGTGGGTCCACACAGTTTGCAACTTTGGAATTTACTAAATGGATTCCTTTCTATGTGATTTGAACTCCATCAAGTGACTGTTTCTGTGGTACCATTATACAGTTTCTGTCCTAGACAACTAAGTCATCCTATGGGTTGAGTGAATTCTTTTTCTTCTCTAGCTATGCAATATTGTCCAATAATTGAGGCTTTTAGGACCCAGAAATTATTAGGGTGATTCTTTTGAGCCAGGAATTCATTAGGAACTGAGTCTGTAGGTACTCATTCTTGGGCTTCCCATGACCATTGATTTCCCATTACAGTTCCTCCACATACGTAACATGAAGTGACATTGAGAGACTGGGCTACATGCTCAGCTAATTGCAAAAACAAATTTCTTGTTTTTCCTGGAATTTCTGGTACTGGCACATTTAGTTCATCATAGAAAGTTTGAAGCACTGCCTCAGGAGAGCGTTTGTAAACTTCTCCTCGAACTAAGATATTTACTTGAGGATCCAGTATGGCCCCATCAATTCCTAGGGTCACACGCTCCCCTTTTTTCCAGTGAGGATCAGGGGGATTGGTTATTACTAGCTCTAAGGGGTTACATAGTCCCTTAGTACAGGAAGGGCCACTTTTTTTCTTTCTGAAGGCGGACTGGATCCTGTTCATTCTTTATCCAAGTGGCCCAAATGACACAAGACCAGTATCCACATTTATTTCCACACAGTCCTAATTTATGACAAATGTACTTATTTTTGGTCATATAGCCTTTCTCCCAATTAAAAGAGCCACATCCCATCCTAACTTATTGCCATTAATGACAGCACAGGCATCAAATTTAAGATTATGTGTTTGGGCACCCCTTTTTATTCTGTTTTGGCTAATACTTTACTTGTGTCATTTACAAGTCCCCACCAGTCTTCAGTCCTTAATCTCATTTCAAAAACTGTGGACATGGGAGGCTCAGAGGGGTTAAAACACATCATGTTGGTCACTCCCTGGGCTACATAACTTGTACTGGGTGGCATTATACAAACAAGTCCTTTTGAGAGTTCCACACATTTATAATAACTATAGGACAAAAAGATAGTTTTAACTTTTTGCCCTACCTTAGTGACCTGATGTATACACTGGGAACAGTCCTTAGTTTGAGAAAGGTCAGTTGAAGTCCCTACTGTACAAGTCCAAAATTTAAGGAAAGTAAGTCCCACGGTGAGTTTCCTCATGCTTCTGTCATGTGTGCACCAGTCAGCTTTCGGGTGTGACTGGAGCAGGGCTTGTCGTCTTCTTCAGAGTCACTTTGCAGAGATTGTTCAGGCTTGGTCTCGCCCCCCAGGTCTCAGGTGCTGGGGATTTCACGTGGCTGTGGTGGATCCAGGCTGGGATTCCTTTTACTTTTACAGCTGTGGGAGTGGTCAAGACAACGGTTTGGGGTCCTTTTCACCATGGCCGCAAGGGGCCTACGTTCTAATCCTTGGTCTACACCTGATCACCTTTGCTGTCTTCTGTACCAAGTCAGCCACAAACGCCAGCTCGTTGTCCGTGCCAATTTATAAGGGAAGTCCAAACCTAGGGATGAGATCTCCATATTTGGGCATCTTGGTGAAGTCTACTTGGAGATCTTCAAAGGGGGCTGCTCTTTAAGCCTGTATGCCAGGTGGGACAGTTGGACCTTGCCTAGCATTGTGCTGCTGGGAGGTGACACACTGCTGTGCCACTGTTTTGGCAAGGGCTAACAGATGCAAGATGTAGAAGTACCAGCTTAACAACTTTTCAAGTGACTCTTGGCCTAGCTGGGTGGTCTCATGCACAGTCAGTATGACTGTGGCTCCTAGCAGTTGTGGCATGGCTATTCTTCCAACCGATAACCGGATCCATCCTTCTTCTGTTACCTGCCCTCCCTCTGGTTGATGAAATGCCAGGGTGTAAGGGATAACCAATTGGACTAAAGCACAAGTGCCACTCCAGTTATTTGGCAAAGTGTCCAGTAAAGGTCCACCACAATACCACCAAACATCCACTCGGGGATGAACAAGGGCTGACTTATTGGTAAGCTCTTGAAAATTTTTAAGCTCACTGCATCCCTTCAGGTCTCCAAGGAACGCTGTTTCCCCCCTGTCGTGAGAGACATGAAGTGAACTTAGTGTTGGGAGACAGAAGCTTGATGGCCCTTGGGGGCTGACTTGCAGGGTGTCAAACTTTGGGATATAGCAGAGAGAGCTTGGCATGACTTATTACTGCAGGCTGTAGAATCCTGGAAAAGAGCTACCATGCAGTCCATGCCTGGTTGACTGGAGGACCACCTTAGTGAAAAGGGGACAATCTGGGCCTCTGGCCTGCCATGTGCACAAGCATAACAATTGCTTTTGTTTAATGTGCAGACAGAATATTTGATCCATTCCAACCAGGCATTTGCATCTTGGTATCCTGTCTTAATTGCCAAAGTTTGCTTTAAGTCTTTAACTTCTATGGTCCTCTAGTAAAATGAATGTATGATTTTAGAAAATTACAAAAAATGGTTGGGGCAGTCCATCCTTGCTCTTTAGTGGTCCACAGAACGTTGGACCAACTATGGCATAAAAGCTCTACATTGTCGGGGCAAGACTCCTGGTTGACACTGGGCTCTTTATTGAAATCTCCCTGGAGTAAATGGTCCTAATTTACTAATGCCTAGTTTGAGGAGAGTCAGGGGGAAAGAGGTACTTTTCTGAAGTAGAGAGCTGTCTTTGACTTGGCAAGTCCTCATAGGGTATAACAAGGAAAGCATTAAATGCAATAGTTTGAGGCAAAATTGACTTGGTCATGTTAATAACTAGATGGTTAGCAATAGAGCGAGGAAAGAAGAAAGAATAATAGAATAGATGAAAGAGTTTAATTTTTCTTAGCTTTAATTTGGTAGCATTTTCCCCTGGGATTGTGGCCCACGACTCTGGAGGGGGTAGCACTTTGACTCGGGTGTGATGAGTCCATTCCTTTTTCACTGTACGGACAGCAGTCTTGGTGGTTAGCAGCACAAGGTAGGGTCTGTCCTAGGCTTGCTCGAGTTTTTCTTTTTTCCACCCTTTGATAAGACGGTGTTCTTCAGGCTGGTGCTGGTTTACTGGAAATTCTACGGGTGATACATGTGCTAAACCAAGCATATAACCATCATTCTCAGCAAACTATCGCAAGGACAAAACCAAACACCACATGTTCTCACTCATAGGTGGGAATTGAACAATGAGAACACTTTGACACAGGAAGGAGAACATCACACACTGGGGCCCGTCGTGGGGTGGGGGGAGGGTAGAGGGATAGCATTAGGAGATATACCTAATATAAATGATGAGTTAATGGGTGCAGCACACCAACATGGCATATGTATACATATGTAACAAACCTGCACATTGTGCACATGTACCCTAGAACTTAAAGTATAATAAAAATAGGTGGGAATTGAACAATGAGATCACATGGACACAGGAAGGGGAATATCACACTCTGGGGACTGTTGTGGGGTGGGGGGAGGGGGGAGGGGGGAGGGATAGCATTGGGAGATATACCTAATGCTAGATAACGAGTTAGTGGGTGCAGCGCACCAGCATGGCACATGTATACATGTGTAACTAACCTGCACAATGTGCACATGTACCCTAAAACTTAAAGTGTAATAATAATAAATTAATTAATTTAAAAAAAATCATGGAAGTGAAAAAAAAAAAAGAAATTGACCTTTTGCTTTGGGAGGCCGAGATGAGTGGATTACGAGGTCAGGAGATCAAGACCATCCTGGCTAACACAGTGAAACCCCCTCTCTACTAAAAATACAAAAAATTTGCTGGTGTGGTGGCAGGCACCTGTAGTCCCAGCCACTCAGGAGGCTGAGGCAGGAGAATGGCATGAACTTGGGAGGCAGAGCTTGCAGTGAGCCGAGATTGCACCACCGCACTCCAGCCTGGGCAACAGAGCAAGACACTGTCTCAAAAAAAAAAAAAATGAAATTGACCTTTTGTTTTAAATGTGGGGACATCAGCAGTGGACTTTATGGTCCTTGGTGCCTTTTTACTGAGAAATTTCCTTTAGCACCTATTTTTATTAGCTTTGAGACCAAACAAGCCAAACACCATTTTATATTTGACAATGCTTCCTGTACAATTTTTATACCAGATAAGCTAAATTTCACATTTGTATTAGTGTGTTATTAATGTTAAACTTAGTTTTAATTAAAACTTTGTAGACACATTTATTCAATTTTGAATGTCAGACCATAAGGTAAATTTTTGTAGACTCTTTTTAACCTTTTATAATCTTCGTTAAAGAGCAGGTTAGTGCTTTAAGAAAAACCTGTTGTGTTTTTATTTTAATGTTCAGTTCACAGAAAAACTGGATGATACCCGTTTAACTTTAGCCAATATGTTTACACACAGAATTTCCTTTACAATTAACGTTTTAAAATTTGCTTAAACCTTCAAAACAAATTTTTTTAACCTTTTAATGTAGGTAAAAATCCACGTTTTTATGCCTTCTTATAATCCTTTTACCAGAGGTATATTTTACTTTCCTGATACACCTTGCACATAAACTGTTTTCTTCAATAGTTTTACATTCAGGAGGGCTAATTACTTTTAAATTATACAACCATTCTTGCATAAATTCTTTTTTTAAAACTTTTTTTCTTTGATGACTTTCACAGACAGTTCTTCGACATGCCTCAACTTTCTGACTTATTGCAAACATTTCTTTCTTTAAACAACCAGTTAATTAATTTCAAGACAAGAATTTACCATATAACATTCTTTTTACATAAATTCTGCCCCCCCTTTTTTCCCTTTTTTTCAAAGATGATAACCATTCTTTTCCAAAGCGAACTTCCTTTATGTCTGTGGACTAGACTGTCTGAGGCCATAAGATTAGAAGTTACTGTAATACATGTTACACTGTTAACTTTTAGCAAACTTTACTTTTGTTGAAAACCTTGTAAGTTTGGGATTTCAATTATCCTTTGCTATTAATAAGACCTTGTTTAGTCCAAATTAACTTAGAATTTGTATAGATGGCTTTTTTTTTTTTCCTTCAATTACGGGAGGAACCATCTATTATCCTGTCCTGAAGGGAGTTCCTTCTAGGTCTGCTTGGACCTTTGTATGGTAATTAAGATTTAGATCTCCTGATAGGAAACCTGCTGCGTTAAGGGAATTTTCAGTGGTTAATGTTAAATCTTCTTTTTCTTTTTCATTTTTTTTTTAGAGAAGGAAACTTCTGAACTGGTGAGGTGTGCTAACAATGAGGTTTCCTCTAAAAGTTATTTTTCTACTTTCTTCTGTTAGCAAAGCAGTTGCCGCTACAGATTGAATGCATTTGGGCCATCCGTGGGTCTCTGGGTTAAGGAGTTTTGATAGGAAGGCTATGGGTTATCAGTGGCCTTAGTGCTTTTGGGATACGCCCTTGTTTACACTGACAACAAAGTGTTATTGGAGTGTTATAGGGTTATGAGAATACCTTTAATTATCAACTATAGGTTTGAAATTTACCTTAGCTTTTAAAGGAATAGGGTACACTGTTTTTTCTTAACTACTTGTATATCTCTCTCTTTCTCTCTTTGACTTTCTGTCTCTCTCTCTCTCTTTGACTTTCCTTTTGCCTCTGTCTCTTCCTCTCTCTCTGCCTCTTTTCCTCTCTGTCTCTTTCCTCTCTCTCTCTCTCTGCTGGTCTTTCCTTGCCTCTGCCAGCTGCTTATGTTGCTGTTCTCTCTACTGCTGTGGGGGTGAGTGAGTCTAAAACCAGCTGTAACCAAGTGTCTATGTACGGGAACTGCTCTGGGTGACCTGGCTTACAGGTTACCTTGTGCCATACCTTTGAAACAAGGGACCAGCCCAGGCTTCCTTCTGATGGCCAACCCACCTCTAATGCTGGCCAGTCTATTTCACACAAAGTTCTAAGTTTTCCTGGTGTCATAGTGACACCATAATCTCCCTTAAATCCTTCCTTGAAATTTTTCAACATAGTTCCTAGTGGGGTGGGCTTACTTTGTGCATGACCCATGCTTCCTCAAGACAAAACACAACGCTTACACCACACGCACTCCACAAAACAAAGAATGGGTAAAAAGGGCACATACGCACTTTTACAGTTTACTCCAAAACAAAATCAAAACCAGAATCAGAGTATCAAGAAATCCAAGCCAGGTCAAAACCAAAACCAAAACCAAAGTATCAAGCAATCCAAGTCAAGTCAAAAACAAAAACTAAAGTGCCGGTACAGGCATGCCATGGCCATGCTTCCACTCAAATGGAGTAGGCAAGTTCCAAAGACCAGTCTTACTAAGTTTCAGATGTCCAGACTCCAAGTGCCAGTTCCTTCCCAGTGTTCAGCCACTGCGTTGATACTCCACAGGGGCCTGCCACGTGCTGCTCTGGCGAGGCATTCCACTGGGGCACTTGCCTACCCAGGAGCACTCTCAGGATCTGTGTCACTCAAGCTAGCTGGAGTGCCCTGCAGGGATGCTCCACAGGGCAGGCCTAAGCCGCCTAATGGGCTGCCTCAACCATCTGTTAATCACCTCACTTTGCAGTCAGGGAACCAAGAAAAGTAGCAGGATGAGCCACAGACAAGAACCCCTCAGATATGAAGTTGTGGAAGGAAAGGGCTTTATTCAGCTGGGAGCATTGGTGGGCTCACATCTCCAAAAACTGAGCTCCCCGTATGAGCAATTCCTGTCCCTTTTAAGGGCTCACAACTCTAAGGGGGTCTGCGTGAGTGGGTCGTGATTGATTGAGCAAGCAGTGGGTACATGACTGGGGGCTGCATGCACTGGTAATCAGAATGGAACAGAACAGGACAGGGATTTTCACAATGCTCTTCCATACAATGTCTGGAATCTATAGATAACATAACTGGTTAGGTCAGAGGTCGATCTTTAACCAGGCCCAGGGTGTGGCGCTGGGCTGTCTGCCTGTGGATTTCATTTCTCCTTTTAGTTTTTACTACTTTTTTCTTTGGAGGCAGAAATTGGGCATAAGACAATATGAGGGGTGGTCTCCTCTCTTACTATTTTATAAATATCTCCAACCAAAATGATCAACTTGAACAAAGTTCTGACATTGAACATATAAAGAAGTGAGTGTCAATAATACTGTCTCCATGAACAAATATTGTACTTTTTTATTTTTAATATTTATTTTTCTTATTGTAGTTATGTGCTTATTGTGAGGGATTTAATCTTTTTTAATGTCCCAATAGAGTTAATTAACTTCAAACTTTATAGAGACTAACTATATAGACTTTCTCCTGAACAGATCAACAACAGATTAACTTCTATGTCCATTTTGGAAATTTTCTGCAAGGGAACAAAGAATTTGGTTGAAAATCATCATCCTCATCATCATTGTGGTAGTAGTTAAAATTTATTGTGTGCTTCCTGTGTTCTAAGTACTTTTATGCATATCATTTAATTGAATCCTAATAACAACTGTGTGAGATAGGGGCTATAATCAACCCTACTTTTAAAATGAGGAAATTAAATCAGAGAAGGATTAACTTGCCTAATACTGCATAGCTATGATATGGTGGATAGTCTGGGTTAACTGAAAATCAGATCAATGTTGATTTTGATGAGTTAACTCTAATAAGCCACTATGTTTGCTTCCCAACTCTAGATACAGAATCTATTACAGATGAAAGCTGTCAGGACTGTAGGGTAAACACACCTGATAGCACTAACTTCTGCATACCCTTAGAATGAACGTGTATAGTGGATGCACCTGAATTGTGTTCTGAGCTGGGAAATCCAGGAGTGACCTGGAGATTCATTCCTTGTCCATGAGGAACATCTGAGCCCCCATCCTGTGGAACAAGGGCCATACAGGGTATTGAGGCCCAGAATTTTGGCCTCAATGAAGGCTGCCAGGTAGAGGTTATTAGAGGAGGGTGTTAAGTGAAAATGCTGTGTAAACTGCATGTTGTTTGCAAGCAGTTGTGATTTTCCTGCTCAGCCGGCTGCCACTGGACTCTCTCCCCTGTATGTAAAACCCATGTCTTGTTTACTGGCTCTGGGTCTCTTCTTTGGCTTCATCCCCTCTGAAGTCAATAGGGGCTCAGCATGACAAGGACTGACTGGAAGCATGGGAAGTAAAACAGCCAATTCTCACTGTCATCACCCTGCAAATTCTACCTGCCTGTATTTACTCTACATTCTCTTTTGCCTCTTCTACCTTTTTCTTAAATTCCCTTTTCATAATTTGTATTTGGCTCCCCAAAACATGGCAAAAAAAATTAGAAAAGTAATTTTAAAAGAAAATGATTATTTCAAGGTAAATGACATGAAAATTGGAGTCAGAATGTGCATCTGCTGGTCCTACTCCATTTCATATCCTTGGTAGATCATTAGCAAACCTCAGCCCAGATGAGAATAGACTTCTTTCCACAGCATTGCAGGAAGCCACTACTAATTACTTGGAATTGGCTAAAAAGAGGAAGCTATTTTTTGGCAGTAGCATCTGAATTGTCAGCAGGTGCATTCTACTTCATTTGACTAATTTATAGATGGAAATGACAGTAACATTGTTTAAGAAAAGATTGGATAAAGCTAGACAGGAATATATTAAATAGTTCTATCATGTAGATAATTTCTGCTCAAAGTTCCAGAAACTTTCTCTGGTCAGGGTTTGAAAACAATTAGGCAATAAAATATAACAAAGAGTGAGCATGGCATTGAACAGAGAATACAAATTTATTTATGTAAAATAAAAATAATTTTATGATACTGAAGGCTTTCTTTACACATGTGTAAGGTACATGGATGTGCTTTGGTCAAGGAACAGGCCAAGGTGGATATCTAGTCCTGCAGGACTCAGCAAGTTTGGCAAGCAAGTGCACACCTCCACTTGTTATATAACCTATTCGTGGAAGTTCATACTTGGCTCTAAACCGCTATTGTCTGTAAAAGGTATAACTGTTCTGCTGACACTGTACAGGGGCTCTTGACTTGGCTCATCTCAGCTCAACATGGCTTGACACGGTGGGCACACTGGTGCCCAGAGAAAGAGAGAGAGTTAGAGCTGTCCATCTTTGCAGGTGGGCAGGAGGGAGCCATGACACAGCTCAGCTGGCTCATGCCCAGAGAGAGAAAGAGTTAAGCTGCTGACCCTGAAGGCAAGGGAGAGCTGGCAGCATAGCTTGTGTGGGGGCCACCAGACTAAGCAGCCAAGACAAGGCAGACAGTGTGAGAAAGCTGTGGATGAGGGCTGCTGCTGAATAAAATCATTCGGTCCCTTGCAGCCCCTGAGACTTCCTTCTGCTCATCCACCCACTCCCTTTAGACCTCAGCATGGACTGGAACCTGACCCCAAGCATGATAACTGGTGTAGTCATGAAGGTGACAACAATAGTTTAACTGGGAAATTAAATTAAGATGGTAACTTCGTCAACATAGAAGTAAAGAGAAAGGAATTTTGAGACTATTAATAGAATTTAAACTACGATAGTCTGAGGTAATTTGCTCTTTTAACATAGAGCTTTCTAGTTGGTTGGCTTTGAATGACTTACAAATATACTCAGTAAATTGATTCCTTATCCTAAGGGCAGCTGGGCTATGTGGGCTATTCACCAACCTTGGCTCCTGGATCCTAAGAGAATCTTTTTTAATTTACTCTATTTGGTGTACATGAAAATGTTTGAGAAGAGCTTGAACTTACTGAGATACTTGAAATTTGATGATGAAGAAGGAGGTCTTCTTGTCTGGCAGTGGTAAGTGGCAATGCGCTTAGTCCCTTAAGTGCACTATAAACTAAGAGACCCACTAAGTAATGTTTTCCCATTATAACCTCATCAAGGCCTTAAGTCATTACAAAAACATTTTGTACAACACTAACAAATTAACTTTTATGAAATCCTAGTTTCACCATATTCCCTCCTACTCAAATACATGTAATCTCTTGCCATTACATCCAGCATATAGACTATATTCTTTCCTCTGTACATTCATATCATTGTACATGCCAATTTACCTAACTGGAATCCTATAAACTCTGCCTATTTAACTCTTACCCTCTCCTCAAGGCTTTATTCAAGTTTTATCACTTCAGTGAAGGCTTCCCCATAGACTTTCCTGTGGCTCATAATGATACCTCACTTTTATGCCATTTATGTTAGGCTTATTGCTTAAGCCAAGAGAGTTTTGAAAAGATATTAAAACTTAAGGTTATAATACTGAAAAATACAGGTAGAATCATGGAACAATAGTAAGAGAAGTCTGGAGTCAACTCCAATGATAAGTAACATATATAATAAAATCAACTTTTCAAATTGGTTGAGGTAGTTAGGTTCACTATAGCTTTGTATATAAAAGCTGACACTGTTAGTGGGAGTGTAAATTAGTTCAACCATTGTGGAAGACAGTGTGGCGATTCCTCAAGGATCTAGAACCAGAAATACCATTTGACTCAGCAATCCTATTACTGGGTATATACCCCAAGGATTATAAATCATTCTACTATAAAGACACATACACCTACATGTTTATTGCAGAACTATTTACAGTATCAAAGACTTGGAACCAACTCAAATGCCCATCAATGATAGACTGGATAAAGAAAATGTGGCAGACATACACTATGGAATACTATGCAGCCATAGAAAGAATGAATTCACGTCTTTTGCAGGGACATGGATGAAGCTGGAAACTATCATTCTCAGCAAACTAACATAGGAAAAGAAAATCAAACACCGCATGTTCTCACTCATAAGTGAGAGTTGTACAATGAGATCACATGGACACAGGCAGCAGAATATCACACTCTGGGGCCTGTTGGTTGGTGGGGGACAAGGGGAGGGAGAGCATTAGGACAAATACCTAATGCATGCGGGGCTTAAAACCTAGATGATGGATTGATAGGTGCAGCAAACCACCATGGCACAAGTATACCTATGTAACAAACCTGCACTTTCTGCATGTGTATCCCAGAACTTAAAGTAAAATTAAAAAAAAAAAAATCTGAAAAGTCAGGACTATTTAAATGCCCAATAGTTTGAGACTGTTTTGAATAAATCATAGTATATCTAAAATGGAGCAATATATTACATAGAAAGGTGGTCATGATAGAATGAAGTAACAAAAGTAGGTTACAATAAGGACAGGAAGTCCTCACTTAACATCCTTAATGGGTGCTCAGAAACTGTCGCTTTAAGGGAGACAACACATAACAAAACCAATATTATCTTATACTGATTGACATAAACAAGAATCAAGTTCCTATGGCAAACATTCTAAGTAAGGAGCAAAGTATTTCTAATATCAAACATTGAAATAAATGTATAAACACATTTAATATCTTCATTTTTAAAGTGCTCTATATAGAAAAAAATAGTTGTATTCTTCCTTCCTTCCATCGTTTTTTCTCTCTCTTATTCTCTTTCTCTTATTCATTCTCTCTCTCTCTCTCTTTTACAGTGTCTCACTCCATCACCCAGGCTGGAGTGAGGTGGTGTGATTATCCCTCACTGTGCTATTCATTATTCATTTTCTAAAAAGCAAACTGTCCCTTACAAACCTTTGGTTTTCCTAGTATCAATCTCATCTTATTATCTAAAATGTAATCTCCTCAAGAAAAAAAAAGATGGTAAATATATTGTTTCCAACATCAACTAGCATCACTTCTCAATAATATCAGGCATTTATGAGGCATGTCCTAGTTAATTAAATGATGCTATACCATAATGATTGAAAGTGCAAGCTCTGGAGACAAACCATCTTGATTTGAAACGTGGATCTACACCTTATTAGCTATTCCTTAGTTTCCTCATCTGTAAAATGGGAAGTACAGTTAAATGTTTCATAAAGTTGTTATAAGGATTACATGAGTATATGCATGTATGTCAGTGCCTGAGTATATCTGTGTATACTACATAGAACAAATATTATATGCTTGACACTCAAAATTCTGTGTTTTACTGGATCACACCATAATCTTTATAATTAATCTTTACATATCATTTTTATTATCCTGAATTTATACATGAGAAAAATGGTATTATCCTCCAAAGAGATAAAAGATAAGTAATTTACTGAAGTGCATGCAATAAAGTAGCCAGGATACTAATGCAGGCAGTCTAGTTCCAAAATCCATGCTCCTAATGACTGTATGATACTGACTCGCTATGTCATAGGTACTTAGTATACAGTTATTTAGGGACTATACCTAATTAATAAACATTAATTCCTGCTGATCTGACTTATAAATCTCTCAAATTTATATTCCCCTTTAGTGGCTAAAGGTCACTGTATTAGTTATCTATTGTTATATAACTAATTATTCAAATCCTAGTGACTTAAAACAACTATAATCATTTATTATCTCTCACTATTTTTGTGGGTTGGGAATTTGGAATAGTCTGGTTGTGCAACTCTTGGTTCAGGTCTCATATGAGATTGCAGTCAGATGCTGGCTGGGATGGCTGTCGTCTGAAGCCTTGACTGGGCCTGAATGATCTGTTTCCAAGGTGGTTCATTTCCATTGCTGGCAATTTGGTGCTGACTATTAAAGAGAGTGGGGGGTGTTTCAGTTCCTCTTCACATGGGGCTGTCTCTGGGACCACTTGAGTGGCCTCACAGCATGGAAGCTGGCTTTCTCTAGAGTAACAATTCAAGAGACTCATATGGAAGCTCCAATGAACTTATGTTCTTGGCTTGGAAGATACAAATCTTCACTTCTACTATATTCTCCTTGTCAGCGAAACCAGTCCTCATCAACATTCAGAAGACTATGTCATAGTCCATTTGGGCTGCTATAACAACATACTGGATAGACGGGGTGGCTTATAAAGAACAAAAATTTCTTTCTCACAGTTCTAGAGACTGGGAAGACACAGATCAAGTTACTGGCAGATTCAGTGTCTGGGGAAGGCCTGTTTCTTGATTCATAGATGGAATCTTCTTGCTGTGTCTTCACATAGAAAAAGGGGCATGGCAGTTTTCTGTGGTCGCTTTTATAAGGGCAGTAATTCCATTCCTAAGTGCTCTGCTTCCATGACCTAATCACCTTCCAAAGGCGCCACCTCCAAGCAGCATCACACTGGGGATTAGGTTTCAAGATATGAATTTGGACCTATGAAATAACCATTCAAACTATAGTACTATACAAAGACATGCAGCTTATTGGGGCCATTTGGGAGGCTGGCTAGCACAATCATATACACACATCATGTTTCTGTCTCTGGCCCATCTGCTCTGGTAGTATCCTTCCTTCTTCAGGGAGATGGCTTTTATGCATTTCACCATAACCTACCCCCAAACTAACCTCCCCTTAAGTTTACAAAAATATGAAGGTGACCAACCCAAGGACAATTAGGTGTCACCCCCAGGAATTTTTATTCCCATATGGAAACATACAAATATAAAATATCAATTTAAATCATCAAATAGGTTCCATAGGATGATCATCTGCAAATTTCAGTTGCTTCCCTGCTTTTCTTCACAGCTCAGGTGGTCAGTTCTTTCTGAACTTTTTGCTTCTTAGATAACTTAGAGTTGGTTGATTTTCTTCACCATTGGAAAGTCCTCGTTGATAGATTCACTTTCAATATGCCCCCAGCCAAGAACAAAATACACTATGTGTGTTATGTTGATAAAAAAAAAGTCAGGAAACCTTTTAAAAAAATCTCTCAGGCAATTGTATCATTGAGCTCAGAGAGACAAGAGGGCCCTCAGACGGCCTTTGGAGACTCTCATGAGACCTGTGCTACAGACGGCTTCTGTCTCTTCTTTTGTCAGGTTCTGCCATCACAGAGGCACTACTAAAAGATGACCTCACTTACAAATCTGGGCCTATTAATAAGAGGCCTATTCATAGAGGATTTGTTAATTTAGTTAACATTATAAACTCATAACTTAATTCTGTTTATGTGAAAGCCAAAATATGCCGCAGAATCTTAAAGACAATTACATACTATTAATATTCCATTAAGTGTCCTGAAAAAAATCAAATCTTTGATACATTTTCAATTGTCTTATATGCCAAAAGATTTCTACATGTTAGTGTGTGCAAGATTTTCTTTTAATAATTCTTTAATGCAAATCCATTTCAAATGATTCAATCCTTTTTATTTCATTATTATAAACCATGAACATAAACTTTTAAAATATACTTTCTCAGCTAGAAGTATATCTTAATTAGCTTTTTCTTCAAAGCTAATAGAAATAGACATTGTGTTCAAATCTTTTTACAACCTGAAAAACAAGCTTAGTGGAAGGAGGGATACAATTATGCGTGGGAAGGTAAAAGCAAGGACTATTGTTTCTGGCACATTGTTAACTAAATCGTGTGTGTGGGTGTTCCAGACACCATCAGCTGAGAGGCAAATATAAGAATATTATTGTAAGGTATTTCCAACATTTTTCCACCAAATGAATGTGTTGAAGTCTTTTGACAAAATCACTAGTTTTTGACTATGTCTGATATCATGTATTAAACATCACATGATAAATCAGGGGCTAACAAGACAAAAGTCACTGGGCCATATTTCATTTGAAGGTGGGAATTCAGCATCTCTAAGCAGAAAATCACAGCTGCCTCCTGTCATTCCCTTGCATTCTGAGTTTTGCTATAGGTATTGATAGTCACCTGAAACATCTTAGCACACATAGGTACACATATAAATTTTAGGTAGAGAATATCAGCTTTCTTTGGCACTCAGTTGCATGCCTGGCCTTTTCTTTTGAGACAAAGTCTCACTCTGTCACCCAGGCTGGAGTGCAGTGGCACAATCTCGGCTCACTGTAACCTCTGCCTCCCAGGTTCAATCGATTTTCCTGGCTCAGCTTCCCAAGTAGCTGGGACTACATGTGTGTGCCACCATGCCTGGCTAATTTTTTTATTTTTAGTAGAGACAGGGTTTCACCATAGTCGCCAGGCTAGTCTCAAACTCCTAACCTCAGTTGATCCACTTGCCTTGGCCTCCCAAAGTGCTGGGATTACAGGTGTGAGCCACCACACCCAGCCATGCTTGGCCATTTTATGTGTGTAATTGCTGTCTTCTGACTGCTGATAGAGTTTGTATTTGTTGAGGTTTGTGTAAATACATGTAGCCATGCATACGTGTATATATTTGTTTGCATGATTGATCATAAGTGGGCCTTCTGTGTGTCTGTGTTTGTGTATCTTATATTATAGTCCTTGTTAATGTAATTATCCATTTCATTCCATGCTTGCTAATTACTACTTCCTCAGAACTCCAGTTTTTTGTTTGTTTGTTTCTCTTCCTATCACCTTATTTCCCCAATACAGGGTTCATATAACCCTTTTCAATGATGTAAGCCCTTCTTAGATTAAATTGCTATTTGATAATTTAGTCTTTTTCTTCTCCTTCCCTTCCTCCTAGTTTGTTCCTCTGTACTTTATAAAAATGTCACTACTATTGTGAGTTGAAAATATCCAAGACACATTTTCCTTATTTGTGGGAGGAGAAGATCAAAGAGAAATAATTGGTATTCCATGGAAAGGAAGTACACGTCAAAGAGATATATGAATGTTATCTTTGGTGTAGTGATTTAAAAGTTTATGTAGAATAAATATATCCATTTGTTCACCCAGAATTAATTGATTTTTCTTCTCTATGTAAGGTACAGGTCTGGGCAATAGTTAAAATGGTAATAATGTTCATTTCTTCACATTTTGCTGGAAGTTGTGCTAATAGAAGAAAATACGAATATAAGTTATTTAGTCATCCAATAAACAGGTGTATCTCAAAAGGCAGTTACTGTGGAAAGAATACTGAACTTGGAGACCAGGTATCTGCATTGAAACCCCAGGCCTTCATATACAGCTTCTCCACACAGAATCTTTTTTTTAGAATGTAAATCGGATTGTATTATGTTTCCTTGTCTTTTAAAGGCTTCTGATTGTCCTTACGATATAGAAAACAGTTTATAACGTTGCATACAGTTCCTGCGTGGTCCAGCTCCATCTTTCAGTGCTGACCCACATGTACTGTGAGTACTGAAACACATGTACATGCATTATGGCTATGATCATGCTTCCAGCCACCACAGCCATAGTTCATTGAGTAGACAATGCTCCATCTCTCAGGACCATCGGTCATTCTATTTTTCTCTCTAAAGCACTCTTTTGCTTGCCTTTAAAACTTCCACTACTCCCACTTAGAACAGATTAGTTTTTACAGGTTTTCATGAAACATGTTGCTTTCCTTTGGATCACTTATCTCCATTTTTAGTTGAATATTAATTTGTGTCATCAACGTTGACTCCTCAACTGAACTGTTAACTCCCCAAGAGCAGGTACTACATCTGTGTCCCTGACCGCTGGCTCCCCTGTGCCTATCTCAGTTTCTGACACACACAGGTTTTTGAAAAAGTTAATCACTTAAGAAAATTATTGAACTGCTCAGAAACAAAATTTCACCAATTATAAAATGGGGATAATAAATTACTTGTTAGATTAACTGAGAGAATGTGCATAAAAACTTTGCCTAATGCTCTAAAATATAGGGTGGGATAATGATTATAACAATAACCAAGATGAATTGCTGTTCTAATTGATTTGGTCAATAGAGAAAAACTAGTCAGTGATATGGGTGTGCATATAACTTTAAAATAAATCATTGTCTTACTGCATAAAAAAAAGCAAAATATGTTTATAGATATCTTCAGATACTGTAAAAGAATATAAAATCAAAAACGAAAGTTCCTTTCTCTGTTATTACTTCCAGCTGTAATCTACAGTTGTAACCACTTAAAATTGCTTTTTGTTTTCAGCTCTTATGTGGTTATCATTGGATCTCTAAGTTTTATGTTTTTATTTCTATTTCTTGTTTCATCAACTTTAGACAGCATCTACTAACTTGCTGCTATGAAAGATGAGTTTAGATCATCACACTAACTTCTACCTTCCCGATTTCTATATGCAATTTTTGTTATTTATATTATTATGATTATTCAATATTACATTTTTGACTTTAAACAATATTTTTAACAAACGTTTCTTGCTTCATGTAATTTAAGGTAGCTATTTATCTCACATTGTATAAGAAGAGGAAAGTAGTGTACACACATTTTTCTTTCATTATTCTTGCCCTTTACATTTCCTAAGTTCTGCCCACCGTGCCACTGTTTGATTTTGTCAACTTATGTCCTGTTTTGTTCTGTCAAGTCTTATGTTATCTTCTGTGTTTTTTCACCAAAGGTTGATTTTAAAAATTATAAACAAAGCAACCTCATAAACATGAGCATTATGTAAGTGTGATAAATATTATGCATAAACAACGTTAAAAACAAATATATATTGCAATCAAAGTACTGTAAAGGGACTCATTGAAAAGAGTTGTACTCCTAATTGAAACTGTGTCAAAATAAAAGAGAACATTCCAAGTTCTTAATGCTCAAAATTATATTTTAATGTGCTCAATATGTGGTCTATTTTTTTATACAGCTTTTTGTTCTCAAAAGAGTTTCTAATTCTTTCTTTGTTATTACTGGCAGCAAAATACTCATAAGTTTTTATATTAATCATATAGATTGTAGAATGGAACTGATTTTCTCCTTAAGGATTTTTTTTATAGCAGCCACTGATTTCCTGCTTTTATTTGTATTGATGGCACAGAGATTTCATTGCATAAAGCCAATGAATTCGAGTGTGCTTCTCTTTCTTGACTTCCTTTTTGACCTTTCAGGAATATAAAGTCAAGTAATTTTATTTATTGAAGGATGTTTGCAAGGAGGTATTTTTTAATCTCTGAGATCCAAAAATGCTTCTAATTTCTCTTTAAATTTGACTGGTATTTTGACTGGGTATAAAATTCCAGGCTTTAACTAATTTTTCCTCAGAAATATCAAAGGCATTGGTCCATTGTCTCCTAGCTTTCATTTCAGCTAATGAGAAACTTGATGCCAGATTCTTTTTCCTTGGTAGATAACGTAGATTTATTTTCTAAAGATTTTGAACATATTCTTTTTATTTTGGTGTTGAGATTTTACTAGTATATGTATCTGTGTGGATTAACTTTTCATTCGTATTTTTGGCATAAAATAAAATCTTTCATTCTAGAGATCATATTTTCCTTCATCTCAGGAAATATATATTTTACATTTTTCCCATTTTCTTTACCTCCTAATTTCTAGAATTCCTCTTAGATGTTATCCTTCTTGCATTTTATCTATCTCTTCATTGTAATAATTTACATATTTTTAAATTATCAATTTACATACTTTATAATTATTTATTAATTCATTAATATATCAACAAATATATATTTGATACCTCTGAAACAAATACTGAGCTCTAGGCTTTATAAATGCAATAGAAAGCAGGCAAAAATCGCCACTTTGACATACTGTCTAACACACCCTACTTAACCTGTTCTGAGAGATTGCTTAAGCTCTGTCTTAAAGAACAAAAATTTTGTCTTCTTCTTTGTTTATCTTATTATTTTTTCCTTCTACTAAATTTTAAATTTCAGTTATTATATTTTTAATGTAATGTCAAAAAGCTTTTTACTTTTCTTTTTTTATTATGGCCTCTTCTAGAATTTTGCTTTTAATGTCTACTTGCGTAGGCTGAGATTGCTAATTATATCCTTTTGTTACAAAACATTTAATTTCAGAGATATAATGTCAAAGTTTTACAGGTACACATGGAAAAAAAATCAAACACAATCACAGATGAAAGTTAAGACAACTTAATCATAGCTATTGCTATGCTGACTATTCATTAGTGTGGAGACAGAAGTTCTCTGGGTGAGACATGCTGTAGGACAGACAGGAGGGGTAACTAGTGCTCCTCCCCTTCCTGTCTCCATCAACAGACCCTACACACACCAAAGAAATTCCTCAATATCTTTTCTGGGATGGCAATGTTCTTAAATGTCCAGCATACTCTCCCTCGTCCAACCCATTATGCACATTCCTAGGCATGATTGAAATAGATTAGGGCAAACATATGATCAAGTGAGTCTAATCTTCAGCAATGGCTATACCTTGGCCAAGTCTCCACCAGCAATCACAGTAGGAGTCTGGTTATTAATACTAACCTGGAATCCAGTAGGGTACCAATATGCAAACTGAATGCTACACTTGATGATGGGAAGGCAGAATAAACACTTTTGAGAACCACAACACCACTACATATAACATGGCAAAAGTCACAGTCCATCTCTTAGTCCATGTATGTTTTATTATGAGGGCCACCTTATACCATGTGGTTGGTTAGCTCTACAGTCTCTTCTATGGAAAGCTGTTTATCATGAGCTTTCTAGGCAGAGATGACTGTAGTTTACATGGTTACAGGGAACTTTAATATAAAAGGATGACATTTAAGATTGGTCTGGAATTCTGGCAGATCCACATTAAAGGCATTTTCCAACCAAAGGGAGATAGTTATGGAGTACTATTTATCTAATAAAGATGTTAAGTTTAGTGTAGTTTGGGCGCTCAATACTGAAAAATATATATCTTAATTTCTACTAGAAACACAGTGACAGTCTCAGGACAGTGTAGGGGGTGAGGATGGAGTTATAGGGGCATGTAGTTCAGTTACAGCTGTGAGGTCTAGGTAAATAGAGAATGTAAGCTTGGACAAGTTACCTTATTCAACAGCAACTTTCATGAGCAGGAAATAAATCCAGAATATGTTCCCCCTCCAAAGTTATGAAAAACCAAGAATTTTTAAAGGTCTCTTCACTCATCAGCCATTTGTAAATTCTGTCCAAGACTAAATTAATGATTTCCCTGACAGTGACAGAGTGCCCTTGGGCATAGTTATTGGTCTTCCTTGCCAGTGATATGCTGATTAGAGTGGAAGAACCAGTGGTTAAATCTCAGTGCAAGCTTAGTAAGTGTGAGTTTCAGGACTTCAAATGCTGTTTTGGAGACATGTTCTCATCACTCATCTCACTGAAGGTGGTAAAGGAGTCACCTCTCTACATGGCTACAGTTTTGTTACTTGACTAGATGACATGTTTCAGGAAGTAGAATTCTCAGTAGTCAATTGCCTGTCGGGCACCGCCTATGTGTGGTGATGAATGTAAGCATGTGGCTATGGGTTTGGAAATGAAGCTAGCTGGAGCAGACACAGAGTCCTATTACCATGAAAAAAGGCTAAGGTTTGAGATAAGTAATTCACTCAATTTTTTTTGAAAGTTTTATTTTAACCTCCAAATTATTTCTCATGATTTACATCACGTTACTGCAGTTGCTCATCTTGGTATTTATTTTTCAGCATAAGGAGGTCCCCAAATCTCTAGTACTATTTAGTTGTTTGATCATGTTTGTGAGTTGTGGTTAGATTGGTCAATGTAGGTACCTGGTGTATGGATTTTTAAAAATTAAATGTAAATAGTTTCAGAAATAGAAATAGGGAGAAACCATATCAATCGGTACAGCATCTCTGAAATATAATAGCCATGTTTAGAAAATAGCTAAATATAAAGATGCTGTACTGTGTTTGAATAATAACACTATTGCCACCGTCATTATGATTGCCCAAAATTTCCTTCTGTTAGGATTTATCAATATACAGTGAATGCAAAGGTTTATGTTTAGATTAGATAGTGTCCCTGCCATAGGAAGATTTACAGCCTAGTGGATCTAATAATCTTTCAGCAACTTTGGAAAATATATTAACTTGTCAAGCCTGGCATCAATTTAGCACCAAGAGCAAATATTAAATAATGAAGATGGTTTATTACAAAAATCCCATAAGTAACCATTTTAACTTCTTTTACAAAGATTTTCAGACATACTTAGGATAGAAAAGTAGCAAAGTAAATGTGAATAGCTTTATGGCAGTTCTTTCCTCTTTGCCACAAGAGATGTGTTCCATTTATAGTTTATTAAGTGCTGGCTTTGAAATACTGTGTTGCCACATTTTATTTGTTCCTTCATATACTAAGGGATGAAATAACAATATGAGAGCAGTAAATACTGCAACAGAAGATATTGATGGAAAAATAGTATAATAGAAAAATATAATTCACTTTTTCTATTTATATGTCAGTATTGAAAAACAAATCAAATAGAAGGGGGGTTCTGTGAGATGTGACAAATTTTTTAAAGTGTGCCAATTACATTTTTTTCTTTTACTTCCTGTTTTTAAAGACCGCATTTTCTTTGGGTTGCTTGGATACATTCCATGGCATGACACTTCCAGAAGTTAGTACTAAAACACAAATCAAAATGACAACTTTAGACACTGGAACCAGTCCTGTAGAGGTCACAAAAGGTGATTCTCCAACGTCATTTTTTTCTCATTTCATTTAATATGCGGGTAGATTCCAAGATGATGCTCTCTCATAGCTTTTCTTCAGCGCTTTCCAGAATGATTCTGAGGCACACATCATTATCAAAAGAAAAAAGATTTCAATTGTTTCTGACATAGGATTTAGCTACCTATGTATCTTATATTGTAACTTCTTCCATCTTTCTCAATTTTTATGTTGATCTCTTTAACTTTTGCATTTCTAATCTCACTTAAACTGAAAGAACATACTTTGTGCAATTTACCCTAATTATTTCGTTTTCATTAGATGATGATAGGTACATATAACTGATTGTGATAAATAAGCTATTTTGTTATTGCAAAATTCTGCACTTTCCTTAAATAGTTGTAAGATCAAATCATCTATGCCTAGCTGCCTTTGCTTAGCTGGCCCACAATAACTGGAGGCAGAGATGATTCTATGACCCTCAAGGTGTATATGATGACAATATTTATTTTTCTTTACCTTTGTTCATGGTTCTAAACTATAGACTGACTCAATAATAAACCATAAATACTGGAATGTCTTATTGCATGTATACTTCAAGAAAATGACTGTCAGGATTACTATCACAAGGACTCATGACCTTGTCTGATACTGAAGAGACAGTCTCATTCTAGGAGGACAGAACTATTCCTTTTCCAGAGTCCAGTCCAATTAAGTCTCTGAGACACCTTGACTTTTTCCTCACTATGTTGTCCAGAATGGCTTCAAACTCCTTCCACCTCAGCCTCCCAAATAGGTGGGACTACAGGCACTTTCTGCCACGTCTAGGGACATTGTGACTTTTGTAGAGAACTCCCAAATAGACAACGGAGATTTCTTTCTAGAGATATACACCTGTAAGTGGAAGAAGATGAGACATTTCTATTCCCTAGTTGGCTAGTCATTTACTGAAAGTATTATAGTCCATTTAAAACATTTTTTCCATCAATTATGCATTAAATGCCCAACATGAAGATTCATTTCATCTCTTTTTCCAGTGCTCTCTCTTCCTGTCTCTCTCTGTTTTTGAGAAGTTGAGTTGAACTTTTTATAAAAGCAATAACTTCTTTGGGGCTCTCCTTAGTACTAAAAATCAGTACTCCTTTATCATAACCTTTGAATGCTCAAATGTTCAGCCCCATATTTTGCCTAGCTGTACTTTATCATTGTCACCAGAATATAGTGTCTCCATATTTGATCCCAATTTATGCTTAGAGTTGCTCTATAATGTTAATTTAAATAACAATGTTCTAATAAGCCATATTACTCTAGGTCAGCTGACTGAATTCTATTAAAATATTTATTGTTTTCATGACTGACAATGACATGTCTGCTTATACATGTGTTATTGCAGGTACATTCTTAGTGTGCTCAACCCTTGTCAGAGCTTACTATTTGAGCAATAAATCAAAGATTATGCATAGAGTAATCCTTATAAGAATTTTCATTAATTAATCCTATTAAGGGAAAAATGATGCTCAGGGGCAGTCAGTGTATCATATTACTATATTTCATTAGTTGCTCATATATTAACATATCTGAAATTAATTTTTCATGTTACAATCAATGACATCTTAGATTTGACAATAATGGTATCATCTACCAGCCCTCTTAATGTCCTCAAGCATTCTACACCTAACATGCAAAGATTGAATTGTGCCAGATATTTTAAACATCTACTTTCATCCACTTGCAAGAGGAATGAATTATATAGAGCCTTCTTTTCTAAAAAGAAGTGTTCCATCTTTTTGGGAATACTATAGATATTGGGTAAATTCCAAGAATTCTAACTGATACGTTAGACATTAGAGCCTGGGTTATGAAAATGTCTATTTTCGGCCAGGCGCGATGGCTCATGCCTGTAATCCCAGTACTTTGGGTGGCCGAGGCGGGCGGATCACGAGGTCAGGAGATCAAGACCATACTGGCTAACACGGTGAAACCCCGTCTCTACTAAAAATACAAAAAAAAAAAAAAATTAGCCGGGCGTGGTGGTGGGCGCCTGTAGTCCCAGCTACTCGGGAGGCTGAGGCAGGAGAATGGCGTGTATACCCGTGAGGCGGAGCTTGCAGTGAGTCAAGATCATGCCACTGCACTCCAGCCTGGGTGACAGAGCAAGACTCTGTTTCAAAAAAAAAAAAACAAAAAAATAAAACAAAAAAAAAGAAAATGTCTATTTTCATATTTGTATTTTTGTATTTCAAGACCCAACCAGGTAGGAGTAATTAGAATAGAATTGCCCTAAACCCCCACAAAATAACAACTGGTAGAGCATTGCTGTGCACTGACAGATGTTTGGGAAAAGTGAAAACAACTCCTATTCAAATGGAAAAGTTTTGAAGTAGACTGTTCTGAATAATAAAAGAGGAGACAATGACCAAAAATGTCTAATTTTTTTTACCAGTATAAAAACTGAATAACGGAGATTTAGCCATTTTGATAAGCTCACATACAAACCCATTTTATATTGAAAACCACTTGAACAATATCAATTCTAATAAAAAGGCCATTAAAAGGATGCTATTCAAGCCTGCTGGCTTTTTTTAGTGGGCCACCTTACAGTCCACTGTTGGTTGCATGATTACTGAGAGCCAAGTGAGCACAGGCTCTTTGTGTTCTGCCAGTATTTTGAAGTGGATAAGCTAAATCTGCCTCTCAGTACACAGAATTCTGCAGAGTTAGCATCAACAATGTCTGTGGCTGATGACATTACCCAGTAAATCATGCTCCGTGCATCATTCAAGACAGAACCATCTTTAGAAAGAGAGATTTATCTTGGCCTTGACAGTCTTGATAAATCAAATCTAGGTTTCAAAGCCAAGAGTAGATTTAATGAAACCATTCTAAGCTAAGAGTTGGTTGATAGAAATTATACGGTAGAATTAAACTTGTTTTAAAATGTCATAGGTATGTTTAAAAGCCCCACTTGTTTGGACTTTAAAAATATTTCAATTAATTTATGTATCCAAATTAGAAGGAGACTAACACTAAAAATTTAAACAGCCCATATCCAACAGACTCGGAGATTAGATGTCCTTATTTATCATTTAAGACCTAACCAGATAAATGATTCTAGACTTGAAAGTAAAAAATAACAAGAAGCCTCTCCCACTGAAATCTAATTCCTGCTAAAAACAACTGTAACCAATACATGGAAGGGACTATGGTGAACACGGAAATGCTCTCCCATATCTCCCTTCAAGATAATACTTGTTCCAGCTGTCAGCAGATAGCCTCAAACTCTTAGCTTCTGCAGTGTTTCCCTAAGCCTAGGAGGACTACCTCACTGTAGCGACGGCCTTCCCGGTACAGTCTACCTCAAATGACTAAGCATGGTGGTGGATAAAGGCCCAACCAGTTTGTTCCACTGAGGAATGGGCCATATGCACCAGAGCTCTGCATGGGGTTAAGTGGTGCTGTGCTGGGACTGCATCACTGGTCAACTCCTCACTCTGTCCAATACTGATTCCTTCCCTTGTCAAATTCTCTAATGGTTAGTCTGCATGCCAAGCACTTTCTCATTGTTTGCTTCTGGAAAACCAACCTGCAACAGGGAGCATATGAAATCATCTCTGCCAGGAAAATGTCAAGACACAACTCCTCTCTGAATATATTACAACAAACAGGTCAGCCTGAAGAAGCCTTTGATGGGGCCAAAAAAGAACCATCCATGATATCTACTGCTGGACCCATAACCAAATTTCTCACTACCTTGCCAGAAAGAGTTGTAGGTTATTTCCTTTTTTTCCAGACACTTACTTATAAAATGAGAATTGTTGAGAAATTTTCTGGATTTGAAAAATCTGGTTAAAAAATAATTTACCTCTAAGACAGAGAGCTCCAAAGGAGGGAAATGTACATGTAAGCTGTTGCAGAATGACCCCTGAGCTGGCTTATTTCAACAGCTTACTTTGATACTCTCTAATCTACCTGGTTATTGCCACTGAATTAAGCAATCTTAAAATCACACACCAGAAAGGTAAAGAGGGTTATTTGTTTTTTTAAAAGTGGAAAAATAAGAGTGCTATTAATCCATCCCTTACTCTTGCACTCTTGGCTTAAAGGAAGGTAACTCTTGCTATAGGAATGTATTAGCCCATTTGTGTGCTGCTATAAAATAATTTATAATGAACAGAAATTTATTGGCTCACAGTTCTGCAGGCTGAGAAGTCCAATATCAATGTGTTGACGTCTGGTGGGGGTCTTGTTGTTGCTTTATCACATGGCAGAAAGTGAGAGGAAAAGAGATAACAAGACAGGGGCAAATTCACTCCTTTATAATGACACTAATTCTACCTATGAGAGTCAAGCCCTCATGGCCTGATTGCCTCTGAAAGATTCTACCTTTTAATACTATTACAATGGCAATTAAATTTCAACATGAGTTTTGGAAGGGACAAACATTCAAATCATAGAAGGAAGTGTTCTTTTTCAGGATGCATGTGTCTGGTAACGAATGTGATGTGACTTGGTTACATAGAATCTCTGTGTGCTGTTCTTTGTTCTCATTCTTATGGGGAAAATCAGGAGGACTGA
Source organism: Homo sapiens (assembly GCF_000001405.40). Taxonomy (NCBI): domain Eukaryota; kingdom Metazoa; phylum Chordata; class Mammalia; order Primates; family Hominidae; genus Homo; species Homo sapiens. The sequence continues at coordinate 44,847,380 of NC_000004.12, forward strand.
AGGTGGGTGTCAAGATATTATCCAAATGTACCTCATAACAACCTATTCTCTGATGGGGGTTCTTTCAGCTAATATCATAGCATTTCCCCATTCCTTTACCATTCTCAGTCTCCAGCACCTGTCTATTAGATACAAAAGTTCTTGTAAATAGCTCTTTTCCTCCAAGGCTTATTATCAGAAATGGAAATGGAAACTTATAGCTTCAATTACTTTTAAGCTTGATCGGAGGAGTGAAGACCTAATTTATTCAATGCCTTCAATTTTCTTAGTTGTACGAAATAACAGATATTAGGAATACAACACATTCATCATGCCAGATGCATTTTAAGGGAAAAATGTAATTATCACTGAACTCAGATTATGTCAATATAATTTCTCTATTGTCACTGAAGTAAAAAAAATGAAAAAACACAATGCAATTACCATATGTGCTTTACCATTTCTCCTAAACCTGAAGATTTAACTATATAATCACAAAAGAGAATTTCACTAAATAGCCAGTGAAGTAGCTCTTCCCACTACCTAACATATTCAGCCTCACATCTAACCACCTATTCTTTCTAAAGAACAGGGAATAGACCAGTGAGGTGAACAACCACGAAATTCTATGGAGGAAAGTGATTTCAATTTTCATGGGATCAAATGACCTATACTTGAACTTCAGAGCAAGACTCTCAGAGAACAAAATCCTTTTGGTCAGTTATTGTTTTCCTTACTCTTTTTGCTATAACTCTTTGTTTTACAATGTTGCCTGAGAATCAACTGATTTTTATCATTGCTTTGCTCATTGTTAGTCTTTGATCATCTATTTACAGGGAGAGGGTGACAGTTAATTGCCCTGCCTCCTTTTGTCTCACTTTTTTACTCAGTCACTTTGTACTCCTGCCATGATATGAGACAGAGTATATTATTGTAGCATTTTGCCTGATGATTAAAAATCTACTCTATAGAATAAGAAAGTTTGGTTAGATGTCTGATCATGGAAAAGAAACCTAATGTCTCTCAGGGTTTGGTCAGAAAATAGAATACTCTAGGTATTTTGAGAAGACAGGGTCTTAATACAAGGAAGAAATTTTGAAGAAATTGGAAAACCTAGAGGTGAAGATCAGGGAAGGCAGGGGAAGGCCACCACTAATTCTCAATTTCTCTGTTAGTTTTCTGTGAATCAGGAAGTTATTCCACTCATCTGGCTCAGGAAATTTAGAAAACAATTTACAATAAGCACATCTGTGTTCAATGCCTAGCAGATGATTCATGGGAGAACACCTGAAGGCTTTAGCAAAACTGCCCATCTGCTAAAGCCCTCAAGTCTGAACAAATAGAAAGATAATGACCTCTGGCTTTCCAACAAGTGCCTCTTATTGGTGAGATCTAAATAGGCATCACACTAAAAAGGTTTCTAGGAAATGTAGCTCCCAGGATTCTTAGTTCCCAAAGCCATTGTTTTCCTCTTCAGAAATGAAATGACTCAATTGTATTTCTTGCCTGTGTTACCTAAGAAAAACAAAACAATTTTACCTCATGTTACTCACATGATGGCCAAATCTACCTTCATTTTAAATAAAAATGCAGTGATCACTAATGAAATTTCTCTAAAAACTATAAATATAGGGAATATCTTTGTTCAAAGACATGCTGAGGATCAACAGCATGTTGGGATGAGAAGGAATAGTTCTCTTTAGTTTCTCAGAGAAGTTCCTTAAAGATCTATTCTAATTCCTTGAAGATACAGATTTTATCAGGTTTTCATGCCTTTTTTTGGAACAAGTTAAATTTAATGTCACTCAGTACTCTTTAACTCTCTTTTTTCTTCAATCTTTTCTGATTTATCAGTTATTTTAGAATATGAATATGAGCTGGGGTTACAAGTGATGTCACATTCTGACTAATTCATCTAGGCTCCATCTGCCTCTTCTTCCTCACTCTTTTTACCACTTTTTATTTTTCACTACCAATTCTCACATAAATGATCAGCTATGCCTCATGCTCTAGGATGTTCTAAACCACAAGTAGGTGATATTTAAGCATTCAAAGCTCAGTCTTTAGTGGCTTAATATTCAGTTGTCTTCTCTGTTAGGCCATCTATAATATTGCTTACATTTTTAGTAAATGAGCTTCAGGATGGTTTTCTGTGCATGACATTGTTTGGGTTTCATTCTGAGCATGTGGGGAGGCAGGGGGAAGGCTATCCTGACCATTCTTCTGATCTCTTCTGGCCTCCAGGCCAATGACTTTGGCCATACCCACATCTTAATATGAAAAGTCACCAGTCTGCTTGAGTGTGTGATTTTTACCAGCTGTATTCAACCACTGGGGTAACAAAAAAGAGCAAGCATGTGATTACTTTGATGCATGTTTAGAGGAATTGCTGAATGGCCATAACCAGAATGGCAAACAGGTGAGATGATTAAGGATGTTGGTGACATAGAGATTAAAATAATGAATTATTAAATGGAATTGGATTTGGAAAAAAAAAACAGCTAATAAGATTTATAGACTTGGAAAAAATGGATGCACCAGTCAGTTTCCAGTAGAAAATAGATAGTATTCTTAAAAGAGGTAAAGGTTAAGAATTTATATACTAATATTTGGGCAATCAGTAAAGCATTATTGAGAATTCACAAAGCATGGTAAAGCTTCCCAGGATTATCAACAGTGGGAGGTTGTTACCTCGCATAAACCTAAAAATTAAGGGAAGGGAAGGAAGTTGGGGTTGGGAGTAGAAGAGAGCAAGTGAGAGAGCAAAAGAGAGGAGAAAGAGAGAGCGAGAGAGAGGAATGAACAAGAGCATTTTGCACTTTAAGAGAAGTCTACTGACAGGAGAATAAATTTCTTAAACTCACTCTCTCTTACCCACTGATATCATGTCCATGACTCATTGGCTGAACTCACCCAAACACCAAACATCAGAGTTGCAAGGGGGCACAGAATAGGTGGCAGAGGAGCAGAGTGTAGATTTGTGTAGAGTACAGAAAATATCTGGTACAAAGTAGAAATCCATTGGTATCATTTTTTTTCTTTTTCTTTTTTTACTGTAAGGAAGTATGAAAGTTATGGTACATTTTTAAAAAAATGAAGATAGAGATAAACTATTTTAAGCATTTATTAGGTAAGCAGTTTTGAAGAGTGAAAAGTTCTAGTATTCAATCAAGTGAGTTGGTTGATAAAGTGGAGGAGTGAAGGTCATTGGGCTTGGTCCTGAAGGTAGAATGGACTGTTGTAGTTTGCTTGGGATTGAGGGTTTTCTAGGGATGCAGCACTTCCTGTATGAAAATCAGGAGAGTCTTGGGCAAACCATGACAGTAGGTCAACTTTCTTGAAGGATAAGTGGATATTTATAGGAATTCCATGCAGGAGAAAAGCATTACCCAAGATATAGCCAGAGATATAGATAATGCAGGTTTGTGTTTTCAGAAGCGAAATTTTAATTTATATGAATAAGATAAACTGAATAGATCATTAAGAAACATCTAGAGTTTTAAAATACTAAAAAGTTTAATTGGGATTTTGAGAAACAGGATGCTTAAGTGCTGTTTTCATGTATTTCATGTTATTAATCCCTTTTCAGTTGAATCATTTGCAAATATTTTCTCCCATTCTATAGGTTGTCTCTTCCCCTTCACTGATTGTTTCCTTTGCTGTGCAGAGCTATTTAGCCTGATGTGATACTAATGTGGTTTGGCTGTGTACCCACCCAAATCTCATCTTGAATTGTAACTCCCACAATTCCCATGTGTCATGGGAAAAACCCAGTGGGAGGTGATTGAATCATGGGGGAGGGTCTTTCCTGTGCTTTTCTTGTGATAGTGAATGAGTCTCATGAGATCTGATGGTTTTAAAAATGGGAGTTCCCTGCACAAGCTGTCTCTTTGATGCTACCATCCATCTAAGACGTGACTTGCTCCTTCTTGCCTTTCACCTTCTGCCATGATTGTGAGGCCTCTCCAGCCATGAGCAACTGTAATTCCAATGAGCCTCTTTCTTTAGTAAATTGCCCAGTCTCGGGTATGTCTTTATCAGCAGCGTGAATACGGACTAATACAGTAAATTGGTAACAATACAGTGGGAGGTTGCTGAAAAGATACCCGAAAATGTGGAAGTTTCTTTGAAACTGGGTAACACACAGACGTTGGAACAGTTTGGAGGGCTCTGAGGAAGACAGGAAAATGTGGGAAAGTGTGTAACTTCCTAGAGACTTGTTGAATGGCTTTGACCAAAATGCTGATAGTGATGTCAACAATAAGGTTGAGGCTCAGGTGGTCTCAGATGGAGAGGAGGAACTTGTTGGGAACTGGAGCAAAGCTGACTCTTGTTACGATTTAGCAAAGAGACTGGTGGTGTTTTGCCCCTGCCTTAGAGATTTGTGGACCTTTGAACTTGAGGGAGATGATTTAGAGTATCTGGCAGAAGAAATGTCTATGCAGCAAAGCATTCAAGAGGTGACCTGGGTACTGTTAAAGGCATTGAGTTTTATAAGGGAACAGAGCATAAAAGTTCAGAAACTTTGCAGCCTGACAATGTGACAGAAAATAAAACCCCATTTTCTGAGGAGAAATTCAAGCTGGCTGCAGAAATTTGCATAAGTAACAAAGAGCTGAATGTTAATTCCCAAGACAATGGGGAAAATTTCTCCAGGGCATGTCAGAGATCTTCACAGCAGTCCCTCCCATCACAGGCCCAGAGGCACAGGAGGAAATCATGGTTTCATGGGTCTGGCCCAGGGTCCCTGGGCTGTGTGCAGCCTAGGGACTTGGTGCCCTGTATCTCAGACACTCCAGCTGGGGCTGAAAGGGGCCAATGTAGAGGTTGGGCTGTGGCTTCAGAGAGTGCAAGCCCCAAGCCTTGGCAGCTTCCATGTTGTGTTGTGCCTGCAAGTGCACAGAAGTCAAGAATTGGGGTTTGTTAACCTTCATCTAGACTTCAGAAGATGTATGGAAGTGCCTGGATGCCCAGGCTGAAGTTTGCTGCAGGGGTGGGTGCTCATGGAGAACCTCTGCTAGGGTAGTGCAGAACGGAAATGTGGAGTCAGAGCTTCCACACAGAGTCCCTACTGGGGCACTGCCTAGTGGAGCTGTGAGAAGAAGGGCACCATCTTCCAGACCCCAGAATGGTAGATCCACTGACAGATTGCACTGTGCACCTGGAATAGGTGAAAACACTCAATGCCAGTCCATTAAATCAGCTGGGAGGGAGGCTCTACCCTGTAGAGCCACAGGGGCAGAGCTGCCCAAGACCATGGGGACCCACTTCTTGCATCAGTGTGACCCGGATGTGAGACATGGAGTCAAAGGAGATCATTTGGGAGCTGTAAGATTTGACTGCCCTGCTGGATTTCAGACTTGCATGGACACTGTAACTCCTTTGTTTTGGCCAATTTCTCCCATTTGGAACAGTTCTATTTACCCAATGCCTGTACCCCCATTGTATCTGGGAAGTAACTAACTTGCTTTTGATTTTAAGGGCTCATAGGTGGAAGGGGCTTGCCTTGTCTCAGATGAGACTTTGGACTGTGGACTTTTGAGTTAATGCTTAAATGAGTTAATACTGTGGGGGACTGTTGGGAAGGGATGATTGGTTTTGCAATGTGAGAACATGAGATTTGGGAGGGTCCAGGGGCAGAATGATATGGTTTGGCTGTGTCTCCACCCAAATCTCATCTTGAATTGTAACTCCTACAATTCCCACATGTTATGGGAGGAAGCCGGTGGGAGGTAATTGAATCATGGGGGTGGGTCTTTCTGGTGATGTTCTCATGATAGTGAATAAGTCTTACAAGATCTGATGGTTTTAAAAATGGGAGTTCCCTGCACAAGCTCTCTCTTTGCCTGCTGCCATCCATGAAAGACGTGACTTGCTCCTCCTTGCCTTTCACCTTCTGCCATGATCGTGAGGCCTCCCTAGCCACGTGGAACTGTAAGTCTAATAAACCTCTTCGTTTTGTAAATTTCCCAGTCTCAGGTATGTCTTTATCAGCAGCATGAAAACGGACCAATACAGATATCATTTGTTCATTTTTGCTTTAGTTGCCTATGGCTTTGACATCTTACTCAATAAATCTTTGCCCAGACCAGTGTCTTGAAGCATTTCTGCAATGTTTTCTTTCAGTCATTTTATAGTTTCAGGTCTTATATTTAGCTCTTATTTCATTTTAATTTTATTTTGGTATATGGCAAAAGATGAGGGTCCAGTTTCATTCTTCTGCATATGAATATCCAGTTTTCCTAGCACCATTTATTGAAGAGTCTGTCTTTTCCCCAGTGTATGCTCTTGGTGCCTTTGTTGAAAATGAGCTGCTGTAAATGCATGAATTTATTTTTGTGTTCTCTATCCTGTTTAATAGGTCTGTGTTTCTCTTTTTAATGCCAGAACCATGCTGTTTTGTTTATTATAGCTTTGTAGTACAATTTGAAGTCTGGTAATACAATGCTTCCAGTTTTGCTTTTTACTCTGAATGGCTTTGGGTATTCTGGGTCTTTTGTTCTTCCACATAAATTTTAGGACTTTTTTTTTCTGTTTCTGTGAAGAATGTCACTGGTATTTTGAAAAAATTGCATTGAATCTATAGATTGTATTAGGTAGTATGGACATTTTAACAATATTGATTCTTCCAATTCATGAATATGAATTATCTTTCCATTTCCTCTGTCCTTTTTAATTTATTGTGTCAATGTTTTATAGTTTTCATTGTGGAGATCTTTCACTTCTTTGATTAAGTTCATTTTTAAGTATTTTACATTTTTTTGTGGCTATTGTAAATGAGATTGCTTTCTTGGTTACTTTTTCAGAAAAAGTTTGCTGTTGTAATATAAAAATGGTACTGATTTTTGTCAGTTGATTTTGTATCTTGTAACATTACTGAAATCATTTATCAGTTGTATCGGTTTTTGTGGTGGAGTCTTTGATTTTCCCAAATATAAGATCATATTGTCTGCAAACAAGGACAATTTGACTCCTTCCTTTCTAATTGGCATGCTTTTTATTTTTTGTTCTTGTCTAATTGCCATGGGTAGAACTTCTAGTATTATGTTAAATAAAATGGTGAAAGTGGGCATTCTTGTCTTGTTCCAGATCTTAGAGGAAAGGCTTTCATTATTTTTCCTGTTAAGTATCATATTAGTTGTGAGTTTCTTATAAATGGACTTTATCTTACATGGAAGCTAAAAATTGGTATCATGGAGTTGAAGAGAGTAGAATGATAATTAGCAGAGTCTCACAAGAGTAGTGAAGAGGGGAGGGTAAAGAGGGGTTGGTTAATGGCTACAAAAATACAGTTAGATAGCAGAAATAAGATCTAATATTTGGTAGCACAATAGGATGACTATAGTTAGCAATAATTTATTGCATATTTCAAAATAACTAGAGGAGTATATTTGAAATTTTTCTGACACAAAGCTATAATAAATGTTTGAAGTGATGGATGTCCCAATTATCTTGATTTGACCATTATAAACTATATCCTTGTATCAAAATTTCACGTGTACCCCATAAATATGTACAACTATTATGTACCCATAAATTAAAAATAATAACAAAGATAAATCTAAGACAATAATATGGAATTTCACCAATTTATTGTTTATTTTCTTATGCTATCATTTTCTTAATTTGTAAATAGACACATTAACCTTTTAAGAACAGAACAACTACCAAATGTTTTTACATAATATTTTATTGTTGCAAGTATTTACTTGGTGACTATAAAGACCTCTTCCATAAAGAACTCTAGAGCACTAAATAAGAACCAATGAGTAGTAGTTTTTAGGAAGTCTCATCATCTTGTGGAATAATAGTAGAACCATTGTGCTGTGTAGATTCATGTTGAAGTGTTTAAACCCCCTTGTGCATTTTTAAATTGTCAGTAATGTGTTGACAAAAGCATTGGCAGGCCAGTTTGAGCTGAAAGAGACTGAGGCTGAGATTATAGCCTGCAAGCAGATGGTGAGGTTGTTCAGCAAGCAAGGAAGGCATATTCCCCAATATCCTCCTCAAAAGTAGTCAAGGTGATTATTAAAAAGAAGATATCTAGGACCTTTTGGAAAATGGATTTTGTCACCCTATTCAACCCCATCTTTGGACACTAAGAGATTTTCCAAGATGGACATTTGTTAAAAGTATAGGAGAAAAATGTTCTGCTATATACTGTACTCTCCTCAGGGCATTGGCTGCCTACTTTGACTATATTTGCATTTTCGTAACTAAGAGAGACCCTAAAATATTTACCTCTATAATAACAAAAATCTGCCCAGAAAAGACTTGCCTATTTACCTATTGCCATAGAAAGTCTTCGAGTTTGCAATTCTCATGTAGTTGTAAAGTTTCCTTTGGTGATGTCAAGTTGGAAATCAACTTGCTTCATTTTTAGCATTGGAAAGTAAAAGTTTCCCCCTCCCCTTTTTTTTGAGTTATCATTTCTTCAATGCCAGTATTGAAGACTAGTTTCCCATTGCACTTAATATTACACCAGGTATTTCTGTATTAAAATGTGTGAACCAATGTTTACTTAGAATTTTCCCACTCTTTCTTTTTATCTTTTAATGCTATAGAGTATAGTAAATTGTAAAGTTGTAGCACTGAATAGATTTGGTTGTTGAATCTCAATCCATAAAATGAAGTATTTCTATACTGTTTTAAACATTAAACTACAGCTTAAAAATTACTCTTTGTTGATTTCTTTAAAATTTAAAGGATTTAATATGAAATCCTCTCCAAGAAAGATTTTTTTTTAATATTCCAAAGCTCATGTATCCAAATGTACAGTGGGAGGTAACCCCAATAAATGTAATGGTGGAGAGAAAATAGCTCTCTTGCTTGGTAAAAGAAAAATAATAACTGAATCACTTGATATGGTAATATGTGGATGAGGGATAAGATTTATTCTTTTAGCTTCAAATGTCAGAATGAAGAAAAATGGGCAGGTATCTTAGGGAGGCAAATTCAATAGAATGAACCATGGTTTTATGTAGACCCTGAATGATCCTAAGTGGCAGATATTGCAGACTGTTACACAGAATGGGAGTTGAACAGTTTGTATGCTAAGGTATTCTCCAAATTAAAAACTAAGATTTCACAAATTTCAAAATTTGAGAAAGGTGTAAACTTGATCCAGATATGTCTCAGATCTTTTTTTTTTTTTTCTGAGACAGAGTCTCGCTCTGTCGCCCAGGCTGGAATGCAGTGGTACGATCTTGGCTCACTGCAAGCTCTGCCTCCCAGGTTCACACCATTCTCCTGCCTCAGTCTCCTGAGTAGCTGGGACTACAGGCACCCGCCACCACGCCCGGGTAATTTTTTGTATTTTTAGTAGAGATGGGATTTCACCGTGTTAGCCAGCCAGATCCTTTTTAAACTACCTTTTTACTTAGAATAATCTTTAGAACCATTTTTTTCTTCCATGAGAAAATTGTTATTTATCGTAAAAAATTATTTCTTGATTTTCAGTCTTTCTTCTTGTATGCATACCTTTCAATTTCTTTTAAACTTATGTCTTCTTCTTTTACCTCGTGATGCACATTAATTTATAGTACTTAGGAGATCTCTGAGAAAACAATCTGGATTATCACACAGTTTCTGTGCTGGTGCCGGCTGTAGTAAGAATCTTTGGGGGAAAATGACTGTGATGTAGATAAAGATTCAAATAGAAGCTTATAAGAAGTACATTAGAATAAATACGGCTCATGTTATGTAAGAACAGACTGAGCATTATAAAAACTAATTATGTAAGATTTATACTCTTTAAATCTTAGGATTACTATGACCTATTTTCATTGCTAAAAAAATGGAAAAAAACCCAGAATTCCTAATAATTTGAAAGTACAGCTATGAGTAGAAGGCAATATTATAACCAAAAAGTTGACCGTAATTTAAAGTCTTTAATGTTAAATTAATTTAAGTCTTTTATTTCACAGAAAATTCTTTAAATACTAATGTGAACTCTAGAATGGATAATAAAGCCACATCCCCTTAAAACACACAAATATTTTCTTATATCAACCTTCTTTTATATAGTAGAGAGGAGTGACCTCATGAGATGGGACACAAGACAACCACACTATATGCAGCAAGAGTAGAGGAGAGAGAGTCCAGAGGGCAGAACCCCAAGGGTTGCAAACATATAGGCCAAAGAGATCCTTGGTAGCTGAGGAAGAGCATAAAGACATTGAATTGCTAGTAGGAAGAGAGGAACCCAATGGAAATAGATGTGAGGGAGCACTCTGACAGAAGACAACCTAAACTGGTAAAACCGCTTAAAATTTATGCTAGAAAACTTTGGAAATTTTAGATCTGGTATTATCTCTGGCAAATTTTTTAGGCTATATACGCATCCTTCTCTTTACCCATACACCAGAAAAAACTCTACTTCACAACGGTTAGTATTTAGATAGAATGGTATACGTGAAAGCATACTATATACTTCTAAGGGTTATGCATGCATTATCAAATTATATTGATGATGATTGTCTTAAGATTTTATCTGAGATCTGAATCATATACAAAACAATTAACTGAGAATTAAAGCTAATTATACTGCTGAATATTTGAGGGCAACATCAGTTTCTCCTAAGAAAAACCTCTGGATTATTTTACCAACTAGTTCTGGCAATCTTAGCTACATGAGCAATCTGATTCTACTGTAACCTGGAATTTGGGCAGAAGTTCTGGCTAGAGGATTAACATAGGGAAAGCAAAGAGTAAGCAATTTGTTAATGATAGCACAGCTGAATATCAGACTGTTTCGACATCCCAATGTTTTCCTGATTCTTCAGGCTCACCATCCCACTCCCTATTTGCTTGGTGTTTTTACAGTTGTCTGATCAGAGGATAAATAAATGTTAGCTCACAATGGAGATCTGGTGACCTCAAGGATTGTGTGGTAGATTGCAATTACCGTACAATCTGGGGACTTGTGAATTGCTTTCAACATAATCATCATGGTTTTCCACCAAAACTTTTTGTTCTTAATTTTACTTTCTAAACTTCTCACCCAGTCTTGAAAGTTTAAGAAAATCTATCCTTATTTTAAGGTATGTGTTATTTCTATTTAACATTGGTTACACTTCACCGTATATGCAATTAATGCCTGTGTGTGTGCATGTACATTAGATATCCTGTTTTAAATGCCTTAATTACTAAAAAAAAAAAAACCCTAGCATATGCCCAAAATAATAAAAGTTTCATAATTCTAAATATGTTTGACCCTTTCATAACTTCTGAAAATGTTTCTTTCTATGAGTGTCACAAAATTACAGACATTTGTACAAATTGTCTGTAATATCAAATTGTCTGGGTATATCAACTTCTACTGACTATTTGAAGAGAGTATAAAAACAAAAATCAGAAATTTTATGTTCCAGAAAGCTATCTTCTTGTCAGCATATGTTGTCTCATGTGTTGATGTTAATAATATTAAATTACAAGGTGCATTTTTCATCTTCAACTAGAGACATTTCCTACTGAATTTCTGTAAAAATTATTTAAAAAGCTCTTAAACCAGATTTATATGTGGGTTGAAAATTGTAGAGGTGTTTAGAAGAGCTGCTGTTTTTGGTGATTGCGATGAACAGTTTTCTACACCAATGATTGAGAATTAATTTACTATCCTGTGTCCTCACAATGTAATGATTCAAAATATCTACTTGATTAGAGAGACTTTTACACCCAAGAAACAAACTAACCTGTCCTGTTAGCTATGGGATGATATTCTGTCACTGATCTTATTTCTAGTAGAATGGTTAAGAGCAAGGGCTCTAGATCCAGAGTGCTCAGGTTTGAATCCAACTCTGCCGTTTTTTTGCACTGGGCTGCGAGTTGGCTGATATACACCAGGATGGTTCTCTCTCCGTTGTGATTGTTTGTGCCTCTGCTGTTATTCCATAGTTTGAATGTCATCTCTGTACCACTGTATAATACCACTGTATAACCTTGGTTAAGTAACTTCTTTCACTTATGTCTTCATTTTCTTAACTGAAGGATAAAATTGGTATATATCTCATTGCGCTATTGTGAGGATAAAATTTGTAAATACCTATAGAGAGTTTTAAAAGCTCCTGTCACAGAGTGAGTGCTTAATAATGCTTTCATTATTTTTTCTCTCCTGCTGGCTCCTTCTCTATCTCTGTTTCTGCCTCTCACTTTCTCTTTGTTCTTTCTGAAATTATGCTCTCATGATTGTAAATGTAAGGAAAAAAGGTGAGACAGGAGAAAAACAAAGAAAGTAGGGATACTAGCTAGGAGGTTATTTCAACTGCCTGTTCATGAGGTAAAAAGGAAGGGCTTTATCTAACATAGCTGAGAGTGGAAAGCAAGGGCTAATTGTAACAGCTGACATTTATTGAGCCTTTACGACGTGCTGGGCACTGTTTTAAGTGGTATCCCAAATTCATTCTGCCACAGATATTTTCTCTAGGTACATTTATCAACAAGCCAAGGACTCTAGAATTTAGTGAAGTTAAATAACTTGACATCTAATCAGGGACAGACTTGGAATTTTAATCTGGGTCTTTGAAAGTACAAAACCTATGCCCTTAACTACTATTTATTGCTTCTCTGCAGGGAATATTTGTATCCAGGCATTGCATCTGAATGAATCAAAGGAACCCAGTCAATATGGCTTGAGTTACTCAAAAAAGCTGTTAGAAGATTGCATTTTAATTTTTTGGCTCATTGTTTTGATAGTCAGGAAGAAGGCTTTCATCAGAAGTTGCTTTCCTTTTGATTTTTGAACACAAGAGTTTTCTTATGGACAACAGAACACCAGTGAAAAAGGAGGACTCGTTAGCCTTATCTCTGTAAATGGGTTCAACCACTAGCTATCTGGAGCTGCCCCATACTATTTTATTTGGGCACAAGATGGTAAATAGCAAAACTGCCCTTTAAAAATAAGTCCTTTCCCCATAACTCTTTTTCATCCTTGCTGTGTCCTGGTCACCAGTATCTGAGGAAATTAAATAAAGTTTGCTTTCTTTTGCTCTGAAGGAGAAGCAATGAAAAATTCTTTTTATAAATGATCCCCTTCTTTGCACAAATGAAATATCACTTCTTAACATAATTTGCAGCAACTCTTACTATTTATTCCCCTGAATTCACACATTAGTTAAATCAGTCATGGAATGCACACATGAGAAGCTGATGATAAACTAGAATTTTGGTTGATCCAATTTTTCTTGCTTAAAAATATTAGAATGAGAATGAGTTTGGGAGACAAATGTCTCTAAATAGGATTTCTATTTATATGTACCATATACCATACTATACTCAAGGATTTAAGAGGAAAACCCAAAATCTAGTTACACTGTCAAGCATAGACATTACACATATATATAAATACATATTTTTATATATACAGTTCGTCCATGTAAATTAAGGACACTTACTCCACTTCACTGTGCACTTGCCAAAATTGCCTATTGTAGTCCTCTGAGATCCTCTTGTCTCTCTAAACTATAGTGCATTGGCAGGAAGACTTATGTAGCTAGTCCTGTATTTTAATCAAATAACAACTTGTATTTGAGTGCTTCTAAGAAAGTTTTGCAGTGATAGGGGTTTATCTTATTTTGTTGCAGTATTTTACATACCACATTTCTACCTCATATTTCTATATTTTTCTCTTAAACTATAGCAAGTCCATTTATGGGTGATTGTCACACAAAATGGAAAAAATACACTGTCTCCCTAATGTAGAACTGAAACAGGTATGTTGCTCTTGGGAGTACCCTGGAACCATATTCTGTATATAAGTGGCTAGATAGGCAACTACCTGTATATTCTGCATTTTTTATCTCTTTCTTTTTTTTTTTTTTTTTGAGATGGAGTCTTGCTCTGTCACCCAGGCTGGAGTGCAGTGGCGCCATCTCGGCTCACTGCCAGCTCTGCCTCCTGGGTTCACGCCATTCTCCTACCTCAGCCTCCAGAGTAGCTGGGACTACAGGCGCCCGCCACTGCATTTTGTATCTCATAGTGTGGTATTAGGTTATTACTACGTTTACTTAACCTTCTTTGTGTTTCTGTTCAACTGATAGGCATGGGCCAAGTCTACAGATAACATATGGTTTAGAATCAAAGAAACTTACGAAGCGGGGTTGGCAATACATGTGACTCTCTTGGGTGACGTGGTTTTGCTCTAGAAGAAAGACCTGGTTTCCCTGAAGCTTTTCATATTGGAGGAGATTTGGAGTAATGAAATTATCCTAATTGGAACACTCTGAGCTTAAGAATATGGATTTCATTCTTGCTGGGCATCCCCTTATGTCTCTTTCCATGTCAGCTTTGGTTTAACTGGAGGGCTTGTCACTCACAACCTCCCAGCTCAGAGAGCTGATTTTAAGGCTACTTGAGGAGGAGCTGCGGGGGTCTTCCAGGGAACCAACTGTTCTTTTTTGCTTTGCTATCTCCTATAAAATGTTGCAAGTTAAAAAAAAAAAAAAATCTCCTCCAAACATTTGGCAGAATTTTGTATAAACTTAGTCTCTAAATTAACTTTCTTAAAAGCTTTATACCAAAGGGAAGTTATTCATGAGTATTGGGAAACAAGAGCTATAATTCAACTTGAGTCAAACAGTCACTATCAGATTCATTTCCTCTCTAGTGAGAGGAGGAAGTAAGACAAGATGATCTCTCATCCCTAATAAATTTGTGATTCTGCAACAACTTGCAGCATTAGATAAATTTACTAAAGGAAGTGACTCAATTTCTATGCATCTGCAAAGCATGTCTTTACAACTTTTTCACCAAAAATATCCCTCCATATTCCATATTTTTATTTACTTTATTATTCCAGTCTTTTATAAACTGTAAGGTAACAAAACAAGAGACTGCTATATGTTGCTTCAGAAGATAGTGACTTAAATTTATCTTACTATATTTTAAATTCACTAAATAAAGATGCCTTCATTATAATTGTGTCTCAAAAGCTTACGACACTTGCATCTTTTCTCTTAATATATGTCGAGGTGGCTGCCAGAAAGAACTTTATAATATTTTATATAAACAAAGGCCAAATCAAATGCCTTTTGTGTAGTGATCACAAATAAAATGATCATGTAGTGTAAATAGCAGTGTTTCATATTAACTCTACCTCCTCTTAGAAAACATAAACTTTTTAATATCTCTAACAAATGATTAAAAATAAACTAATTTTAGATGACAGCAGTAAAGTGACCATGTTTACTTTTCTTTCTTTAGCATCTGTCTATTGAGTAGTAAAATAATGTTATTATTTGTCAGTAAACATAAGATAAACTGGGCAATATCAGTGTCTTTTAAGTGCAAATTAGTTTATACCACAGAAATAATTTTTTTAGAATGAATATGAAGCGCTGTATTTCAGTAAAAATTTTTCAAGATTTTTTTTTTCAATCATAATGTACTTAAGTCCCCAGAATGAATCAAAGGCTTTTATTATTTCAAAGGATTTGTCATTATTTTAGCTTAGGGAAAATGGAAATCAATGTAAAATAGTTTCGAATCTGAGTTAAGTGTGTATGTAAAATTTATTTTCAAAACCAGTAGTACTTGGAAGCCCCTTTATAAGCCTTAGAGTGGGGATTTTAGAACTGCAGTTGTTCTTCTTCTGAGCAAATGAGAGTAAAATACCCCTATTAGGTCCCTGCCAGCAAATATCTGTAATATGTTTCAAAAGTACTACATAAAAAGACTAATGAGTAAACTGCAATTCTAAATAAATAAATGTATTTTATTTAGACCAGGATTCCTCAACCTTGGGGCACTATTGACATTTTAGGTCAGATAGTTCCTTGTTGTGGGGTGCTGTTTTTCACATTGTAGAATGTTCAGCAGTATCTCTGCCCTCTACCCACTAAATGCCAGTGACTTCCAGTTGTGAAAACCAGAAATGCCTCCAGGCGTGACAAATGTCTCCTAAGGGGCAAAATTGCCCCCTGCTACATTGAAAACAAGTGTTTTAGGCAAAACAATGTTTTCTCAGATTGGATGCTGCTGCCAGGTTCTGACAGGGGGAACCTGGCATTGTAGTAGGGAATTCCTGGGATGACCAGCAGTCTTATGTGCATAGAAGAGTAATGTTCATTGCTATTTCTGTTCAGATACAGAGGTGCTAGGGGTGATCCTTGATGGTGGATAGCGTTCTGCAGGTTCTTTATCCAGGTTTTCCTAAGTGTGTAGCATTGTTTATAGAAAGTGGGATTGTAGTCTCTCTGTCGGCAGCCTCTGCAAAGGGCATTACATTTCTACTGTCTATCTCATTAAATCTCCACAGGTCCTCACTAACGCTGTCTTCAAAATCCTTCCAGCTTCTGCCCACTTCCTGGGCACTCTCCCATTTCCAAAGTTACTCCCCTATTTTTTAGTTTTGTCATGGCAGCACTCCATTTCAAGGTACCAGTACCTCTTTTGGTTACTTATTGTTACATAATTAATTACTCCCAAACTTCATGTTTTAAAATAATAATAATCTTAGTATTTCACACAGTGGTGGTGTTCAGAAATTCAGGAGCTGCTTCACTGAGTGGTTCTAGCTTGGTGTATTTTGTGAGGTTATGGTCAAGATGTCAACCAGTACTGCAGTGATCCAAAGCTTTGATTAGAACTGCAGGATCCATTTACGTGATAAATAGCTGTTAGTAGGAATCTTTAGTCCCTTGCTGGCTGTTGGCAGGAGGCCTGCTTGGGAATGCCTGGAAATCTTCATGACACGGCAGGGGGCTTCCCCCTGAGCTAATGATCTGAAAGGAAGTATGGCAGAAATGCAAAGTATTTCATGACTTAACTTTGAAAGTCACAGGCTCTCATTTTGTCTGTATTCTACTGGTTACAAAGTCAGGTATAGTCAGTGTGGGAAGGGACTACATAAGAGTAAATTACCGCCAGGTGCGGTGGCTCACGCCTGTAATCCCAGCACTTTCGGAGGCAGAGGAACGCAGATCACTTGAGGTCAGGAGTTCAAGACCATCCTGGCCAACATGATGAAACCCCATCTCTATTAAAAAATACAAAAATTAGCTGGGCGTGGTGGCGGGCGCCTGTAATCCCAGCTACTCAGGAGGCTGAGGTAGGGAGAATTGCTTGAACCCAGGAGGCGGGGTTGCACTGAGTGGAGATCGTGCCACCACACTCCAGCCTGGGCAACAGAGTGAGACTGTATCTCAAGGAAAAAAAAAAAAAAAAGAAAAAGAAAAAAAAAAAGAGTAAACTACCAGGAGGCATGCACCATTGGGGACCATCTTGGTAGCTGGCTACGCCAATCTCCGAGTTTGTACCCATTGTTTTCTTGGTTATCAGTCACAATTTCTGTCATTATGTGGGTCTGGTAATGTGATTGTATGTTGGGTTTTGGGGTTTCTTTTCAACCTTTATTTTAGCTTCAGGGGGTACATACACCAGTTTGTTACAAAGGTGTATTGTGTGATGGTAAGGTTTGGAGTATAATTGAACTTGTCTCCCAGGTAGTGAGTATAGTACCCAACAGGCAGCTTTTCACCCTTGTCTCCTTCCCTCTCCCCTCCCTCTTGTAGCACCATTGTCCATTCTGTCCATCTTTATGTCCATGTGTACCCAATGTTTAGCTCTCACTTATAAGTGAGAACATGTGGTATATGTTCTGTTTCTGTATGAGTTCACTTAGGATAATGGCTCCAGCTGCATCCGTGTTGCTGCAAAGGACATGATTTTATTCTTTTTTGTGGTTGCATAGTATTTCATGGTGTATATATACCACATTTTCTTTATCCAGTCCACTTTGATGGGTACCAGGGTTAATTCCATGTCCTCACTATTGTAAATAGTGCTGCAATGAAGACACAGGTCTTTTTCATAGAATTCTTTTTCATAGAATTATTTTCCTTTGAGTAGATACTCAGTAATGGGATTACAGGGTTGAATGGTAGTTCTATTTTAAGATCTTTGAGAAATCTCCAAACTGCTTTCTATAGGGACTGAGCTAATGTAAATTCTCACCAACAGTGTTTAAGCATTCCATTTTCTCTGCAGCCACACCAACATCTGTTATTTTTTGACTTTTTAATAATAGTCGTTCTGACTAGTGTGAGATGATATCTAATTGTGGTTTTGATGTACCTATTGTGGTTTTGATGTACATTTATCTAATAATTAGTGGTGATGAACATTTTAAAATATATTTGTTGGATTGTTGTCTTATTTCAAAAAGTGTCTACTCATGTCTTTGCTAACTTTTTAAAGAGATAATTTGTTTTTTCTTATCAATATTTTTGAGTTCTTATGAAGTCTGAATATTAGACCTTTGTGGACTGCATAGTTTGTGAACATTTTTCCCATTCTGTAGGCTGTTTATTCTGTTGATGGTTTCTTTTGCTGTGCAGAAGCTGTGGAGAGCATCCCAAATGTCAATTTTTGTTTTTGTTGCAATTGCTTTTGAAGACTTATGACTATGTCCTTAAAAGCAATTAGCCATATGACCTCTAAAACCAATGTTGAGGCTGATGTTGAGAAGGGTATTTTCTGGGTTTTCTTCTAGGGTTTTTATAGTTTGAGGTCTCATATTTTTAATCCAATTTGAGTTAATTTTTGTATATGTGAAAGGTAGGGGTCCAGTTTCATCCTTTGTATATGGATAGCCAATTATCCCAGTATGATATATTGCACAGGGAATCTTTTCTCTATTGCTTATTTTTGTCAACTTTGTTGAAGATCAGATAATTATAGGTGTTTGGCTTAACTTCTGGGTTATTTCTTCTGCTCCATTGTTCTGCATGTCTATTTCTGTACAGTGCCATGCCATTTTGGTTACTGTAGCCTTATAGTGAAGTCAGGTAATGTGATGCCAGCTTAGTTTGTTTTACTTAGGATTGTTATGACTATTTGGGCTTGTTTTGGGTTCATTTGAATCTTAGAATATGTTTTTTTAATTCTGTGAAAAATGACGTTTTTATCTTGATAGGAACAGCATAGAATCTGTACATTGCTTTGGGCAGTATAGCTGTTTTAAGAATATTAATGCTTCCCAGGCCAGGAGCATAGAATGTTTTTCCATTTGTTTGTGTCATCTATAATTTTTTTCAGCAGTTTTGTATTCTCCTTGTAGGGATCTTTCACCTCCTTGGTTAGATTATGATCCCCAATTGATCCCTTTATCATGATGTAGTGTCCTTCTTTGTATTTTTTGTTTTTTTACTGTTGTTGGTTCCTAGGTACTTTATTTATTTTGTTTGTGGCTCTTGTAAATGTGATTAGGCTCCCGATTTGGCTCTCAGCTAGAATGTTATTGGTATATAAGAATGCTCCTGATTTTTGGATATTAATTTTGTATCCTGAAACATTACCGAAGTTGTTTATCTTTCCAAGAGGCTTTTGGCAGAGTCTTCAAGTTTTTCTAGGTACAGAATCATCTCATTAGTGAAGAGAGATAGTTTGACTTCGTATTTTTTTATTTGGATGCCTTTTATTTCAGGTTTTTCTAGACATAGAATAATTTCATCAGTAAAGAGAGATATTTTGACTTCTTATCTTTCTTTCTGGATGCCTTTTATTTCTTTCTCTTGCCTGCTTGTTCTAGCTAAGACTCCCAATACTATGTTAAATAGGAATGGAGAGAGTGGGCATCTTTGTCTTGTTCCAGTTCTCAAAGAGAATGCTTCCAGCGTTTGCCCTTTTGGTATGAAGTTGACTGTGAGTTTGTCATAGACAGCTCTGATGATTTTGAGGTATGTTTCTTTGATGCCTACTTTACTTAAGTTTTTATCATGAAGCATCATTGGATTTTATCAATTTTCTGTATCCATTGAGATGATCATATGGTTTTCGTTTTTAATTCTGTTTATGTAGTAAGTAACATTTATTGATTTGTGTACATTGAACCAACTTTGTATCTCAGCCTACATGATCACAGTGAATTACATTTTGAGGTGCTGCTGGATTTAGTTTGCTAGGATTTTGTTGGGGGTTTTTGTATCTATATTCATCAGGGACATTGGCCTCTAGTAGTTGTTTTTTTCACTGTGTCTTTGACAGATTTTGGTATCAGGATAATGCTGGCTTCACAGAAAGAGTTAGGGAGGAGTCCCTCCTCCCTGAGTTTTTGGAATAGTTTCAGTAGGCTTGGTATCAGTTCTTCTATGTGTGTCTAGTAGAATTTGGCTGTGCATCTACCTGCTCCAGGGCTTTTTCTTGGTTGGTAGGTTTTTAATTACTGATTCAGTTTTGGGATTCTTTATTGATCCATGCAGTGTTTTAATTTCTTCCTGGCTTAATCTTTGGTTGTGTGTGCCCAGGAATTTATCCATTTCATCTACATTTTCTAGATTGTGTGCATAGAGGCATTTGTCATAGTCTCCGAGGATCTTTTTTATTTATATGGGGCTGGTTATAATGTAACCTTTGTCATTTCTGATTGCATTTATTTGAATCTTTTATTTGCTAATATAGCTAGGGGTGTATAAATCTGTTTATATTTTCAAAAAACTAACTTTTGGTTTCATGGTCCTTTATATGGGTTTTTGGGTCTAATTTTATTCAGTTCCGCTCTGATTTTAGTTATTTATTTTCTTCTGCTAGCTTTAGGTTTAGTTTGTTCTTGTTTTTCTAGTTCCTTCAGGTGAAATGTTAGATTGTTAATTTGAGATCTTTCTAACTTCTTGATGTAGGTGTTTAATGCTATAAACTTTCTTCTTAACGCTGCTTTTGCTGAATTCCAGATATTTTTGTATGTTGCATCTCATTAATTTCAAATGATTTTTTAATTTCTGGCTTAATTTCATTGTTTACCCCAAAATAATTTAGGAAAGCATTGTTTAATTTCTATGTTATTTTGTGATTTTGAGAGATCTTCTTGGTATTGATTTCTATTTTTATTCCACAGTGGTATGGGAGTATACTTGGTATGATTTATATTCTTTGAATGTATTCAGACTTGCTTTATGACTGAGCGTGTGATCAATCTTATAGTATGTTCTATGTGCAGATGAGAAGAATGTATATTCTGTGGTTGTTGAATGAAGATCTGTGCATGTCTATTAGGTCCAATTGGTCAATTGTTGAATTTAAGTCAATAATTTCTTTGTTATTTCTCTGTCTTAATGATTTGTCTAACATTGTCAGTGAAGTGTTGATATCCCCCACTCTTATTCTGTAGCCAACTCTTTCTGTAGGTCTAGAAGTAGTTGTTTTATGAATCCAGGTTCTTCAGTGCTGGGTGTGCATATATTTAAGACAGTTAACACTTACTGTTCAGTTGATCCCTTTATCATGATGTATTGTCCTTCTTTGTATTTTTCTTTTTTTACTGTTGTTGGTTTAAAGTCCGTTTTATCTAATATAAGAATAATGACCTCTGCTGCTTCTTGGTTTTTGTTTGCATGATAGAGTTTTCTTTATTCTTTTTTTTTTTTTTTTTTTTTTTTGAGACGGAGTCTCGCTCTGTCGCCCAGGCCAGACTGCGGACTGCAGTGGCGCAATCTCGGCTCACTGCAAGCTCTGCTTCCCGGGTTCACGCCATTCTCCTGCCTCAGCCTCCCGAGTAGCTGGGACTACAGGCGCCCGCCACCGCGCCCGGCTAATTTGGTTCAGTTTGTTTCTTTCAACTCTTGGATCATTGCACTGGATTCCTTGGATTGGTTTTCAGTTTTCTCTTTAATCTTGTTGAATTTCCTTGCTATCCAGATTCTGAATTTTACATCTGTTATTTCAGACATTTTAATCTGGTTGGGATCCATGGCTGGGGAGCTAGTGCAATCCTTTGGAGGTAAGAAAAACACTCCGATTTTTTGAATTGCTAGAGTTCTTGTGCTGATTCTTTCTATTCTGAGAGGGCTAGAGTTTATCTTTTTGAAGTTGTTGTCATTTGAATGGGTCTTTTTGTTTTTATATTCTTTTTTCTCTGAGGATTTGCCTATGATATATGTTGTACATAGTTGATTGGCTTCATTTCTGGGTGCTTTCAGAGGGCTAAGGTTCTGTATTGGTTCCTTAGTTCTAGCCAGATTCATGCATTGGGTTTTGTAGGCAATGTGTTGAAGGAATTTATTTTTGTTTGGTGGTGTCATTTGGGCTGTGATCCAGTAGATGGCTCTTAAGAGTAAAGGCAGGCTGACAGGCTCTTATTCAACCATGTACCTCTTTTGTATTTTGGTGCATTTATAGCAGTGCTCTGGAGAGGGGGCAGGCAAGGGGGTTGGGAGATGACCCCTTCACCAAATCCATTCATGAGCCTTGGCGGAGCCCCCTCCAATTACTGGCACCACACCCACATTTCCTTAGCCTCAAGGTGGGCATTGGAAGACTACACTCCCCCTTCCCACAGGGTGGCCCAGGTTGAAGCTTAGGTCACCATGAAGCCCCACAGCTCCTTGGGGACCCACTGGTCCTCTGAGCTTAACAGAGTCAGAGTAGGTTGTGGGGTATGTCTGGGGGTGGTCTGTTGATGCAGTGGTTCAAAGATACAAGATCCACAGGCAGGGTGGTGGTGCTATAGGTTTGCAGCCATGGGCCGGAGATTTTTGCCCAGCAGACAGCTCCTTGGGGACTGCCCAGCTCATGCTTCCCCAACCAGGCCTCCCTCTGGTGTCTGTCCCAGGAGCAGGCCCAACTTTCTAGTTTTTTCCCAAGCTAGTTTTGTCCAGATCGCTGGGCTATTAGGTGTTCAGGGCCATGGGGCATTCTTGGGTAGAGGCTGCAGCTGGCCAGTAGGCTACACCCTTCTTGGACCAGTCTTGTGGAGGGAGAAACACTCAGCTCTCATGCCAGCACTTAAACTTGCACCTCACTCTTCTCGGTGTTCTGAGATTGGAGACTTCTCCCACACCCAGGCTGGATACCCCTGAGTGCAGTGTGCTTGAACCCTAGAAGGTTGGGACCAGGCTGTGGCAGCTTTGTCCTCTGGTTCCTTGAGGTTGAGCTCTGTACTTTGTGCTTTGGGTGGGGTGGGGGATGTAAACTACTCCCAGGCTGCTGGCAAAACAATTAGGCAGGGAAGTGGAGGCTGTGCTCCGTGCATACTCTTGCAGGAGCAGTCAGGCAGGAGCCTTGGAAGGGACCAGGGGACAAGGGGCTACACAGATCAGATGCTCACCTCTCCCAGGGGAAAGGTAGCCCTACTCTCTCCCAGCCCAGCTTTCAGCAGGGGATAGAGTCACTCAGAGCAAGACAGAGAGCCTTGGGGGATGGGCACCATGATTGCTTTTTACCGCACCTGCCACAGAGAAAACCTCCTGGACACTGCACAGGTTTGAGCCCCTGCCTTTGCCTACTCTCCAGGCGGCTCCTCTGCCAATTCAAATGTCTCTGGGGGTTGTGGGCTCTCTTGTAGCTAGGATCCCAGAGGTCCGTTGCAGGAGTGTGGTGCCCCACAGTTTTTTCACTCACTCCTTATTTAAGTCCTGTTCAGGTCCTGTAACTGGTTCTGGTCCTTGGCAATTCCATGCAAGCTTCCCAGCTTCCTGCCTCTTCAACCTTGGTATCTGAGTCATCTTTCTATTGGCTTTCAGTGTTTTTCTCAAGAGATCTGTTCAAAGTGTCATGATCTACTCAACAGTTTATTTTCTCTCAGTAGGAGAGGCATTTCCTGGCTGTGTCTAGACAGCCATCTTATCCCCCATCTGGGCTTTTTGTTTAAGGAGACTTTGTGTTGAAGCTCCAAATGATACTACCTTTTACCAGAAAGCCTTGGTCTTCTTATATTAGAGAGACAGGGCAAGAGCTGATCACCTCAATCTAGGTAGTAACTGGGTTGAGTCAGGGTTGAATTGCAGGTTTGTTCAGACTGTATATATCTTTGACTTTTCTTTCTTCTGATATGTCCTATCTAAGCTTTTTACTGAGAGCCGGTGAGTCACTATCTCTGCATTACTGAAAAATAGTAAGGGCACTATCGGGAAATCCTAATTACATGTTTAGAGCTCGTGACATTTCCAAATTATTACAATAGCCCTGCATGACTGTCAAAATCTTTTCAAGTTTCTCTCTCTCCCAGCAGAGTACCTCTGTGTGAACCAAGCCATTCTCGGCTTTCACATAAAATTGACAAATGTCACCACAGAATAGGGTTGCTTGTAATGTATCTAGCAACCCTATCACAGAAGAAAATGTCCAGTAACAGATTGCTCTCTCAGAGAGGCTCTTCCCTTTATGACCTGATATTTTAATCCATTGTTCATCTTTTCTTCCATAAATCTATAATGATTTAGCATATATGTATATGTGTGTGCATATATATGTGTGTGTGTGTGTATATATATATATATAGAGAGAGAGAGAGAGATCATATACATATGATATGGTTTGGCTCTGTGTCCCCACCTAAGTCTCACATTGAATTATAATCCCTAGTTTTGGGGGAATGGCCTGGTGGGAGGTGATTGAATCATGAGGGTGGTTTGTAATGATTTAGCACCATCCACCTAGTCCTGCCTCATGATAGAGTTATTTGATCTGGTTGTTTGAAACTGTGTAGCACTTCCTCCTTCACTGTCTCTCTTCTGCCAGCCAGGTGAAGATTTTCCTGCTTCCCCATTGCCTTCTGCCATGATTGTAAGTTCCCCGAGGCCTCCTCAGCCATGCTTCCCAAACAGCCTGTGGAACGGTGAGTCAATTAAACCTTTTTTCTTCATCAATTACCCAGTCTCGGGTAGTTCCTTACAGCAATGTGAGAACGGAGTAATACTGTGTATATATAATATATTTAGTAGTTGCAGTGGGAGCATTGTCTGGCATGAAACCTACTGTTAATATTATGTTACTACTATATTATTTCACAGTTGGAACTAGAAGTCTCTACAGTTCACCATTTGAGAAAAGAAAGGGGCTATGCTTCTTATAATTCTATAAAAGGTTTTCTTGGTTTTCCCATATGTATAATGTAATGGGTAGGGTTACTGTGCATGTGTGCTTGTGCTAGTATTGTACATGTATGTGCAGTTTTTTCCCCACTCTTTCTTACTTTGGAGAACAAAATCTTAAATTTCTTTGCTGATTTTTTTTAGTTCTTATCAATAATTATAAAGCCTGGCACTCTGTAAAGCTCTTCTTTAGCCCTGTAGAAGTTCCCTTTGTAAGTCTTGTACATCATAAGCAGCATATGGCTGTGTCACATGAGATTGATGTGCTCTGCTCCTTATTACAGTACAAATGACAGTAAGTGTAAAATTATGGTGCTTGGTTTTAATGAGAACAACCTGCCTGGATATATGGCAAATACTGAACAGCTTTTCCAGTGTGAGGATCCTGTAAACTATGCAGCATCAATATCACAAAACACATACTTTATTACTATTATCTCTGCATATGCTTTTAGGACACACTTTATTCAGTGGTCTTCTTACTAGATATATTCTTGGAAACTAAATTTGCTTGCTAAAGGTCAATTAATGAACCAGGCCTTGGAAATCAGTGGCATAACTTTCAACAATTTCCAGCAGTTATGCTAATTGAAATCTCTCGAGGCTTTTGGTTTGACAATGGAGGTTAAGCAGCTCTGTTTAATTACAGAAGCCAGACGCACATAAATTCAAATGAACCACTAAGGCCACACCTTAAGAACAGAGTATTGCTCATTAATTACACACAATGAAACACATGTTGTTTCAATTTTTAAGATGTTCAATTGCATTTCTTTTTTTGAGAGAATCACAGAATCAAAGAACAGGAACAAATATCAGGGATTCCCCAAGTAGAATTCTGTTTACTAGCAGCAACCTACTTGTTCTGCCACTGCAAGCCCAGTGAGATCTTTACTGGTTGTGTCCCCTTTTTTCATTCCTTCCTTCACACCTTCCTCTACCAACATTTATCACCTTCTACTGTACCCCATATCAATAAATCCTGGCCTCTCCCCTTTTGTTTCCTTCCACCATGTTCTGTGGGAACTCATATTTAACATTAGCACACTTCTCCTTTTTCCTGGGATACTTCCTCTACCTCTTGATGTTCACTGAACATCAAGCATGCTATGCTTTAGAATGCTTTAGAACTTGGTCTTTTCTTTTTATTTACATTAATACTAGACTTCTCAAGGCCTTGACATTTGGTATTCCCTCTACTGAGGACTCCTTTCTATATGCTAAGATCCAGGAAGACAGGGATCATCTACCTTTGAGGGGCGGACACCTCAGATAGATATTTGCCACAGTGCTGAGGATATTGTGCACAGTAGGCTCACTTATTTGTTGAATTAACTAGTGAGTGAGTGGGTGAATGAATACATTAATTAAAAGTGTATTCTATATTTACTGTTCATATTTTCTCCCCTTCTTTCAATATGCAAACATTACATAGTTTGCCTTTCTTTTCCATAGGAATGGATTTTTCAAAAACTTGAAAATGACTTTGAGACCATCACATTTCTAAATACAGGAGTCATTTTTCATAACTCATCCTGATAATTTTTCAGCCTTTTTTGTCACCTTCTTCTTTTCTAATCATTATATTCTTCAAAGGAAAAAAAAATGCTTCCATTAATTCCTGTCTTTTATTTTGTTGGAATAAAGTGATTCCTAAAATTCTTATGACCACATTTTATGCTTTGCTTTGGTGACTTAGCATTATGTTAGCTTGTGTTAATTATAGTTACATATATATTCTTATTTCCCATGTTATATTATAGATTCCATGTGGTTAAAAACTGCTACTATTTATGGAACAGTAACAGGCATTATTCTGAGTACTATATACATAATAACATAGTCCTTATACCTCTATAAATTAGGTATATTATCATCATTGTTTCCATTTTACAAAGGAGGAAACTGAGACCAAGAAAAATAAGTGCCTAAGGTCATTCGGTTAGTAAATGGCAGAGCCAGGAGTCCAGCACAAAGTCTGAATTAAAGCTTTATGTGCTATCCTCTACCAGATGTTAGCCTTTCACAGCATGACCTGCACTTTATGTCTCTTTGTATCCTCAGTATCTGGCTTGGCACATGAGATATAATGGGTACTTAATAAAATTTTGGAGGGGAATTAGACTGTATTATTTATATAGATCCCTTATTTTACCTCTTTGGAAACTGAGGATCACTTAGGCATACTCAGGCAGAATCAGGACTAAAACCAAATCGCTATACTTCTTCGAAGTTCTTTTCACTGCCTTTAGAGCATTGTAGAAACACAGGATATTAATTTCATAATCAATAACCTTCACTTGATGTGAACCTACTAACAAATCCTTAATATGTTATAATTCAACCAGGATTTTTTTACAATTTTAATTCTGCTTACATGTGTCTCTGGTTAAATTGGGAGTTGAGGTTTGATTTCTGGTGGAAGTGCCTGGTCACAAATTAGCTGAATGACCTGGAACAAGTCTCCTTACCTTTCTGAGTCTAATATGTTATGTGTGTGAATTGGCTTAAAATCTCTAAATTTCTTCCAACTGAAACCCTTGTGTTTTTTTTCAATTTTGTATTTTTAGTAAGCTAATATGGATTTCTTAATTGAATTATTCATTTAACAAACATTTATTGAATGCCTACTGTGTGCAGGAGATTTTAGACCACTTCCAAAGTTAGGAAGGCAGAGAGGAAAATGAACATATTTATTTCATTAGCAGGCTGCATGCATTTCTCAGAATATCTCCTGATATTCATTTGAAGAAAATAGAGCCCAATTTGTTGCACCCCTCTGAGACATCTGTGATTCCAGATTCTCCCGGGACTTTAGATATTTATTATATCTAATATATCCCTGGACTTTACTTATTTTTCCAAATAGATTCATCCCTTTGTATAATGCAACTCATTTTCTATGATAAGAATTATTTTGTTAAATGTTATGCATACAATTGTCTTAATAGTTTATTTATCCCGTGGTGTCATGTAGCTGTGTACTTAAAAATAAGCTGTAGGTGTTGCAGGAAGAAGCCCAGTTGTAAGGAATGGGTTTGAAGTGTGTTTCTGCAGAGTTCCAGGTTCCAGACTGCATCTGCAATGTAAGGCTTCTTTAGTAATTTCCATTAGAGAGATGGCTCTTTTATCTGCCCAGTTTTTGTAGATGTGGGTAATATTGGTTGACTCGTGTCATGTTTCAGAGCAACAACTTTGCCTGCTCTTTAAATTCTCTGACCTCAGTTACGCATGTATCCTTCTTAATTTAGGCATTAATATTGTTCTTAGAAATAGAGCAGGAATTTATATCCCAGCCTGACCAACTTCAATCCATTAAGCCTTTATTCTAAATGTCCATATTCCATTTTAACCCTTAATTCTTCCAATATAAATCTTGTTTTCAATCATTAGCTAAAGTCTCTATTGAAGTCAGCTTTATGAACCTACACTCCACTTATTAAGATATAATTTTATATATGAAATATAAACTTTTAAAAAATATTAAAGTATTTATAATAAAATCAATGTTATTTTATTCCAAGTTTTAGCTTGAATGTTTAAGTACTTGTATATAGAAAATGGTTCAATTTCTCAAAATGGTTTTGGAAGTAATTTTCCCACAGGCATACTTTTTTTGGTATTCATTTTCTGTTTCGGCATAGAAAGATAAAATGTTCTCATTTATGCACAGATAATTACAATATTCATATAACCTTTTAGAAGTCTTTATTATTATTTTCTTGTCCTTCAAAGTTTCTGTATTTACTGAATTTTATATCAGCCTAAGCATAGGGAATTCTTCCAGCTTGCACTTAAACTAATTTTTGAAAGAAAGCCGCATAATTTATACCTTATATTGCATAGTATTTATAAAACTACATTTATTAAAGCTTTGCAGACAAATGTGTTTAGTGCTTGCTGGCATTTTTTTCATGGTTTGGATCGATTATTCAGCTCTGATTTATGGTAGCTTTTCCTCTTCACATTCTGTGGATGCTTCTCTACCAGTAACAAGGAAAATTGTGCAACTACAATATTTACTGTGAAAATATGATTTCTCAGCCTTTCTTTTATATAACAAATTTAAGGGTCTCTTATTTTCTTTTAAATATTATCTGTTATAATAATTTGTAGCTTCTTATGTATGTACTCTCTGTGTTCTATCAATAAATATGTAAACAGAACATTTTTTTCTCATTACCTAATTCAGGATGTTCAAAGGAAAACAGTACAGGACAGTGCTTGGATTTGGGCTATGGAGACAAAATACCTGGGTTCAAATCCTACTTCTACGATTTCCAAACTCTGGTCTTGGGACATGTTAATTAACATCTCTAAGCCTCAGTTTTATCATTTGTAAAATGGTATTAATACGCCTAAGAGTTAACTTCGATTGATCACTTAGCATATGTGCAGAGTTGTTTTAAAAGTTTTTTATTAATTAACACATTGACTCCTCACAACAACCTTATGAGGATGTTCAATTATTACATCTATTTTTCAGAAGCAAATTAAAGCACAGAGAGGTTAAGTAGCTTGCTCAAGGTCTCATAAGGCAGTTGAGAGGATTAAAACCTTATAGAGTAACTCACAGTGATCACCAAACCGAAAACACTGAAGAAAAGCATTTTCTCAAAAAGTCAAGAAGATCCCTTGACCACATTTTCTTGTATTTTCAATAATAGATGAAAGGAGTACAGGTTGTTCTCTTCTCTCGAGATAATTACTTCATTGTTTGGGTTAAAAGTTCTGGAAATTTGACAGGGACTAGTTGGGCTCATTTTATATAGAGATCTTGCCAGGTTAAATGACTTGGCAAAGCCTTCAGAGAAAAAAAGTGTCAGTTCAAAGACTTACATCCACATTTTCTATCTTAACTATGGGCCTATTTTCTGTATTGCTCCTCACATGGCTATCAGCTTGTTGTTGGCAATTTATTTTTTAGTTGGAAAGCTCAAAGGTCAAGGAGGTGTGGCTTGTTTTGTCTATTTGCCACGAAATAGTGAAGACAAACTTCCCTCATGTCAAAGTTACAACTTTTGGCAAGACAAAAAAAAGTGATTTATGTTTTTATATTGTCCCCTGTAACCACATTTTATATTTGGTTAAAATAATGCAAAATAGTTTCTTTAGTTGCCTTTCTCTATTAGGAGGTATGAAAGGTCTATTTTATTAATTTTTCAAATTGTCTAATCAAATTATACAAATTAACCTTTTTATTGTGTAACTGCTGCAGGAAATTTAACTACTAGATAATAACTCTCAAACAAAATGTTAGACAAATTAGCTAACAATGATCACATCCAGGATAGGCAAATTTTTCCAAGGGTAAGAAAAAATTCAAGGATCCGTTTTTTTATTTGTTGTCATTTGCTTTATGGTTGAAGTGAAGACAGCAGTTGTACTTTAAAACTCAAAACAAAACATAACCCAGAAATGTAGATGTCCTAGGAGTATTCCTATTTACCCAAGTCCAAAGTTGTTACTCAAACTTTAAATATTACAAAGTATCCCCGGAATGTTGAATGTCATGATTAACAGGACAACTGATAATTATGTGTAGCATGTATACCCAAGAGTTACCTGAATCTCCAAACAAGCCACACCTTTACCCATTGAGTTGGTGAATTTATTTTAACCTTTCACATAAAACCACATTTACATTGAATTGGAAATTTTTCTTTTGTGTTCATTTCTATTCTCTGCTTGAGAGTAATCTTCCCCTTTTCTGCTACTTTCTCAGTGTGCCAAGATGTAGATACTTATAGTCTCAATGAGATTGTCATGGATACTATAAGGGATGGAGATACTAGGTGAGATTAAAGTAATTCAACCAAAATGGATCCTTTTCTATTCTACGACAAAATATCAAACTAAATTGCTTGGACTTTGAGGATTTTTATAATGTTTTTCTTTAACTCTTTTGCTTGACATTTAGCATTTTTATCCAATATGAAAATATTCGTTTATATTTTTCTGAATATTATAATTGAACATATATTTATCAAACATGTGGGCAAAATGACATACTCTTAGGTGAACTATTCGGGCTCTGAAGCCAAACTATCTGTGTTTGCATGTCAGCTTTGTGACTTACTGTTACCGGCGCAAGAGATCAGAGTTACCCTCAGTTACTGGCAGCATATGTATGCTGGTCTGTAGCAACTTCAGCCCTTGCCTCCTCGGAAGAAAGAATTCTACTGAGGGGCATAAAGCAGAAAAAGAGACCAAGGCAAGTTTCAGAGCGGGAGTGGAAGTTTATTTAATAAGACTTTAGAACAAGAAAGAAAGGAAAGTTTACTTGAAAAAAGATCCAAGAGGGCGCCTGAAGGTCAAAGAGAGCATTTAACCTTGATCCTAAGGCTTTACAGGCTCACTGCTTTTCCACGGTTCTTCCCTTAGGGTGGGCTTCCCACATGTGCAGTGCCCTCCTTATCCTTGGGAACTGAGCATGTGTAGTGTGTTTAGGAAGTTGTATGCGTGCCCATCTGAAGCTTTCTTCCTTCTTTCAGTGGAGTACACCCAGAAGGTCATACTTTGCCATTTAGTCTCTTAGTGCACATGCCCAGGAAGTTTTTTTCTCCCTGGCATCTGCATTCAATTAACATTTTAATGTTAATAGCTGTGAATTATCAGGAAATGGCCTCTCCTGGTGCCCTGGGTGGGTTGCCAAATATCATTTTAGAGAGGCAGTGTGATAATTGTCAAAGCATCACCTGATATTCCTAGTGGGTGAGGGGAGAGCCCTTTCCTGCCCCACTCATGCTGGCCTAACTACTGTAACATTACCACATCGCACTGGACAAATTACTTGCCTTTTCTGTGCCACAGGTCCTTCCTCTGCAAAAGAGCTTGAGAGGATGGATACCCCATTTTCCATTATGTAATTATTATGCATTGCATGCCTATATCAACACATCTCATGTATTCCATAAATATATACACCTAATATGTACCCACAAAAATTAAACAGTAAAAAAATTGTAAAAAACAAAACAAAAAAGGAGAGTGGATTATATCATATGCTGCAAAAAGTCATGAAGATTAGATGAGTCAATATGTGTAAAGTGCTTAGTGTAGTACCTGGCATAAAACAAAGGAAGGTTTTTTTTTTATTAGTATTGCTTTCATTGGCATAAATGACCACTGAGGTTGAAATATTTTTTCCTAACCATTTCTATTTCTTATATGAATTTTGCTTATATACTATTTTTATTGGCGTGTTTATCTTTTTCTCATTGATTCTTCAAAGCTATGTATATATGTGTGTGATTTATTGAATGCCATAAATGTGACAAGTGTTCAAAAGAACTACAGTCAGGGAGGAGCCAAGATGGCCGAATAGAAACAGCTCCAGTCTACAGCTCCCAGCGTGAGCGGTGCAGAAGATGGGTGATTTCTGCATTTCCATCTGAGGTACCGGGTTCATCTCACTGGGGAGTGCCAGACAGTGGGCGCAGGACAGTGGGTGCAGTGCACCATGTGTGAGCTGAAGCAGGGCAAGGTATTGCCTCACTTGGGAAGCACAAGGGGTCAGGGAGTTCCCTTTCCTAGTCAAAGAAAGGGGTGACAGATGGCACCTGGAAAATCGGGTCACTCCCACCCTAATACTGCGCTTTTCTAACTGGCTTAAAAAATGGCACACCAGGAGATTATATCCCGCCCCTGACTCAGAGGGTCCTACGCCCACCGAGTCTCACTCATTGCTAACACAGCAGTCCATGATCAAACTGCAAGGTGGCAGCGAGGCTGGGGGAGGGGCGCCCGCCATTGCCCAGGCTTGCTTAGGTAAACAAAGCAGCCGGGAAGCTTGAACCGGGTGGAGCCCACCACAGCTCAAGGAGGCCTGCCTGCCTCTGTAGGCTCCACCTCTGCGGGCAGGGCACAGAAAACAAAAAGACAGCAGTAACCTCTGCAGACTTAAATGTCCCTCTCTGACAGCTTTGAAGAGAGTAGTGGTTCTCCCAGCATGTGGCTTGAGATCTGAGAATGGGCAGACTGCCTCCTCAAGTGGGTCGCTGACCCCAAGTAGCCTAACTGGGAGGCACCCCCCAGTAGGGGGCAGACTGACACCTCACATGGCCAGGTACTCCTCTGAGACAAAACTTCCAGAGGAACAATCAGGCAGCAGCATCTGTGGTTCATCAATATCCACTATTCTGCAGCCACTGCTGCTGATACCCAGGAAAACAGGGTGTGGAGTGGACCTCTAGCAAACTCCAACAGACCTGCAGCTGAGGGTCCTGTCTGTTAGAAGGAAAACTAACAAACAGAAAGGACATCCACACCAAAAACCCATCTGTACATCACCATCATCAAAGATCAAAGGTATATAAAACCACATAGATGGGAAAAAAACAGCAGAAAAACTGGAAACTCTAAAAATCAGAGTGCCTCTCCTCCTCCAAAGGAACTCAGCTCCTCACCAGCAATGGAACAAAGCTGCATGGAGAATGACTTTGACGAGTTGAGAGAAGGCTTCAGACAATCAAACTACTCCAAGCTACAGGAGGAAATTCGAACCAATGGCAAAGAAGTTAAAAGCTTTGAAAAAAATTAGAAGAATGGATAACTAGAATAACTAATGCAGAGAAGTCCTTAGAGGGCATGATGGAGCTGAAAACCAACGTGTGAGAGCTACGTGATGAATGCAGAAGCCTCAGTAGCTGATGCGATCAACTGGAAGAAAGGGTATCAGTGATGGAAGATGAAATGATGAAATGAAATGAGAAGAGAAGTGTAGAGAAAAAAGAATAAAAAGAAACGAACAAAGCCTCCAAGAAATATGGGACTATGTGAAAAGACCAAATCTACATCTGATTGGTGTACCTGAAAGTGACGGGGAGAATGGAACCAAGTTGGAAAACACTCTGCAGGATATTATCCAGGAGAACTTCCCCAATCTAGCAAGGCAGGCCAACATTCACATTCAGGAAATACAGAGAACGCCACAAAGATACTTCTCGAGAAGAGCAACTCCAAGACACATAATTGTCAGATTCACCAAAGTTGAAATGAAGGAAAAAATGTTAAGGGCAGCCAGAGAGAAAGGTCGGGTTACCCACAAAGGCAAGCCCATCAGACTAACAGCTGATCTCTCTGCAGAAACTCTACAAGCCAGAAGAGAGTGGGGACCAATATTCAACATTCTTAAAGAAAAGAATTTTCAACCCAGAATCTCATTTCCAGCCAAACTAAGCTTCATAAGTGAAGGAGAAATAAAATACTTTACAGATAAGCAAATGCTGAGAGATTTTGTCACCACCAGGCCTGCCCTAAAAGAGCTCCTGAAGGAAGCACTAAACATGGAAAGGAACAACCAGTACCAGCCACTGCAAAAACATGCCAAATTGTAAAGACCATCAAGGCTAGGAAGAAACTGCATCAACTATGGAGCAAAATAACCAGCTAACATCATAATGACAGGATCAAATTCACACGTAACAATATTAACTTTAAATGTAAATGGGCTAAATGCTCCAATTAAAAGACACAGACTGGCAAATTGGATAAAGAGTCAAGACCCATCAGTCTGCTGTATTCAGGAAACCCATCTCATGGGCAGAGACACACATAGGCTCAAAATAAAGGGATGGAGGAAGATCTACCAAGCAAATGGAAAACAAAAAAAAGCAGGGGTTTCAATCCTAGTCTCTGATAAAACAGACTTTAAACCAACAAAGATCAAAAGAGACAAAGAAGGCCATTACATAATGGTAAAGGGATCAATTCAACAAGAAGAGCTAACTATCCTAAATATATATGCTCCCAATACAGGAGCACCCAGATTCATAAAGCAAGTCCTTAGTTACCTACAAAGAGACTTAGATTCCCACACAAAAATAATAGGAGACTTTAACACCCCACTGTCAATATTAGACAGATCAACAAGAGAGAAAGTTAACAAGGATACCCAGGAATTGAACTCAGCCCTGCACCAAGCGGACCTAATAGACATCTACAGAACTCTCCAACCCAAATCAACAGAATATACATTCTTTTCAGCACCACACCATACCTACTCCAAAACTGACCACATAGTTGGAAGTAAAGCACTCCTCAGCAAATGTAAAAGAACAGAAATTATAACAAACTGTCTCTCAGACCACAGTGCAATCAAACTAGAACTCAGGATTAAGAAACTCACTCAAAACCACTCAACTACATGGAAACTGAACAACCTGATCCTGAATGACTACTGGGTAAATAATGAAATGAAAGCAAAAATAAAGATGTTCTTTGAAACCAACGAGAACAAAGACACAACATACCGGAATCTCTGGGACACTTTCAAAGCAGTGTGTAGAGGGAAATTTATAGCACTAAATGCCCACAAGAGAAAGCAGGAAAGATCTAAAATTGACACCCTAACATCACAATTAAAAGAGCTAGAAAAGCAAGAGCAAACACATTCAAAAGCTGGCAGAAGGCAAGAAATAATTAAGATCAGAGCAGAACTGAAGGAGATAGAAACACAAAAAACCCTTCAAAAGATTAATGAATCCAGGAGCTTGTTTTTTGAAAGGATCAACAAAATTGATAGACCGCTAGCAAGAGTAATAAAGAATAAAAGAGAGAAGAATCAAATAGATGCAATAAAAAATGATAAAGGGGATATCACCACTGATCCCACAGAAATACAAACTACTATCAGAGAATCCTATAAACACCTCTATGCAAATAAACTAGAAAATCTAGAAGAAATGGATGAATTCCTCAACATATACATCCTCCCAAGACTAAACCAGGAAGAAGTTGAATCTCTCAATAGACCAATAACAGGCTCTGAAATTGAGGCAATAATCAGTAGCTTACCAACCAAAAAAAGTCCAGGACCAGATAGATTCACAGCCAAATTCTACCAGAGGTACAAAGAGGAGCTGGTACCATTCCTTCTGAAACTATTCCAATCAATAGAAAAAGAAGGAATCCTCCCTAACTCATTTTATGAGGCCAGCATCATCCTGATACCAAAGGCTGGCAGAGACACAACCAAAAAAGAGAATTTTAGACCAATATCCTTGATGAACATCGATGCAAAAATCCTCAGTAAAATACTGGCAAACTGAATCCAGCAGCACATCAAAAAGCTTATCCAACATGATCAAGTGGGCTTCATCCCTGGGATGCAAGGCTGGTTCAACATACGCAAATCAATAAACATAATCCAGCATATAAACAGAACCAAAGACAAAAACCACATGATTATCTCAATAGATGCAGAAAAGGCCTTTGACAAAATTCAACGCTTCCTGCTAAAAACTCTCAATAAATTAGGTATTGATGGGACGTATCTCAAAATAATAAGAGCTATCTATGACAAACCCACAGCCAATATCATACTGAATGGGCAAAAACTGGAAGCATTCCCTTTGAAAACTGGCACAAGAGAGGGATGCCCTCTCTCACCACTCCTATTCAACATAGTGTTGGAAGTTCTGGCCAGGGCAATCAGGCAAGAGAAGGAAATAAAGGGCATTCAATTAGGAAAAGAGGAAGTCAAATTGTCCCTGTTTGCAGACGACATGATTGTATATCTAGAAAACCCCATTTTCTCAGCTCAAAATCTCCTCAAGCTGATAAGCAACTTCAGTAAAGTCTCAGGTTACAAAATCAATGTACAAAAATCACAAGCATTCTTGCACACCAATAACAGACAAACAGAGAGCCAAATCATCAGTGAACTCCCATTCACAATTGCTTCAAAGAGAATAAAATACCTAGGAATCCAACTTAAAAGGGATGTGAAGGACCTCTTCAAGAGAACTACAAACCACCGCTCAATGAAATAAAAGAGGATACAAACAAATGGAAGAACATTCCATGTTCATGGGTAGGAAAATCAATATCATGAAAATGGCCATACTGCCCAAGGTAATTTATAGATTCAATGCCATCCCCATCAAGCTACCAATGACTTTCTTCACAGAATTGGAAAAAACTAATTTAAAGTCCATATGGAAACAAAAAAGAGCTCGCATCTCCAAGTCAATCATAAACCAAAAGAACAAAGCTGGAGGCATCACGCTACCTGACTTCAAAGTATACTACGAGGCTACAGTAACCAAAACAGCATGGTACTGGTACCAAAACAGAGATATAGACCAATGGAACAGAACAGAGCTCTCAGAAATAATGCCGCATATCTACAACTATCTGATCTTTGACAAACCTGACAAAAACAAGCAATGGGGAAAAGATTCCCTATTTAATAAATGGTGCTGGGAAAACTGGCTAGCCATATGTAGAAAGCGGAAACTGGATCCTTTCCTTACACCTTATACAAAAATTAATTCAAGATGGATTTAAGACTTAAATGTTAGACCTAAAACAATAAAAACCCTAGAAGAAAACCTAGGCAATACCATTCAGGACATAGGCATGGGCAAGGACTTCATGTCTAAAACACCAAAAGCAATGGCAACAAAAGCCAAAATAGACAAATGGGATCTAATTAAACTAAAGAGCTTCTGCACAGCAAAAGAAACTACCATCAGAGTGAACAGGCAACCTACAGAATGGGAGAAAATTTTTGCAACCTACTCATCTGAAAAAGGGCTAATATCCAGAATCTACAATGAACTCAAACAAATTTACAAGAAACAAACAAACAACCCCATCAAAAAGTGGGCAAAGGATATGAACAGACATTTCTTAAAAGAAGACATTTATGCAGCCAAAGAACACATGAAAAAATGCTCATCATCACTGGCCATCAGAGAAATGCAAATCAAAACCACAGTGAGATACCATCTCACACCAGTTAGAATGGCGATCATTAAAAAGTCAGGAAACAACAGGTGCTGGAGAGGATGTGGAGAAATAGGAACACTTTTACATTGTTGGTGGGACTGTAAACTAGTTCAACCACTGTGGAAGTCAGTGTGGCGATTCCTCGGGGATCTAGAACTAGAAATACCATTTGACCCAGCCATCCCATTACTGGGTATATACCCAAAAGATTGTAAATCATGCTGCTATAAAGACACATGCACACGTATGTTTATTGCCGCACTATTCACAATAGCAAAGACTTGGAACCAACCTAAATGTCCAACAGCGATAGACTGGGTTAAGAAAATGTGGCACATATACACCATGGAATACTATGTAGCCATAAAAAATGATGAGTTCATGTCCTTTGTAGGGACATGGATGAAACTGGAAACCATCATTCTCAGCAAACTATCGCAAGGACAAAAAACCAAACACCGAATGTTCTCACTCATAGGTGGGAATTGAACAATGAGAACACATGGACACAGGAAGGGGAACATCACACACCAGGGACTGTTGTGGGGTGGGGGGAGGAGGGAGGGATAGCATTAGGAGATATACCTAATTCTAAATGACGAGTTAATGGGTGCAGTATACCAGCATGGCACATGTATACATATGTAACAAACATGCATGTCATGCACATGTACCCTAAAACTTAAAGTATAATAATAATAAAATTAAAAAAAAAGAACTACAGTCAAGAAGTATTGACCAAGCATGTGCAATGTCTGAGACACCGTGCAAGGTGCTGTGTAGAATAGAAAAATGAATGAATGAATGGATGGAATGCTCCCTTTCCTTTGAGGCTTTTAACATAGTAGAAGAAAAAGGATATATAATTACTCTGTTCAACATGCTGTAATAGAGTTTTTTCTATTTATGCTTTTGGTATATTGATAAGGGAGAGACTGATTCAGATTGGAAGCATCCCAAAGGCTTTTTTGGAAGAGTGTCACTTAAGATTGGATTGAATAATGGGCACAGTTTTGAGAACAGAGATGGGGTAGACCCAGGCATTCTAGTGGGATAGAATAACAGGAGGAAACACAGAAAGGAAATACAATACTCATTTAAAGATTTATTTTTTGAGTCTTTTATCTGTTTGTGACACTGCTTTTCTACAAGGCAAAGTAAAAACATCACACTCACTGCCCTTTTAGAGCTTTGAATTATGAGAAAAAAACATGAATTGTATGTGACATAAGACTAATTTAGGAATTTAAGGTAGTGGTGTAAATGATCCATTGAATGCTGTAATTTATATATAAAGGCTAAACTAATTATACAGGATTGTCAAAAAAATACAGTAATGACAACTTCTGTCAGTATTGAATGGAAAATGTAGATTGTGGCAATTCCAAGACATTAAAATTCTTGAGGTGTCACAAATGATATTGTGCTGCAAATTAACAAGGGCAGATTTGGAAGAAACCAATCTGTGATCCTTGATACATTTGAATAAACAGTTTTTTAGCCTGTGCACTACTGACATTTTGGATCAGATAAATCTTTGTGTTGAGGCCTGCCTTGTGCATTCCAGGAAGTTTTGCAGTATCCCTGACCTCCACATTCATTAGATGCTAGTAGCACCCCCATCCCCTAGGGATGAATACAAATATCTTTAGACATTGTGAAATGTCCCTTGGGGGACAAAATTGCCCCAGGTTGAGAAACACTGGAACAAACTATATAACTATTTCTTTATATATGTTTTTACTGTTTAATCATATTTTGGGGAAATATGTTATGTTTTTTAAAAAATTATAACATCAATGCCTAACATTTATTGAACATTAACATTTTTATGTTAAATAAAATATAAAATAAAAATAAAAAATTAAATAAAATTAAAATTAAAAATAAAAATTTTTTATAAAAAATATTTTTTTTTATGAAACATGTTGCATATGAAGTATGTTCCAAATGGGAAAACTCACCAAGCAGAACTCATTTTCTGAATTCACCAACATGGCTAGCAGATCCCTTGTTTATCTGTAGCAACTTCATACTTCTGCTGTGAAATCATCAAGTAGGTTACTTTAACTTGTGACACAGAATTATCTTAATACAGACCTTATATTTTGAAATAATTTATACATTTTATAAAAGTTGTGAAAATTGTATAAAGTATTTGGTATGCATTCACACAAACTTTCCAAATGCTAACATTTTACTGTTTTTTTCTAAACATTTAAAAATTTATTTTTAATTTTTGTGCGTTCATAGTAGGTATATATATTTATGGGATGCATGAGATATTTTGATACAGGCATGCAATGTGTAATAAAAACATCAGGGTAAATGAGGTGTCCATCCCCTCAAGTGTCTATCCTTTGTGTTGCAAACAATCCAATTATAATCTTTTAGTTGTTTAAAAATGTACCATTGAATTATTATTGACTATAGTCACTCTGTTGTGCTATCAAATACTAGTTCTTACTCATTCTTTCTAACTATTTTTTGTACCCATTAACTATCTCTACTTTCCCCCTACTACCCTGCAACTCTTCCCAGCCTCTGGTAACCATTACTCTCTATGTCCATGAGTTCAAATGTTTTTATTTTTAGTTTCCACAAATAAGTGCGAACATGCGAAGTTCATCTTTCTGTGCCTGGCTTATTAAACTTAACATATGATCTCCAGTTTCATCCATGTTCTTGCAAATGACTTGCTGTCATTCTTTTTTATGGCTGAATAGTACTCCATTGTGTCTAAATACCACATTTTTTCTGTCCATTCATCTGTTTTTGAGCTCTTAGGTTGCTTACAAATCTTAGCTATTGTGAATAGTGCTGCAATAAGCACAAGAGTGCAGATATCTCTTTGATACACAGATTTTCTTTGTTTTGGGTATATACCTAGCAGCAAGATGGCTGGATCATATGGAAGCTCTATTTTTTGTTTCTTGAATAGCCTCTAAACTGTTTTCCACAATGGTTGGTACTAATTTATGTTCCCACCAACAGTGTACAAGGGTTTCATTTTCTCCATATCCTTGCCAGCATTAGTTATTTGCCTGTCTTTTGAATAAAAACCATTTTAACTAGAATGAGATACATCTCATTGTAGTTTTGGTTTACATTTCTCTGATGATCAGTGATGTTGAGCACCTCTTCATAAATTTGTTTACCATTGGTATGTCATCTTTTGAGAAAGGTCTATTCAAATATTTTACCCATTTTATAATGGAATGATTGGCTTTTTTCCTACAGAGTTGTTTGAGCTCCTTATATATTCTGGTTTTAATCTTTTGTCAGAAGGATAGTTTGCAAATATTTTCTCCCATAAATTGCTTCACTTTGTTGATTGTTTCCTTTGCTGTTCAGAATCTATTTGGCTTGATGTGACTTTATTTGCCTATTTTTTGCTTTAATTGCCTGTGCTTGTAGGGTATTAATAAATCTTTGCCCAGCCCAATAACCTGTAGAGTTTCCCCAATGTTTTCTTTTATTAGTTTCATAGTTTGTTGTCTTAGGTTTAAGTCTTTAATTCATTTTATTTATGTATATGGCAAGAGATAGGGTCTAGTTTCATTCTTCTGCCTATGGATATCCAATTTTCCCAGCACCATTTATTGAAGAGACTGTCTTTTCCCTTGTATCTTCTTCGCACCTTTGCAGAAAATGAGTTCACTGTACATGTGTGGGTTTGTTTTTGGGATCTCTATTCGGTTCGATTGATCTATGTTTCTGTTTTTAGGCCAGAACCATGCTGTTTTGGTTACTATATCTTTGCAGTGTAATTTGAAGTCAGGCAATGTAATTTCTCCAGTTTTGTTCTTTTTGCTCAGGATAGCTGTGGCTATTCTGGGTCTTTTGTGGTTCTGTATGAATTTTAAAATTGTTTTTTATTTCTGTCAAGCATATCATTGGTATTTTGACAGGGATTGCACTAAATCTGCAGATGACTTTGAGGAGCATGGACATTTTAATAGTATTTATTTTTCCATTCCAATCCATAAACATGAAATGTCTTTTCATTTTTTGTGTCATCTTAATTTCTTTCATCAGTGTTTTATAGTTTTCATTGTAGAGATGTTTCATTTCTTTGGTTGATTCCTAGGTATTTATTTTTATTCATAGCTATCACAAATGGAATTACTTTCTTGATTTCTTTTTTTTTCAGGTTTTTTGCTGTTGGCGTTTAGAAATGTTACTTAGTTTTAAATGTTGAGTTAGTATCCTGCAACTTTACTGAATTTGCAGAGTTTTTCTGTGAAGTCTCTAGTTTTTCCAAATACAAGATTATATTATCTGAAAACACAGATAATTTGACTTCTTCCTTTCCAATCTGGATGCCTTTTATTTCTTTCTATTGACTGATTGCTCTAGCTAGGACTTCTAGTACCATGTTGAATAACAGTGGTGAAAATGAGCATCTTTGTCTTGTTCCAGATCTTAGAAGAAAGACTCTCAGTATTTCCCCATTTATGAAACCAGCTGTGAGTTTCTTGCATATGGCTTTTATTATGTTGAGATACGTTCCTTCTATATCCAGTTTTTTGAGGGTGATTGTCATGAGGAATGTTGAATTTTAAATGCCTTTTCAGCATCAGTTGAATGATCATATGGTTTTGTCCTTCATTCTGTAGACATGATGTTTCACATTCATTTGTTTGTGTAGGTTGAACTATCATTGCATCCCTGAAATAAATCCTACTTGGTCGTGATGAATAATCTTTTCAACATGCTGTCAAATTTGGCTTGCTAGTATTTTGTTGAATATTTTTGTATCAATGTTCATCAGGGACATTTGTCTGTAGCTTTCTTTTCTCTTCGATGTGTTTTTGTCTGGCTTTGCTATAAGGGTAATACTGGCCTTGTAGAAGGAGTTTGGAAGTCATCACTTCTCCTCTATTTTTTGGAATAGTTTGAGTAGGATTGGTATTAGTTCTTCTTTAAATGTTCGGTAAAATTTAACAGTGAAGCCAGCATGTCCCAGGATTTTCATTGCTGGGAGACTGTTTATTACAGATTTAATCTTTGTTACTTGTTACTGTTCTTTTCAGTTTTTGAATTTCTTTGTGTTTCAATATGTATAGGTTGTATGTGTCTAGGAATTTATCAGTTTCTTTTATATTTTCCACTTTAAGGCAAATAGTTGCTCAGAGTAGCCACTAATGATCCTTTGAATTACTACTGTATTTTTATTATTTTGGTCTCTGATTTTATTTGTACCTTTTTTCTTTTTTTCTTAATTAGTCTGAATAACAGTTTGTTGATTTTATCTTTCCAAAAAATTGACTTTTTCATGCCATTGATTTTTTACTTCAATTTTATTTATTTCTGCTCTGAGTTTTATTACTTTTCTTCTACTTATTTTGAGTTTGATTGGCTCTTTTGTTTCTAGTTCTTTAAGATGTATCAGTAAGTCAATTATTTGAAGTTTTTCTTCTTTTTTGATGTAGGCATTTATACCTATAAACTTCCCTCTTAATATTGCTTTCACAGTATCCCATAGGTTTTGGTGTGTTGTCTTTCCATTATTTGTTTCAAGAAATTTTTCAATTTAAAAAAAAATTTCTTCATTGACTCACTGGTCATTCAGGAGCATACTGTTTAATTTCCAAGTGTTTATATAGTTTCCAAAATTCCTCTTGTTATTGATTTCTTGTTTTATTTCACTGTGGTCACAGAAGGTGCTTGATATTCTTTCTTCTTCCTTTTTTTTTTTTTTTTAATTTCTAAGACTTGTTTTGTGTGCTAACATATGGTCTGTCCTTGAGAATGATCCATGTGCTGGGAAGAATGTGCATTTTGTGGCCATTGGATGAAATATTCTTTACATATCTATCAGGATCATTTCATCTACAGTGCAGATTAAGTCCAATTTTTTTTGTTGTTGTTGTTAATTTTCTGTCTGGAAGGTCTGTCCAATGCTGAAAGGAGGCACGAAAGTTTCCAGCTATTATTATTGTATTGTCTATCTCTCTTTTTAGCTCTAATAATTTTTGCTTTTTATATCTGGGTGCTCCAGTACTGTGTGTATATATATATATATATATATACACACACATATATACACACATATATATATTTACAATTATTGTATTATCTTGCTGACTTAATCCCTTTATGATTATAAAATGAACTTCTTTGTGTCTCCTTATAGTTTTTGTCTTAAAATCTACTTTGATATAAGTATGACTATTCTTGCTCTTTTTTGGTTTCCATTGGCATGGAATATATTTTTTCTCATCTCTTTGTTTTGGTTTATGTGAAGTGTTTTGTAGGCAACAAATCAATGGGTTTTTTTTTTTTTTACCCAATCAGCCACTCTATTTCTTTTGATTAGACAGTTTAGTACATTTACATTTAATGTTATTATTGATGAGTAAGAACTTACTGCTGCTATTTTGCTATTTTTTTTTGTAATTTTCTCTTCCTTCTTTCCTTCCTCCCTGTCTTCCTTTAGTGAAGGTGATTTTCTCTTGTGGCATATTTTAATTTTTTTATTTTTTTTGGTATCTGTTGTGTGTTTTTTATTTGAGATTACCATGAGGCTTACAAATGCCATCTTATAACTCATTATTTTAAACTGATAACTTAGCACTGATTGCATAAACATAGAAAAAGAAAAAAAAGAAAACTAAGGCCGGGTGCGGTGGCTCACGCCTGTAATCCTAGCACTTTGGGAGGCCGAGGCGGGTGGATCACAAGGTCAGGAGATCGAGACCATCCTGGCTAACATGGTGAAACGCCGTCTCTACTAAAAACACAAAAAATTAGCCGGGCATGGTGGCGGGCGCCTGTAGTCCCAGCTTCTCGGGAGGCGGAGGCAGGAGAATGGCGTGAACCCGGGAGGCGGAGCTTGCAGTGAGCCGAGATTGCACCACTGCACTCCAGCCTGGGCGACAGAGCAAGACTCCATCTCAAAAAAAAAAAAAAAAAACTAATAAAAATTATACACGTTAACTTTGTCCACTCCACACACATTTTAACTTCTTGTTATTTCTATTAATATCTTACTGTAATGTTTATGTCTTGAAAAGTTTTTGCAGTTATTATTTTTGATTGGTGCATCTTTTAGTCTTTTTATTTAAGATAAGAGTAGTTTATATACTACAATTACAGTATTATAATATTCTTTGTTTTTCGGTGTGCTTACTATTCCCAGTGAGTTTTGTACCATCAGATGATTTCTTCTCACTCATTAACATCTTTTCTTTCATAATGAAGAACTCCCATTACCATTTCTTGTAGGACAGGTCTGATGTTGATGAAATCTCTCAGCTTTTGTTTCTCTGGGAAACTCTTTATTTATCCTTCATGTTTGATGGCTATTTTTGCCAAATATACTATGCTAGGCCAAAGGATTTTTTTTCTCCCCTTCAAAACTTTTTAAATATATCATGCCACTCTATTCTGGTCTATAAAGTTGCCACTGAAAAGTCTACTGCGTGA
The DNA here is from genome assembly GCF_000001405.40 of Homo sapiens. Taxonomy (NCBI): domain Eukaryota; kingdom Metazoa; phylum Chordata; class Mammalia; order Primates; family Hominidae; genus Homo; species Homo sapiens. The sequence continues at coordinate 44,892,325 of NC_000004.12, forward strand.
CGTATTGGAGCACCATTGTATGTTATTGGTTTCTTTTACTGCTCTTAGGATTCTTTCTTTATCCTTGACCTTTGGGAGTTTGATTATTAAATGCCTTGAGGTAGTCTTCTTTTGGTTAAATTTGCTTGGTGTTCTAAGGAATTCAACACCAAACCAATGTACAACTACATTTGTACAACTAAATTAGTTACAACAGTTACATCTAAATTCTTCAGTGTTTATTTCCTACAATATAGGGCATTCTCTTTCATAACTACAGTGCACTTATCAAACCAGGAAATTAACATTGATTCAGCACTAATATTTAATTTTTTGCCAGTTATGACAATAATATCCCATGTAGTATCATATGCTGAATTTCTTTATTATGTTTCTTTAGTATGTTTTAATATGAAACAGTTCTTTAGTTTTTTTTTTTTTTGTCTTTCATAACTGCTATTACATGAATGTGTCTCCCCAAATTCACCTAACTCCTAGTGTGGCTATATTTGGGGATGGAGCCCCTATGGAAGTGACTAAGTTTAAATGGGGTCATAAGAGCAGTGTCTTGGTCTAATAGGATTAAGTCCTTATAAGAAGAGACACCAGAATGCCTGCACACTCACTCTCTCTTGTTTTCATTCTCACTCTGAGTGCACACAGAGAAAAGGCCATGTGATGACCTGGTGAGAAGGTGGCAATCTGCAAGCCAAGAAGAGGGCTTTCACCGGAAACAAACTCTTCCAGATCTTAATTGTGGATTTCTAGCCTCCAGAATGGTGAGAAAATAGATTTCCATTGTTTAAGCCACCCAGTCTATGATATTTTGTTATGGCTGCCCAACCAGGCTGACTTATATAATTACCTTGACATTTTAGAAGAATACAGACCAGTTACAGTGCTTACCCCTCATATTTAACACCCATCAAATCTATGTTCAGCCAAGAGGCTACTGCAATTGTACAGGCAATTTGTGCTGGTGAATTGGTCTAAGATTCTGACAATGGCATGGTGAGATGGTTTGTATTCAGGATGTATTTGATATCAAAGCCAACAGTTTTCCTAGTTCATCGGGTATGAGGCTTGAGGGAAAGAGAGGAAACCCAGTTTCAGCAAATATAACAGAGATGATACCTCAAAATGGGTGAAAAATCTATGATAGTTTATACACTTTACCACCAGGAAATTTCTATTTTGAAATAATTTTCAGTCCTTGGGGTATAATATTAATATTTTTTCAGAGATTTTTCTGTACAAGTTTATTGAATAAAAATGGTTGCTTGAGCAAATAGTTTCTTTCATAGCAAATCTTCATTTTAGGATAAATGTCAGAAATAATAAAATAAAACCATAGTGTAAATAAGTTAGATGGCCACTTTAAGCAATAACATTTGCAGTCAAAATGTCTGGTTTCTTTGCATTGTTATTAACCTGATTCTGGAAGCACTTCCAAAGGAGAATTTTCAAAAAAGCTTTTTAGCATCATTGGCAAAAATGTGTATATACTAAATATTATTTTTCTTTGAAGGAAACAAAGAAAATAATATCTATATTTGTAGATATAAACATCTATATCAATACAAATATCTAAGTTATGTTATTTTTCACTATGTTATTTTTATGTATTCTCTCTCCCTTCTTTAGCAGAGAAGATAAAACTCTACTCCTTCAGTTTTTCTGCTTTCTGGCTCTGACTATCTATAGGGTACTATGGCATGGTAATCAGATAAATATCAATGCCTATATTTATATTTATCTATTATCTCACTATATATTTATATTTATCTATATCGTCTATATCTACATGCATGTACCTAGATAAATAGGACTATTATGAGGGAACCTTCCTTTTTCATCTAATAATTGCTCTTGTGTTTTCAAATAGTTTCTTTTAGATTCACTAATGTGTAAAAAACTTAGACGTAATGTGCTCAAACCCTCTAATCTTATACCTGAGAAAGGTGTATGTGATTTTTTTCCCCCCCAAATAGACCTTAAGTCAGCACTACATTTAGAATAAGAACTCAGGTTCCCTGTCTCTTAGCAAAGCGCTCTTTCTAATCTATTGAAATAAAGGTTAGAACGCTATTCAGAGGGAACAAGTTATTACCAGTGTTGTATTTAATTTGGGAGTTTAAGGCACATTAATACTAATAGGCCAGTGTCATAGCTAGCATGAAATAATAGGCTGGCATCATAGCTTCATAGATCAACATAACAGTCAAAGTTATAAGCCAGTCAATTCCTCTAAACCCAGCAAACTCAGAATCAACAAGTAACAATAGATAGGGTGAAGACAGTTATGTGAATTACAATAAATTGTGAGCTAACAACAGGGCATTTGTCACCCAAAATAATTACCATTGTATTTAGGGGATATTAGGGCTCTGAAAAAGACCCATGGAAATTCCCAGTCTGCAGATGGGCAGAGAGAATATGGAAGAAAAATCATTGCTTAGTCACCCATTTTGGTAGTCAGTTTTCATATATTATTATTCCTGAACACTCACAGTTTTAACTTTGTTGACATTCTGATGCCAAAAGAATCTTTCAATTAAAGTTTTGATTAAGTATTCATTATTTTAAAACCACTAATTCTTACTTTCACATCCAGTACTGAAGTGTGTTAAATGATTGGTAAGTTACTAGAAATATATAAATGTTATTGCAATGAAATCTCCCTATTAGAAATAAATTGTGGGAAGTGGAAAGTATTTTCTTTTATTAAATGAAAACATTAACCAACACAGTTAGTCAACAGATATTTATTTAGTGTTTAATCTGGACCCATCACTGAACTGATTATTCAAAACAAAACCAAATCAATATGTTTTCTGCCTTGGTGGATCTTATAGACTAGTTGAAAAAATAAAAATACAAATGTTTGTAACCAGTGTTATAACGTGGAAGAATAAGAACCATAAGAAGGAAAAACAGGGAGCATCAACATTAGGTATAATATTCAGAAAGTCCATATTAAGGGAATATTGTTCTAGATCTGAAGGTACTAGAGAGCCAGTCTTGCAGGGGTAGTGGGCAGAGGAACTTCATGTGCAATGGCCCTGAGGAGGGAGAGAGCATGCTGTGTTTGGGGAGCAGAAAAAAAAAAGTGTTCTGTCTGACTGGAGCCCGAACCCAGATTTTATATACCCTCTCGGCTCATGCCAAATGGGAATAGATAAGATCAATTTTGAATTTTCAAATTTCACTCTGCTTCCTTTGATAGCCACTAGAAAACTTAAACAAAACAAATTTAAAAATGATTAAAATGTTGGCCAAAGAAAGAAATACTGTTTGCTGATTTACCTCTTGTGTTATTTAAAAATAGGTGGGTCCGTATTTTATTTTACGGACATAGAAAAATTTTGATGATAGCCACATTCACCTGGAACAAATGTTTGGCAAGAAGCCACCCAAAAGATCACATGACTAATTAATGGTGGAACCTCCATAGAGCTGAAACCAACTTCTAATCAGCTCTCCATCTTCCTATGGTGTTATCTTCAGAGTCAAGAGGAATCAAACAAACAACAACGAAAAACCGCATGAACATGGGGCCCCTAAAAACAAGGACTCTCTGGGCTAACATAACAGTTCCCCATTCTGTGTTATAGGCACAGACGGTTTTGTTTTCTGAGCCCTAGCATGCTACTCTAGACCAGCGGGAAGGGCAGGGTAAACCCTTGTTTTCTCACACACACCTCTCAGCACTGGTTCAAATTTCAGGCAAATGGCAGGTGGGGACTCCACTCTGAGGTACTATTATTCTGATTTTGGAAATGATTTAAGAGATTTGAAATACTCCATTTCATCATGTGTAAAAAGCCAAGTTGACAGGTTTTTGTTTGGTTTTGTTTTATTCATGACCAATGTGTTTCTGGAAGACATACAGTTTCATTTTAAAGTCAGGACAGGGAAACAGCTCAATAAGGTTAATTCTGGCAGGAAAGCAAATCTTACTTTGTAAGGAAGGTATACTTGCAAAAATGTTAAGTATTTTTCTACCTCCTCCATCAATTATATTTGTCTAATCTAAAAAGGGATCTTTTTTTCCCTGAAAGTTTAAATACCCATCATATTTTAAGAGAAGATAGGACTGCTTCAAATGCAGTATTCCGTTTGTACACAAAACATTTCTTCTGAAAGGTTAATAAAGGCATGTTTTAAATTCATAAGCATGATGGATGTATATGCTTTCTACAGTGAAATGCTATATAACAAATTATATCTTCAATCAGCTCTACCAGATCCTCTGTAAATTGGAGTATGCGAGTTTGCAGTGAATTTGCAAAATGCAAACCTAACCATTTTATTTTGTCTCTTCCCAAACTTATCTGGCAAATTGAGACAATATACAAGAAATATACTTTAAAATAACTGCATCTCAATTGAATCGGCGTAACTTGAGATTTAATCATTGAATTTGGACAGGCCAGATGTTTACATTAGGAAGGGTTCAATATCGCTTAAAGGCTTGTCATTTTCCTTGGGTCTCTTGCCTGTAGTTACTTTATTTGGAGGGAAAGAAAGGTTTCACATTTTAATTTCCTCCGTAGGGGGGAAAAAAAGAATTAAAGAATGTATGTGATTTGACTTAAAATGTATAAGGGACTTGACATTAGTAAGTGAATTCTTATTAATTTTTAATCTTTTTTAATGCAAAGTGAGAAACAATTTGCATTTTTAATGCACATCATATTTCATAAACACAAAGTTCTTTAAACCAATAATGCACAGAGGGGCAGATGTTGTTTATTTCTTCTAAAGACCCAGAAATGAAACAGCTGGAAGATGGTGTTTAAACAATCATCAGCTAAGAAGTTTCAAATATGCTTTCTTCCACAGTGTCCTTTCTGCTGTAAATGAAATGATAAACATGTTCAGTTTACCAATATTTATTAAGCAACTACTCTGTGCCAGGCATGGTACTACCTGTAAAAGATGATTGCGGGCCGGGCGCAGTGGCTCACGCCTGTAATCCCAGCACTTTGGGAGGCCGAGGCGGGCAGATCACGAGGTCAGGAGATCGAGACCACGGTGAAACCCCGTCTCTACTAAAAATACAAAAAAAATTTAGCCAGGCGCAGTGGCGGGCGCCTGTAGTCCCAGCTACTAGGGAGGCTGAGGCAGGAGAATGGCGTGAACCCGGGAGGCGGAGCTTGCAGTGAGCCGAGATCGCGCCACTGCACTCCAGCCTGGGCGACAGAGCGAGACTCTGTCAAAAAAAAAAAAAAAAAAAAAAAAAGGATGATTGTGACATAGCACTTGCTTCGTGGGCTTTTAGTCTTATTTGGGGAAAAATATTTAACATTTCAAGTAACTCCCTAATTTAAAAATATATCAGTTTTCTTATCATAATGAATTATACTGTTACATGCTATATTTATGAGCAGCATTTCTTTCTGCCTTTCTAACAACTTTCTTGAAGTATAATAGAAAGACAATGAACTGTATATAAAGTATACAAATTGGATAAGTTTTGATATATGCATACACTCATGAAACCATTGACACAATCAAGATAATGAATATATTCACCATCCCAGAAATTTCCTCCTGTCCCTTCATCATCTCTCCCTTCTGCTAATTCTGCCCACCACTTATCTTCAGGAAACTATTGATTTTTCTGTCACTGTACTCTAGTTTGTACTAAGAACTTTATACAATTTTAGTATGCATTTTTTGGTGTGATTTTTAAATTCAGCACTATTGAGACATCCATTTTGTTGCATGTATCAAAAGTTAATTTATTCTTATTGCAAGGTAGTATTCCAGCATACAGATATACTATAATTTGTTTATTCATCTATTGCTAGACATTCGTGTTGTCAGCTACTGATGAAGATCGTGTACATCTGTGAATAATGTTTATGTGTGTAAGTCTTTGTATGAATGTATAATCTCATTTTCTTGGGAAAATATCCAGACATGGAATGTCTGGTTGTTATGGCAGATATAAGTGTGAGACTGTATATATATATATATATATATATAAATATTTGTGTATTTTATATATGTTTAAGATATTTTCTGTTGTTTAAGAAACGAACTATTTTTCTTTCTTTCTTTTTTTTGGGGGTGGGGACAGAGTTTTGCTCTTGTTGCCCAGGCTGGGGTGCAATGGCATTACTTGGCCTCACTGCAACGTCCACTTCCCAGGTTCAAGGGATTCTCCTGTCTCAGCCTCCCGAGTAGCTGGGATTACAGACGCCTGCCACCACGCCCAGCTAATTTTTTGTAATTTTAGTAGAAACGGGATTTCACCATTTTGTCAGGCCAGGTAATTCACCCACCTTGGCCTCCCAAAGTACTGAGATTACTGGTGTGGGCCACCGCGCCCTATCAAAACTATTTTTCAATATTGTTGCCCATTTCCTGTTTCTACTAGAAGTATATGAGTCTTCTAGTTGCTTCACATTCTCACCAACATTTGGTATAGCCAACCTTTTTAATATTAAACACCTGCAGGGTTTGAGTGGCATCTCAGTGGATTTTAATTTGCATTTCCTTAATGACTAATGATGCTGAGCGTTTTCCATGTGCTTATTTGCCATCTGTATGTCTTTTATAGTTAAGAGTCTAATTCAAATATTTTGCCCAACCTAAAAAAGCATGTTGTTTGTTTTCTTATTATTGAAGATAATTTTCTTATTATTTGAGGATCCATTACATATTCTGAATACAAATTCTTTGTCAGATATATAATCTGCAAATAATTTCTCCTAATATTTGGCTTTTCTACTTACTCTCTTAACAGTGTCAAAGACCAGGAGTTATTAATCCTGATGATGACCAATTTATCAATTTTTTTTATTTGGAATTTTTCACTTCATCCAATATCAAAAAGATTTTTATTTGTGGTTTCTTATGGAAGCTTTATAGTTTTTTTTTTTTTTTTTGCTGTTAGGTCTATGACTTATCTGAGTTAATTTTTATAGATTCTGTAAACTATGGATTGAAATTTTTCTGTTTTTAATTTTTTCCTTAATATGGATATATGTCATTTGTTGAAAAAAAAACCCCTTTATGTATAGAATTACCTTTGTGTCTTTTACAAAATTCAATGTATTTCTCAATTCTATAGTCTTTTCTATTGAACTATTTGTTTATATTTACACCAATATTACACTGATTAGATTACTGTAATTTTGTGATAATACTTGATATCAGACAGTGAAGTCCTTAACATTTATTCTTTTACAAATTTGTTTTGGTTATGAGAAGGTTTTGAATTTTTATATGAATTTTAGAATTTGCTTATCAATTTCTAGAAAAGTTTCTATTGGTATTTTGATACAGATTTTATTGAATCTGTAGATCAATTTGGGGAGAATTGACATCTTAACAAAATGGAGTGTTCTGATACATGAAAATCTATCTCCATTTATTTAGATTCTCTTTTGTTTTTTTAATTAATGTTATGTAGTATTTAGTGTACAGGCCTTGAATGTCTTTTTGTCACATTTGCCACTAAGTATTTTATAGTTTTTGATATTATAAATGGTATTGATTTCTTAATGTCCAAATGTTCATAGCTAGTTATAGAAATACAGTTGATTATTAGATACTTATTTTTGAATCATGCATTTTGGCTAAACTCCCTTATTATTTCTAATAGCCCTTGTGTAAATGTCCTTAGAGTTGTTTTCATGAACACTGTCTAGAACCTTCAGTACAACGTTAAATCATTATAATGAGAATGGGCGTCCTAGTTATGTGATCCCTAGGAAAAGGCATTCATTCAGTCATTTAACATTAAGTATGATAGCTATAGATTTTTAAGTAGATGCCTTTTATCAGATGAGTATTTCCCTTTTTATTCATAGTACTAAGACCTTTTGTTTGTTTGTATTTTAGAAGGAATATATATTGCATATTGCATTTTATCACATGCTTTCTTGTATCTATTGAAATATGTTTTTCATTGTATTCTGTTAATATGGTGAATCACATTGATTGATTTTCAAATATTAAGCCAGTTTTTCATTTCTAGAATAAACTCCCCTTGGTCATGATATACCTTTTATACTTTTCAGAGTTTGATAAAATTTGGTAAGAATTTTTACATCAAATTTTTATAAGAGCTATTTATTGGGCTATAGTTTTCTTTTCCTGCAATGTTTTCTTATGGTTTTAGCATTAGGGTGATGCTGGCTTCAGAGAATTAGTTACATAGTCTTCTCCCTCCTTCTATTTTCTGTAAGAGATTGTGCAAAATTGGTATTACTTCTTTCTTAAATGTTTGGTAAAATGGTGAAGTCATGTGGACCTGAAGTTCTTTTTGTGGGAAGGTTTACTTCAATTGCAAATTTAATTTTTTAAAAAATACATAGGGCTATTTGTCTTATATTTACCCACGCAGTTTCTACTCCCAGTGTTTTTCATTCCTCTGTGTTGATGCGGATTTCATTTGGTATCATTTTCCTTCAGAATCCCTTTAATTTCCTATAATGCAGGATGCTGGTGAAGAACTCCTTCAGCTTTCATATGTCTGGTAAAGCATTTAATACAACTTTGTTTTTAAAAGTTTTTTTTTGTTGTTGTTGTTGCTGGTTATAGAATTCTAAGTTGGCAGGCTTCTTTTTCATTACTTTAAAAATATTTATGTCCTTTTCTCTGGCTGACTTGGACTCCAACAAGAAATCTATTGTCAGTCTAATTTTATTCCTCTGTTTTTTTTTTCTCTGTCTTCTTTTAAAACTTTGTTATTGAATTAAAATAATTTCATTATGATGTGCCTTGGTGAAGTTTTATCACATTTCTTGTACTTGGGATTTGTGAAGCCTTCTTCAAAATGTGGGTTTATAGTTTTCTTCAAACTTCTTGGCAATAATTTCTTCAAATAATATTATTGTCATCCCCCCTTCTCTGTCATTTTCTTCAGAGGCTTCAAATATATATGTACTTGAAGTGTATACTTGAATACATGGGCCACTTGAAATTGTTTCAAAACTCTTTTAATTTTTCAGCGTGTTTTAATTTAATTTTTATGTGATTTATATTGCTATGCCTCCAAGTTCCCAAATTGTTTATTCTGCAATGTATATTTTGCCATTAATCACTACCAGAGTATTTTTAAATTTCAGCCATTTTAGTGTTAATCTCTGGACATTTGTTTTGTTTTTTTTATATCTTCCATCTACCTATTGAACATGTTCAATCTTTTCTCTAGCTTCTTGAACATAAGCACTACAGTTTAAATGACTGTTGTAATGCCCTCATCTACTAATAATAATTCGATCATGTACATATGTGATTTCACTTTTGATTGATTATATTTCCTCTTCTTCATTGGTCTCATTTTCCTATTTCTTTGCATTCCTGGTAATTTTTGACTGATGTACAAAATTGTGAATGTTTAAAAATGATTGAGTGCTTGATATTTTTGAGTTCTATAAATATTTTTGAGCTTTGTTTTGAGATGCAGTTAATTTACTTGTAAATAATTTGATTCTTGTTGAGTCTTGTTTTAAAACTTCGGTGTGATCAGTGTAGCATTACTTAAAGGGTAATTTTGTCATATTATTAAGACAATATTTTTCTGAGTATTCTACTTGATATTGCTTAAATTCTGATATTTTCTTCTCTTGGTGGGAATAGGAACTACTGCCAGCCTTGCTTGAGCTCTGATTATTCCCTCTAATTCCTTAGGATAGTTCTTTCCCTGACCTCAGGTAATTGCTTCACATGCATGAGGTGATGATTACTTGGTGATGATTACTTGGCTGAAGTTCTCCAGGGAAAATCTTTATGCTTCTCTGGAGCTTTATTTCTATGCAGCTCTCCAGCTATCTTGGACTTCCTAGTCTTCCAGCACTATCTTAACTCAGGGAGGCTGCCAAGCTCTGTCTGGTTTCTCTGTTCTTTGCCATACCATAAAAACCCTCTCAGGGATTACTGTCCTTAGTCATATGATGTATAATGTTATAAAAATTGTGGTTTCATACATTCCCTGTCCCATCCTTGTTTTCTAGTAGTTTCAGATGAGAGGCAGAATTTGATCTTTGTTACTCAGTGTTGGCTCCAAAAAAAAAAATCCTCTCATTTTTAACTTCATTTTTGAGAGTTATCATGGATGGGTGGTTATGATTTATGTGCATGCAGATTTATATAAATCAATTGCATTAATATAAATAATGCACATTTAAGAGAGAATAAATTAAAATTGTTAGTTAACTATCTCATGTTTAAATTTATATAGTGCTAACAGCCCAAAATTTAAAAAAACAACAACAAATTTTAGGAATTAAATAATGTTATAACTGGACGGGTCAAATGGATTGTAAGCTATGTTCATTCTATAGACACATTTTGGCATCATCTTTTGTTAGATGTGATTGAAGTATGTTTTGTTTGAACTACATTAAGCGAATTATTTTTACACTATAGATCTTATAAAAACAATATAAGAATTAATCCCGAAGACAGAAAAATAATGCTATTTACTAAAACAGATCTCATTTGATAAAATATTTGAAGCACCTTACAGAAAATACATATAATAGGAGGATAAAATAAAGTTTAAATTTGAATAGCAGCATAGTAGGAAGAGATTCAAAGTAGATTTATACTCCTCTTGGACTATGCTGTTGCTTAACGTGGGCAATAAATTAAGTTCTGTGACTCCCAGGAGCCAAAGTTAAAGACAAAAACAGGAGAAATAAGAAAAAAAGTCAGTATATAATTTTATATTTCTGAATAAAGGATGACTTTTTCAGTTTAAAATCAGTAGATAAAGTCATGATAGAAAAATGTTAATTTAACTACATATAATTTCAAATTTTGTTATATAAAAGATTTTAAAAGTACAATCTGTCTTTAAAGGAAAATAACAGGCTCAGATAACTATTTCTAGAAAAAAATGACAATCTGTGTGAGTGTTTTGGATTTGCAAAAGCCGCTTAAGAAATTAGAGGGATTTTCCTTAGTATGTTTTTAAGTCTGTTCTGTCAGACATTTGAAATATTTAAAAGATAAGATGTATTAATTATGTAAATAGAGTTTAAAATGTTTAAGAAAACATAATTGCCTACCTTTATGCATAAATTATTTAGGGATGTTTAGTATATTAAATATGTGAATTAATGAAATATTTGTCAGATACATGCACTTGTTTATGCATAAAAATTTCAGCTCAATGTAAAGGTTTAAAAAACTGCTCTTTTTTGTTGTTGTTGTTTTGTTTTGTTTTTGAGACGGAGTCTCGCTCTGTCGCCCAGGCTGGAGTGCAGTGGCTCCATCTCGGCTCACTGCAAGCTCCGCCTCCTGGGTTCACACCATTCTTCTGCCTCAGCCTCCCAAGTAGCTGGGACTACAGGAGCCTGCCACCACACCCAGATAATTTTTTTGTATTTTTAGTAGAGACGGGGTTTCACCATGTTAGCCAGGATGGTCTCCATCTCCTGACTTCATGATCCGCCCACATGGGCCTCCCAAAGTGCTGGGATTACAGGCATGATCCACCACGCCCGGCCTGCTCATTTAAAACTTAAGACTTTGTAAAAAATAATAGATGTTGGCAAGACTGCAGAGAAAAGGAAATGCTTGTACACTGTTGGTGGGAATGTAAATTAGTTCAAGCCCTGTGGAAAACACTATGGAGATTTCCCAAAAAACTAAAAATAGAATTACCATTCGACTGAGCAGTTCTACTACTGGGTATAGACCTAAAGGACAAGAAATTGTTTTATCAAAAAGACATTTGCACTTGTATGTTTATCACAGCACTGTTCACAATAGCAAAGGCATGGAGTCATTCTGTGTCCATCAACAGTGGATTAGATAAATAAAATGTGACACATACACACCATAGAATACTGTACAGGCATAAAAAAGAATGAAACTATGTCCTTTGCAGCAACACGGTTGCAGCTGGAGGCCATTATCCTAAGTGAATTAACACAGAATCAGAAAATCAAATACTGGATGTTCTCATTTATACGAGGAATCTAAACAATGGGTACACGTGAACATAAAGATGGAAACAATAGACACCGGGGACTACAAAAAGGGATCAAGAGAGAAGAAGGCATGCATTGAAAAAAACTACCTATTGGGTACTATGTTCATTATTTGGGTGAAGGGTTCACTAGAAGCCCAAAGTCTAGCATTATGGGATAAACCCATGTAACAACCCTGCAAATGTACACCCTATATCTATTTTTAAATCTTAAATTAGTTATAATAGAGATAATCATAATTCTACCATTCTAGGTACAAAAGCTGTTCTCAGACTTAATTAAAAGCTTGTGTGATGGTTAGATTGCAACCTTGTACATATAGAAACAAAACAAAAGGGAATCAAAATGACTACTTACATTTAATGAATTTGTTGTGTCAAAAATGCCATAAACATTCTTAGTTTTGTTGCCTGTTTCTATGGTTTTCTGTTCTGTATTTATTTCTACTCTGATTCTTATTATTTCCTTCCTTCCGTTAGCTTTGAGATTAGTGTGTTCTTTTTCTAGTTCCTTAATCTATGCCGGTAGATTGTTTATTTGAGATCTTTCTTCCTTTTTAATGCAGATGTTTATCGCTATAAACATATGGTGTGGCTCTGTGTCCCCACTCAAATCTCACCTTGAATTGTAATAATCCCCATGTGTCAAGGGCAGGACCAGGTGGAGATTATTGAATCATGGGGTTGGCTTCCCCCATGCTGTTCTGATAGTGGGTGAGTTCTCATGAGATCTCATGGTTTTATAAGGGGCTTTCCCCGCTTCTCTGGCACTTATTCTCTCTCCTGCCACCCTGTGAAGAAACGCGTTCCACCATGATTATAAGTTTCCTGAGGCCTTTCCAGCAGAACTTCCCATGCAGATCTGTGAGTCAATTAAACCTCTTTTCTATATAAATTATCCATTCTCAGGTATTTCTTCATAGTAGCGTTAGAACGCACTAATATATAATCCTTCCTGTTATTACCAGGTGTGCAGCATCTAATAAGTTTTGGTATGAGGTGTTTTTGTTTTTGCTAATTATTTTTAAAATTCCCTTTTGATTTCCGCTTTGACCCACCAGTTGTTCAAGAGTGTGTTTAGTTTCCACAGATTAGTAAGTTTTCCCATTTTCTAGTTTCATTCCATCGTGGTCATAGGAAATACTTGGTATGATTTTGGTCTTCTTACATTTATTAAGATATTCATGACCTAACATGTGATCAATACTAAAGAATGTTCCATGTGTGCTGCTTGAGAAAAATGTGTATTCTTCAGCTGTTGAGTGATGTACATGTCTTGAAAGATGTTTATAACTTATGGCAGTCATGCTTTGATATTCTTATACCAAAATACATAAAATGTCTCTTATAAGTTCGTTATGAAATGAAAATCATTCCAACAGAGAAAAACAGGAAATTAAATTCTAAAAAAGAATGACAGACAAACATGCAAAACATTATGAATCATGTCTAGAAGTTTCATAAATAAAGATTAAAACAAAATATTTTCCCTCTATTTTATATGAGGTTGGCAAGGATTTGTGGAATTTTTTTTCATTCATGACTAGGGCGTGTGTGAGTTGGTTTGAGTATTTATAATGTTTTTTTTTAAATGTAATAAATCAACCTCAAGTGATTTATTCTCAACACACCCACATACACATAGATGCACCAACATTTGAGCAAAGAAAAAACAAACAAAAGAGAAAATGACTTAAAGTTTCTACAACTGGGGATTGGTTAAATAAATTCTGGTCCAACCATCTGATGTGCAACTATAACATTACAATAGTGTTTATAATATTTAATATAATGGAAAAACCCCAAGAGATATTGAGTTGCTATATGTAAGAAGGAGTAATTTTACAGGATAGTCTAACTTTTACTTTTGTTAATGTGCACTTACATCACACGCACACAAAATTTTTGGATAAAGAGCAGAAAGATATATTCTAGAATGTTAAGGAAAATTTGGCAGGTGATGGTGATTTTTATTTTCTTGTGAAGATATTATACTGTATGTGTTTTCTATTATGAATATATGTTGCTTTCATAATCAGAAAAAGTAACTTAAATTATGGTATACATCTAATTCTAAGCTTTTTCAATATTGACACTTGTAACTTTACCTTATTTTATCTACTGCTGCTCCTTGTAAGGAATTGAGAGTGTCTTCATTTAAAAACATTTTTTAAAGTATTAGTTCCATAAACATGTAGGGTTAATATAATTCAAAACCTAAATGAAGCCCCACACTTACCTTTTATTTGCCTTAGAATAAATATTTTTCAAGTCTCTACTCTGGAAATGTTAGTCTCCCGAGTTGCAGACCACATGGCATAATTATTTTCTATACTTGTTTCCACTCACCTCAACACTCCTATTTCTTTTCTAATTCATGTGGAATAATGATTAACACCCAGTAACTGCTTCATAAACACCTGTTTGCAAAATGAAAAAGACTCTGAGGTTTAATCATCTCTCATATAATTTATTATTATTTATTTTTAAATGGAACCTGGTAAAATGATAGAAATTAGGCCTTAGGCTAGTGACATTAAGCAGGAAGGTGAGATTTATGTTGTTTTTCAGTTCAACCTTGGTATACTCAAAACTTTTTCAGGCACTATATTAGATAAAAGACATAAAGAGATGTAAATACAAAAAATCTCCAGCCTTGTTGGGGAAACATACAAATCATAATTACAAAGCAACACTGTATTTGAATAATGCAGTGTTATCCAAGATGCAGAGAGATGCTAGAAGAGTCTGGAAAGCCTGAATGAAGAGATGATTGTTCAAAGGAGACCTAAATGGTGAGTAAATGCCATACAGATAAAGAGCATTGTGGAGGGGCACATTCTAGGCTGAAAGAACAGCAACTGCAGAACTAGCAATAAAGAACATACAGCTAATAACAATTGTCACTCTTAGTTTATTTCCTCTGTTCTTGCCTACTTGTTTCTCAGGGATGCAATCACTGGAACCACCACTGGCTGGCTCAAGGAATTTCTATTATCTGAGCCATACAAGTGTATATGAATAGCTTCCAATCCTGCTATTTCATGAGAAATAAAATTATTTTCTCAAACTTGATATTTGGTGTTTAATCACACTGTTGTATTTCCAGGTGTCTCTCTGAGTGACCTTTATTCAATTTTAGGACTTTGTGCACCTGCCTCTTAATTCCACATACATAGAAACCTTGGGTCTAGGTTTTATCCTCCACAGGTCAACTCTTCCAACTCTTCTTGTCCATTTATTTATCCTCTATTCTACCCCAAATCCAGTAGTCCTCTTTCAGAGTTGATGGATCGAGGAATCTTTGCTGAATACCCTGGTGTCACTCTAGGATTAATGATCTTAGCAGATAATTATTCAAGTGATGTGGGTTTTGTTGACCCTCCTTATTTTTGTCATTTCTCTTCTCAATTCTGGATCTTTGTCCCAGGACACATTCTTTTGGTAACGTTCTCCTTTATACAGAAATACAGAAATCACAGGTTGTTTACTTTACTTCCAGGTAGTTTTCATTGATTGTACATCTCTGTTATTCCACTTATAGCTCCAATTAATTGAACTGCTGACTTAAGCTAATGAATCTTTTCCAGGAGGACTTTGAAATGGAATACAGGTGGTTCCAATCAGTCTGGCAACGCTCTTGAAAGGGAAATAATGAGTTGAGGGCTATTAGTGCTGATCATTTTCTATCCGGTACACTATAGAGCAGATAAAACTCATTTTCAGAATGAGAGAAGAGTGAAGCAGATCAGCACAGAGGAGATCGAGACAGAGAAAGATGATTTTGTGGTTAGCTTGTAGTTTTCCAGTGATTGCTTCTATGTCTTTCCTAGGCCTTCCTGCTGAAGTTCTGCCTTTTGCTTCCCTGAGAAACATTTGTATTTTTATAACAAGTCTTTCTCTCTTTAAATTAGCTACCAATTTATACTAATATGGCACTCATTAGATGTTTTGATGTTTATCCTTACCTGAATACTGCCTGAAATTACAACTTCCAGGCACCATGTCTTAACTTCTGGCTGATCCTCAAGAGTTTGCCACTGAGACTGCATCATCTGTCTCAACACCTCACTCAGGTGTTCAAGCCTTATATCAGTTTTTATACCCCTCCTGATTTCTTCAAGTTATCTTATGTTCTGACTTCCATAATTTCTTTCACTTCCATCTGGCCACTACACAATGGAGTGAATTAAGAAATTTTGAGGCTTCTGGTAGAGACCACTCTAGAAATTCTTTACAAATATTTTTACATGACAATATGGCTATTTAAATCCACGTTAAATTTGAGCATTATTATTCTATTGCATCTGTATGCCATTTTGCTGTATTTTAATTCTGACAACAGTAGATTATTCTAGTGCATTAATTTGAAATGAATCATTTTATGAAAATATAAATTAGTTGAAATTCCATTTACGTAATAGAATTTCCAATATATTCTTGCAGGATTCCAGCATCTGCTGGTTTCATTAGAACATTAGCAGGATCTTTTGAAGAATGCTGACTAATCTATAATTCCTTAAAAAGATTACATATAAAAATTATGCATTGCTTCTGTAAGTTCTTATTTACATATGGTAATTTAGGGATTATAAGGAAAAATGCTATCATTTGGATGATTCTACATAGTGAAGTAGTGGTTTTTGTTGTTGTTCTTGTTGTTGTTTTTGGAAGATGTCTGTACATGTTTTTTAGAGGTTAGTCAGGAGCAATTTTCTTATTCAGGCTTCCATCATTGTTAGAATAAAAATGAAATTTAGTCTTTAACCTCCAGTCCTTGAAGATCGTATTATTCAATTATTTATGACTGATTACTATAGTTAAGATGACTTAAGAACCCTTTAAATGCTGCATAAAATTAAAAAGATTTTGGAGTCCTAATTTCTCAGACAAATATAAAACAATGTTGGATCATTGCTATTTGCTATGATTGATATAAAATCTATTGCTCAAAAAGTGACCAGTGAGAAATAAATACATTTATAATTAGCATACATTTACATTATTTGCAAGATTCAATTTGCTAAAGACTATGCCTTCGTTTCACTGCTATTTAGGAGGCCTCACAAAGTGCTATGAACTCGTGTGACTCCCTACCTTGTAGGCAACTGCACTTTGTAGGGCATTTAGGCACTTAGAATGTGGTGTGGCTTGGATTGGTTATATTATCATTTAAAGAAACTCTTTATTAGCCTTATTAAAACCAACTGTATCTAGGCAAAATGATCCTATATTAAGGAAAAACTTCTTGTGGAACTGGAATAATATTTGATTGCTTTCAGATGTTTGTCCTATACTCCAAAGCTAGAGAGCTGCTTACTCCCTCAGGGAAAACAACTTCACAGCAACTCATTTTACACCAAAACAATTAACTGAACTTAATTGGGCATAACATTTAATAAAAAAGAGCCTCCTTTGGGAAAAAAACAATTTTTTATGTGTCTACAACTGTATAGCATAAAATTGCTATAATTTGTATATGTGTATGTTTTAGAAACAACTTTATAAAAGACTCTAGAAATCAGCATTAATTCTACATGGTGCCTGTCAAATTGTTTACTATTGAAAAAATATTAATTTTTCTTTCTGTTATTTTATGAGACTTTATCATCTCCTGACCAATGATTTATCAAATTTCATGGGACTAGAATAAAGGGTAGCTGTTTGAAAAGCCTTTCTCTTTGAGGTATCTAACATAAATATGAGACACGTATTTCAAACTTTATTTTCTGTAATATGAGGGTAACTTCTTTCTTATACTGTATCTGAAAAATGATTTAAAAATAAACTAATGAAGTAAAGTACCTTTACAAATTTTGATACAATTTACTGTTGCTCCTTCAGAATAATATCTGACTGTCCATTAAATTTTAAAATATGACATTTTACTCCAGGGCTATAATATTCATTTGCTTTGACACAGATAAACATGTCTACTACTGTGTTACACAGAAACTTCAATTTGCGTATCATTTGTATAGTATTATACTTCAGATTAAAAATATAATTGAAGTAACTTTGAATTAAAAAACACCCTAAAGAAACCACACAATCTGAGATAAAATAACTTAAAAAGACAAAATCGGAATCTTTAGTGTAAACGAAGGATAATAGGTATATATGAGGAGGTATGAAAGACATCCTTATATGTTATTATTTATTGGTTTTTAAATTCAATTTTGGGTAGATTGGAAAATAGAAGATTTTGTTCTAATTCTGTTTTTGCAATAAGTGTAATAGCTCATAAAATTTTGGACATGCTATTTCAGGGCACATTGGCATAAATATTTGTAAAATTCTTTCCTTAAAGTAAGAACTAAAGTACTCCTCAGGAGAAATGCATTTCTGTCATAGATAAGAGCATTGTAAAATAATCTGTTTTAAAGTAAATATGAAATATAGAATGTTTGGTGCTCTGCTGATTTGTATTCAAAATAAATCCCAGTGCCCTGAAATCGTTGGGGCTTACCAATTCCAGCAGTCAAAGGTCTCAGCTTTAGGCGTTCCTATAACCTTGGTAAAAGCTGAAATATGAGCTCTGAAAGACAGCACATACATAATGAAAAATACCTACCCCATTTTATCCTTAAATATGTTTAGATCTAGTTAACTCAAGTGATGTGCCCAAAATCAAACTAATGGAAGCTGAAAAATAGTTGTGAATAGTGAAAATTAAATTATTTCTCAATTCTTCTGCTCCTTCTGATTTCGTATTGAGTTGTGTTTATTATAATGACCTCTGGAGTAAGACTGCCTGGGTTCATTTTCAGCTTGACCATTTACAAGTTATGTGACCTCGAGAAAGTTACTTAACCATTCTTTGCCTCACTTTTTTAACTCATTAAATGGGGTTATAACAGTACTTCCTTCATATGATTTTTATGAAAGTTAAATGATTTAAAATCATTTAAATAGTGCCTAGTATGAAAATAGCACATTAAGCTGGATAAACCCAGTAGATATGAGTAATGGTCTTCTACCTTTCGTATGATGACAATGCTCCGTTAAAGATTTTCTTTGTACTTCTGTTATTTTTGGCAGAACTATTCAAAGTGGCTTTGTTTTTAATAGCCAGAATCTGGAATCAAACCAGATATTCTTTAATGGATGAGTGGCCAAACAATCCATGTCATATACATACCATGGAATACTATTAAATAACAAAAAGGACCAAAGTATTGACAGGCATGGCATCTTGGATGACTCTCCAGGATATATTCTGTTTTTAAAAAGCCAGTCCTAAAGGGTAAATATTGTATTATCCCATTTATATAAGTTTTTAAATGAAAAAATTGCCTGCATTAGGAACAGAGACTGAGCAGGGAAAGGTGGAGTGGCTGTGGCTATAAAGAGGCAACCCAAGGGATCCTTGCAGTGATGGAACTGGTCAGAATGTTGACTGTGGTAGTGGATACATGAACCTACACATATGATAAAGTTGTATGGAACTAAACAGACATGCATACACACACACACACATATAAACACAAGTAAAACTGAGGGAATCACAATAAGATATGTGGATTGTATTCATTTAATATACTGGTTGTATTTTGCAAAATGTTGTCATTATGCTATATTGGGTAAAGTGAGCATGGGCTTTCTTACAATTGCATGTGAACTTCATTACGATTGCACATAAATCTACAACTATCTCTATAAGAATTTCAATTTTAAAAAGTAGCACGGGAAGAGGGAGGCTGCTTGGAATTTGAAAATTTATATGATAATCCATGTTTAGGAAATAAATAATTAAAAGTGAAGTAGATTACTGCATAGAATAAAAAAAGTAGAAAGAATAGAATAAAATAAAACATTATTAAAATTATAAAATCATAGACCCTAAAAGCATGAGAGATCATCTCATCTGTTGACCAGTCCAAGGTAAAGGTTTTGTTATTCTGTAGCAAAATGTGAAATATTAAGACAAAGTCACTCCTGTGGTGTGTGTGTGTGTGTGTGTGTGTGTGTGTGTGTGTGTGTGTCTGTGTGTAGGGGGTGGGATGTTGACATAAGTTTGCTAACTGTCCTATTTTGGGAAGGAACTGTCCTTTATCTTCGATTATTCCTTGCCTCCATCTTGAAGTTAGTTTTCTTTCTTTTACAAAATAATAGTTATAGTACTTTTGTGATGTCCTTCCTTAATATTACACAAAATAAAATGTTGATAAACTTTAAAAAAAAACCTGAGTGGATATGAAGACACTCCTTCACCAAAAAACAAAACACCAGAAAAAAAATGTGGGTCCTAAGTGGAAAGTAAAAGTGATGTTGAATATATAAACATATGAAGTCAATACACAAAGGCTAGAGAGAGACAAGAGAGCTCAGGGAAAGGTGGAGAGACAAAGGAGAAAAAGCATGAACTGGCAGGACCTGCAAAAATACGGTGAGAATAAAATAGCAAGAGATGGAAAGTGCAACAAAGGATTGATCCCATCCACAGAATTTCCCATGAAGAGGAGTTCTTGTGTTTTCAGGAGAATGTGTGCTCTGGGAGATTGCACTATCTGTCTATTGAGTCTGTTCAACAGGAAATTTCTGATATTCATTAAGACACATTCTGTGGTTTAAAAGCTATCAAATGTTTTCTTTCCTTACAAATTTCCACAGAAAATTTAGGATTGTACCCTTGCGATGAAAGATTAAACCTTGTTCATCACTTACAGGATTTATCTTCTGACTGAGTCCTT
Organism: Homo sapiens; assembly: GCF_000001405.40. Lineage (NCBI taxonomy): Eukaryota > Metazoa > Chordata > Mammalia > Primates > Hominidae > Homo > Homo sapiens. The sequence goes on from NC_000004.12 coordinate 44,912,956, forward strand.
CTAAGTTGAATAAAAAGAACATTCTGGGAAATTCTCTATATTCATGATTTTTAAATGGCTTCTCCTGGTTCATGCCCCTCAGATGATTGTTTAAAACTAAATTGTTATGGAAACTTTTAATATGTGAGGCATGTTTAAGAAATCATTTGGGGCGAACACGGACTGAAAGTCTGTGTTTTCTACAAGCTCAGCCTTTGCCCAGACTGTCTCACGAGTGAGAACTTTTCTTTGGGTGGATGCCATTCCCTCTGTCTTTCTTGGTTTCCTGGTACTTCTCCATCTGGTCCTGTGACCCCAAACCAGTCCACAGTAACATGGTCACAGCCCTTCCTTTGTCATCTTTATATTTTCAAACCACATGATGGGTCATCATCAAAAATGCCCTGTTTTGAGGTTGATTATTTTATTACAAGTTCATTTGCAAAATCTGCACACTGCTCATCAGGCTAAAGCTCCTCAGCCAGTGCCGCTACAGCTTCCCTGAGTGGGGCCTGCAGCCTTGTGGCAGCTAGGTAAACTCAAACAAGAAAATGCTGCAGAGAAAGCAGGGTCTTTCTTGCCTGAGTTTCTAGCCTGCCAGCCTCCCCTAAAAGTGTCAGATTTTCTGGTTTCCCACAATCACGTAAGCCAGTTCTTTGAAATACAATACACGTATACATATACCTTATTGATTCTGTCTCTCTGGAGAACCTTGACTGATAAAACTGATATTAGCATTTTATAATTGTGATTTTTATATCTTTAACTACATGATAGGGATGTTGTGTAGTGAATCTTATATTCCCCAGAACTATGCCCTGTGAATTCTTAATGAATCAATGAACATTTGGTAATGCTTTCCCCATAACTTATATTACTCTTTATTTCACTAATCTTTATTGATGGTTAAAAGACCTGAGGGTCAGCTTAGATTTTCTAAATCAACATAAAGTAATTTATATGTTAATTTAAAATTCAGACTTCCTCTGTATTTTGAGGGAGTAAAAGACTAGATATATAAGCTAGGCTAAAAATGAGCCTGAAAACTGAAATTGAAATATTTGAAAATGCAAGCGGTCTTCTCATTTTATATCCTAATCTACTCCGTTTATTAACATGCATGCTAATGGAAAGTAGGCTGCTCATAATTCACATGTATGATGAGGGCCAGAAAGTGTGAATATCCAGTCATTGCACAGTAGACATTTTGAACTGGCCACCACATTCAAGTAGGATTTGGTTTTTACTACATTGTCTAGATTTTTACTTATTAATTTGTATGTATCTTCCCAACTTAAATACTTTGACTATTTCATAATCCAGTTTTAATATGTATTTTAAAAGTGATAGTTGTTTGAAGCCCAAGAATCAAATATTTTAAGCAGCTCAGGTTATGAGATAGCAGAAATTTAATTCTATGTTTTATTCTTTTTAGCATCTGCTGTTGAGACAGTATGAATCATGACACACACATCTACTCTACATCTTTCTTTCACTCTTACTCACAACATCTGTAGTAGAGTTCCCTATACTTTGTACTGATATAACTTGATGTCTCAATAGAAGTCCTTTAGGCAAGAAACATGACTATTTTATTCAGAATTTCAAACAAAATGAAAAGTAATTATCAAAACCTGAGTTCCTAGAATCTTGGCCATTGAGAATACATGGGATTCTTACGTCTTCCACTGTAGTGACTTCTGGATTTTCCAGATTCTCTCATTTCTGAGCCACCATATATGTTTATCTCATCTGCTTCAGCATTTGCCAGTAAGTGGAAGGGCTGCACCTCTGTGTGGACAGATGAGTTACCTTCCCAGGACCAAGTAGTATTTTGCCTAAACTGTGCTCTCTGCGAAGGTCACTTGCCTTCTCATCTTTTTTCCTCCCCTAATTACTTATCCTTCAGGAGAAGACATTGCTTTTGCATAGACACATACACTCATGCACAAAAGCTTTTAAGCAGGAGGTCAGGCTCCTTGCTCTGTGGTTTTATGGCACTTTGTACTTCCATTATCGTAGCTCTTAGCACACTGTACAATTACTGTGCAAAATCTCCTCACTGTTCTTCAAGCTCCATGTCCTCTGTTTATTAAGTCTGCAATGCCCAGCAAAGAGCCTTATACTTTGTAAACACTAATAATGGACCAGTACATTAACAATCTGAGATTTTACAAGCTCTTTTCATTCAAGGTGGAGAAAAAGCTTCTTTGAAAGCCAAAGAATTTAGTGGTTAAAAGCAAGTGAAGAAACATTTGTAGTTTTTTAAAAGCTTATTGGAATGTTTACCAATTGCTAATTCCAAATATAATTTTCAAGTCTCACTCCTAGTAATAACTGAATGTAATATATTATTTATTTATCATTTTTAATAGAAAAGGTAAGGTAACAACTAATTTTTACAGCAAGTATTATTAAGAGAAAATTTAAAATGAAGAACCATGTCATCTTGTATACTATGAATTGTGGCATTATATTTTGTTATGTGTTTTATGTATGTTTTCATTTGTACGAAAAATCTGCTCTAGTTTTTAATTGATGAATGGAAGATATTTTTAAGCTACAAAACAAATATATAATTATATATGTGTCAATAATACATGTACATTTTGCAATCATATGTGTGTGTATATATGTATATATATATATAAAATAGTACATATTTCATAGCATTATGACACTTAAGTATAAACTTCTTTGAGAAGTACCTGGAACATAAAACACACCATATAAATTTTGTTAATATTTGGATGATCAGTGATTTATAATTATTTTTTGGTTGAGGCAAATGTTCTCTTTTCACTCCTACATAAAATAAGAGATAAGACATTATTTTCTAGTCATCAAAGCTAATAGATTATAGTAACAATTTGTGCTTTGGGAATCAATAGACTGAAACTGGCATCCATGGCAGGTCAAACTAAAAAGATTGTGTGTCAGTGCTTGCAGTCAAAAAGCCATCACCCTTCTGTTGTTTCTTTGTCTACACAGGACAGTTTACTTTTTGGAGTCACACTCAAAAAGGGGCTTTATTCTTAGTGGCAAACTCATGTCAGTTTTTAAAAGCTTCAGAATTGCAGCTGTGCATCTTCTGAACTAAAAAGCTGTTTGAAATTTTTATCTGAAATTTTCTAAAAAAATTAACCAGTGTCATTTTTCTTGATTTATTTCTTTGCTTTTCCTCTTAAGCAACTGAAAATAAATTTCAGGAACTCTAGGTATATTTTTACTTCAACAGGTGTCTCTACACATACTTTACATCTCCATTTCTACATACTCATTAACATGCTTTTCTTACTGTATTTTACTATATTCATTATATTATACCTACTACATTTATTTACAAAGTAAATAAATGGTCATTACATTAAAAATTGTTTAAGCAGAATAAATGTGTTCGAATTCTTTGCATTTTTATTTTATGAACTTAAAATGCATTTTACAAACATTGACTATCTTCCTACTTTCTGTTCCTTGAGAAAGAAAGATATTGAGAATATTTCCTTTCTATTACCCCCTCCTTTCCTGATTGGTATATTTCTGAAACACTGCTGGATTTGACTGACCATTAATAATAAGTTGTAGAGTGATTTACAGTTTTTAAAGCTCTTCTGTGCTTTGATCCTTACAAAGGCCCTGTGAGCTCATCATGTCAGGGAGTAATGCTCCGTTTCCACCCCTTTCTCTGAAACAAAGTGAAACTAGTTTTGTAACTGGACAATGTTAAGCTTCTTAGTAAATGTTATGCAGTAATTCAATCTTGAATTGTTGGCCTCCCAAATAGATCCATTGCAGAAAAGCGTTTAATATAGACGTGACTTTGATATAAAAGTGTGCACAAAAGATTTTGAAAATCTAAATTTTGATGATTACTCTCGTCGTAGAATACTTCTCTGTGTTAACAAGAGAAGTCAGGATAAGACCCAGCTCTCCTGACTTGCCCTCATGAGTTCTTTAAATTCATCATCATTAGCAATACTTCAAAACAAGAAAAGAGGTCCATTGTTTTTTTCTCGTGTAGGGAAGGATTAAGGAAAAGAGAGAGAAAGGAAATTTGAAGTTGCCTATTTACCTGATGTTTTTATTCTGGCATCTTGACAGAAAACGGTTTTGCAGATATTTTCCTTCAGGGTATATATAGTTAGAATTGACTGTGGCCCCTTTAGCCCACTGATTTGTTTCTGTTGGCCCCTTCCTTCCCCCCAATCCCACTCTCTCTCTGCCCAGAAGAACCAGTTGATCCTGACTGGTCCAATTCCCTAGGATTAGCACTCTAGAAAATAATGACTTCTCTTATTTTCTTCCAGGATCTACTCAGGGAAGCAGAATTCCTATGATGCTTAGATAAACTGCTTTATATTGCTTCTGGAAACTAATTTTAGAAAAAGTACAAACCAGGTTACTTTTGTATCAGTTATTGATGACCAGCTCAAAAATTTCTCTGAGGCATTTATTCAAAGTGATACATTCAAAACCAAATTATATTGAGACTAATTCTTTTGTATTAAATAAGTAACACATTAATTGCATTGCCCTTGTTAAAATTAAAACATGATAGATAAATCTAAGTTCCCTTTATCGTGAGTGCAATCTTGGTCCCCTTCATTCTCCTCCAGAAGTAACTCTAGAAATAACTCCTCATGTGTACTCTCCTAGTGTCTTTTTCTTATATTTGAATTCTGTAAATATATATGACTATAGAAAAAACAAAGTATTGTTTTGTTGTTGAAATTAAAACATACATGTTCTGCAGTTTGCTTCCTCCATTTCAACAATATGTCTTAAAGATATGTTTGTGCTAGAACATAAAGATCTACCTCATTCTTTTTAACTACTATACTGCAGTCCATAATATGCTGTCCATTCCTTTATCAATGGTCTTCAGATTATTTCCAGTTCTTTGCTATTACAAATAAAGGCTGGACAAGTATCCTTGAACATGGCTCCTTAGATTCAGGTGACAGTGTTTCTCAAGAATGTATATAGAGATGTGAAAATGGAAGGTTATAGGGCATACATAGTCTCAATTATAATGGATGTTTCTTAATATCTTCACAAAGGGATCATCTTAAATAACAATCCCATGTGTAGTGCCCCTTTCCCATAATGTCAATAACACTTGGTATGGAACTCCAAATTTTTGCCAATTTGATGGTGAAAAATAGTTTCAGGTTAACTCCTACTTTTTTCACCCCAGGGTGAAATACTTATAATAAAAATATCTAAAAATGATGCCATGTGATAAATTAAGCAAAAAAAATCAATATATTAAAATTTTTGCTTTATTATTTTCTTATATCACACAGTCAGATATCCTGTTCAGGGACTCTTTAAGCCTCTCCCTCTGTAGAGCAGATTCCCTTTTCACATCCCAGTAGGACTGTTAATTGGGTTTTGAATCTGATTACTGAGACAAATTGGATCAATGGTAAAAGTACTAAGCAATTTATTCCATGTTCACAGTCCATTGCTGAAGAAAACAGTTCATAAGTTCTTATGAAAACTAGAGATTGTCCATTCTTCTACAAAATAAAGAAAATCCTGAGCAGACACAACTGACAACTTGTTAAGCCTTTCCTATAGTTAGTTCTTCAGATTTAGGATTATGGGGAGGAGTCAGAGCGTATTCAGGCTCTCACTGCACATCGTATGGTACATAAGCTATCAGTTTTTACTTAGGATTAAAACCGTCATTGAGCTGTAGGGCCTGCCATTTCTAACCAACTTCTGCGTTGGATTGAATAATCCGATCAAGCTATTTTTAGCCCTTGGGATACATCCTTATCTTTAGTGGCTGTGCTGTGACAGTGATAAATAGGCCCAGTAGCCCACAGATTCAGGCTTTTCAGCAGGAATTAAAGGGGAATCTCCTTTCTAAATAAAGGGTATCAGGAAAAATATGTTGAACTCTTCATTATCCACAGCAGTGGCAATGCAGAGAAGTGGACTCTAAATTGTATTCAGTGCCCGAAAATTCTTGTATGTTGCAGTGTTTATCATAGGTAAAAGGAAAATACATTTTGTAAAGGCAAGTACTTTTCGTTGAATGGATGAGTTTGGCAGCATGGTTGAATTATTAAACCACGCTGAAATTAATGCCAAATTAGTAGGTAAGCATTTTTGTCATACTGCTTACCTGATATGGTTTGGCTGTGTCCCCATCCAAGTCTCATCTTGAATTGTAGTACCCATAATCCCTACATATCATGAGAGGGACCTGGTGGGAGGTCATTGAATCATGAGAGTGGTTACTCCCATGCTTTTCTCATGATCGTGAGTGAGTTCTCAAGAGATCTGATGGTTTTATAAGGGGCTTCCTCCCTGCACCCCTACTTCGCTCTGCACTTCTCCTTGTTGCCACCATGTGAGGAAGGACATGTTTTCTTCCCCTTCTGCCATGATTGTAAGTTTCCTGAGGCCTCCCCAGTCCTGTAGAACTGTGAGTCAATTAAACCTCTTTTCTTTATAAATTACCCAATCTTGGGTATGTCCTTATAGCAGCGTGAAAATGGACTAATATACTAGCCATATGGTTTTGTGTAAGAATGGAATCTCTTTATTATTTACTTACGTATAAAACTGAGTTACTAATATTTTACTGACAATTTCACAGGGCCATTATACGAGTTAGAAAAAAAGCATATAAATATCATGTTAAGTAACCTCTAAACTGTAGTTATGAATACATTCATTTATTAATTCATCCAACAGTTATTGAATATATAAAATTTATCCATTAGGATAAATGCTGTGATGTATTGAGGGCAATTGTAACAACCTGAAGCAAGGATATTTACCATGGAGAGTAAAGACAGGCTAACAGAAGAGAAGGATAGTTCAGAAAAACACAGAAGGGTAAATTCAAGTTATTCAAGTGAAGGGTTTGGGAGTCTAAGGGAGTGGAAGTAGAAAACACTTTATATAGAAGAACATGTAAAATGTCTCAGGCAAAAAAAAAATATTATCTGGGAAGTTCCTTGGGTTGTTCTGGAGTTATTATGATACATTCCAATGTGTATAATAAAATGTATACATAATTTCATTCAGGATATTTGCTTTAAAAGCTTTTCTTCTAGGAAAAATGATTAAAATGGGTTGACTCTTATTTGAATCACTATGTTCCATTGGCATTTATAATGCATCTAGGATTTTAATTCACATCTTTTTTATATGAGTTTTTAGGTATTATCTGTGTATTTGTTTAGTTTTATTAAACAACAAAACACCTGTTAGCACTTCCAGTCTTTATTCCATAATTGGTATAGCTCCAGCAGCCTTAATTGCCCTCTCTTCCACACAAAAATTGATGAGGGATAATTTTATAGGAATATTGATTCAGCAATTCCAGTATATTCCTTTAATTACTATGTTACACTAGCCATTTCGTTTTTAGATGATTCTCATTTAAAGTTACCATTTTTTTCTGAGTGTAGAAATAATATAGATGTTGTAGAACACTGATAACATGTAGAAAAGTCTAACATATTAAATGAAGACAGCAATGATACCACCACCCAGAAGCAAACATTGCTCTCATTTTGAAGCATACATTTACAATCTTTTAGTGTTTTTTTGTCTTAAGCATATGTATATACTTAAAATGAAAATTACCTAGAATATACAAAGATATATCCAGCTTTTCTGTTAATTTATTATTCATATATCACCATTAATAAATATTCCTTAGAACTCTTAATGTCTGCATAATATTCAACAAAGGTTATATAAACATGTTTACTTAAAAATTTACCTATTATTAAATATTTACATTTTAAACGTTTTAATATTTAAATAATACTACTATAAATCTCCATGCATATATGTATTTGTGTACAGATCTGACTTAGTCCTGAGAATCCATAGGATTTTATTTGCTAGATTAAAAATAAAAAATTTGTGATATATGTGGCCAAATTGCCCTTCAGAGCTAATGTATAAATGAATGTCCCTATCTATAATTTTGTGTGTGTGTTCACAGTAGGGAGTCATCTACTTTAAAAAACATTTGCCATTATGGTAGTCTTTAAAAATGTACTTGTTACTTAAATTTGAATTTCTTGGATTGAAAGAAAAACTATATTTATTTATACCTCTATATTATATAATGTGTCTATTATAAAATTGTATATAATATGTGTCTAATATAAAATTATGTGTCTATTATATATGTATAAATTATATGTATATTAATTTATAATATATTACATATTATATAACATACATAATATAATTAATAATAATTACATAAATAATATATTATTAACATATATATTATCCCTATATTTATTTGCTGAGACCTGTGTGGTTCTTGTCTTTTTTATATTTTCCTGTGCTATTCATAATTTTCCTATTGACTTATATGAGTCCTGTACAGATGGAAGCTTTTAACCTTTTGTGTGTTGCATTTACAAAAAAATAATCTGTTGATTTGTGGTATTATACAATTGGGAAAAGAAATAAGTATTTCATAAATGATGCTGATAAATTATTTTGGTAAGGGAGAATGGGAAGGAGAGATTGGAGTGGGTGTTAACCCTTTACTCTATCCTTTCACAAAAGTCCATGTCAGGCAGATTGAAGAGGTAAGTATAAAGAAAAAAAAAAAAAAAAAACTCAAGAAAAAATTAAGAAGATACCATAAGATATCTCTAATTTATAATTTGTGAAAGCCTGTTTAAGTGAAAAACCAATGAAAGAAATTACCAAAGGGAAAAAAGATTTGACCACATTAAAAATATTAGAATCTATAGGTCTAATTTCAATAAAAATGATTGCTAAGAGGAAATCACTCATTTTAAATGTGAATTCCTAATACTGACTGATATAACTAAATAATAAGGATGATAGCTAAATCTTTTTACAATTGATAACCACTTAACCTAATATTCTAAAACACAGAACCATTTTATAGGCAGATATGATTCAAACATAGTTGGAATTTCATATATAATGAGGCTTTTGAAGTAAATGTATTTGTATTTTGACGATGTTTTATTAGAGAAAAATGTTGCCTTTCTAGTTAGCTGAGAGTTCAGAGAGCCCGTTTTCTGTTAAGCGACTCTTGAGCTGAAGTCCTGGGTGGAAGTGCTTACCATGGTGCCCACACTGCTGTCACCCGTGCCCTGATGACTGATGACTACAGCCCCAATCTCTTTCCCAGGCTCCAGGCTGATGTTTCTAACTGCCAGAAAGCCATACTTGAGTGTCAGACTGTCAATCGGTCTGTCTGAAACTTAAGAACTCATTCTCCTTTCCTAACCCGTTCCTCCCCAGGTATTCTCTCTCTCTGTTATTCCACTTTAGAAGTCTCTCTACTTTGCTTCTTTCCCTCCATTTTAATGGTATTTCTCTAGTGTGGGCCCTTCTCATGAATCACATCACTCTTTCAAAAACTTGTCCCTTTGCCTGTTTATCTTTTCTCTTTCCCCAATTCCAAAACGTAATGAGATGCTCCAGAAAATATCTGTGAAGACTCCACCTTCCCCTTGTATATTTTGGAACATTCACAACTATGAAAGAACTGTAAAAGAATGTGCCCTTTATACATTTCATTCAAACCGTATTCCATATTCCCTCACACACTTAAAAAATATATATTGTAAATAGCAAGTGCTTTCTTAAGCAGAAGCAGTCCTGCCAAGTCAGATGTAGAGATAAATTAAAGGAATGACAGGGTGCTTGCCAATGATTGTGAGTGAAGGAGGGGGAGGAGGAGCATGAGAAGAGGATTAACTAGGATTCGCTTTTACCTTTCACCTCATGCTCACTTTCTCTCATCTCTTCGTCTCCTTGGTCTTACTCTCAACTCCTTAGATCAAGGATCATGGCTGCCTTTACTCAGAACATGGACAACGGAGACACAAAAACTAAGCTAAAATTTATCTGAATATGGGGTGGACCCTGAAATGAACCACTGAAACAAAAAAAAAATCTTTTAAACTGCTTATAAATTGTGTTTATTTCTATCCTTTTAGATTTACCATAATTAAATATTATAATACACAGACACAACCTCCCTTTAATAAGCTTTACTCTTCCAAAAGTCAAGAATTGTTGTACTCTTCAGAAAACTAAAATTACAGTGATTTTTATGCTGATTGTTAAGTAATTCTGGATTCATCATCTTAATAAAATGTTGGGACAGATGTCTACTAAAACCTAATGAAAATTAGTGAGACTAGCTTCTGGAGAGAACCAAATGCTTGTTATTTTACCTCAGTCTGCTACCGTGATCTTGGAGTGAAATTATCAAGAACAAAGGAGGGAGTATATATTTAAATATAACAAGTCTTTTAAATAATGTATTTTCTTTTCTGTACTTTTTATTTCTAAATAAATGAAATAATTTATATGCTAAATAGCCAACTTGGTAATTTGTCATATAGACATAGTCAAAGTGAAATGATTCACAATTCTCATCCCTAACTCTACACTTGAGAATTTTCTCTGTAAAATAGAAGGTAATGTTCAGTTTGATAAAAATTTCTTTTGGCAATGATAATATTATTAATTATCTTGAATATATTTTTGTGTATTTTTATGGAATCAATAGTTTTTCATATGCACATATTTAATGAAAAGTACAAATTTGCTTTAGAATGAAAGTCAGAATTAATACAGAATGATATTATTTAACTATTTTCACTTAACACATTTCAGAAGTTTATTTTGTTGTGGTAGCCAAGGTGTGGAGCATTAAGGAACTTAGGCATCTCTTTATAAACTACCTGAAAGACAGTCCCCTTTTGCCTTTCCCTAACAACTTATCTTTGGTGTGTTCTTAGAAGAATCATATAGTAAAAATCATAGGGCCAAGCTGTCCTTTACTTTAGTTACCTGAGTCTTCTATGTTCATCACTATTGTAAAAGTTGAATTTCTTCTGAATCTAGTAATAAAACAAAGTGAAGTGAAGCCAAAAATTCTATAGAAGAAAACATAATCTTTCACCTCCTTTATTTTTTCTTGTTAACATTACCAAAGTTTTATTATGTGAACCACACTGCATGTTTTACTATGTGAACTGCACTGTACTTCATTTTGTGGCCAGTGAAAAATTAAGATGTTAGGTCATGAGCAGTCACAGCAATATATATGGAATTGTGGGGGTTCATTCAGAAGTCCAATGAAAAAGTCAATGTAAGAAGAAAAAAAAATTATACTACCATGAGTAACTACTGCTTTTTGAGTATCTGCTGTGTGCTCAGCACCATGCTTAATGCTTTACATACAACATCTCAATTAATCCTCACCACAACACATTTCAATGTATTAGTAAAGAAAAGCGATGATCTGTCACCTACAAAAACAATCGAACCATACATTTAAATGATTTATTTAACTATATTTACAACAGTTATTGAGTACCTGTAGGTATCAAATGCCAGAGCTAGAAGAATAATCTGTCTGGTTCCCTGGTTCTTGAAAAGACATGGCTCTAAAGAAAAACAAAGAAAGTTATCAATTGAACTGAGACAGATGTATATTGGAATAAACAAAAAACAAAAGCAGATCTGTACAAAACTGATAAATGCTTTCCTTAACTCCCAACCTTCACTTTGCCCATGGTATCACTCCACATTGGCTCCCAGTCTCACACCTGACTCACCCATTTTCTCCCTAATGCAGACCTTTTCTCAGATAACTCCGTCTTCCTGTTTCCCTCTTCATGGCATCTTCATCAAGCATGTCTGCTTCATGTTGTATTCTATTAGAGCACTTCTATCAATCATTAGCTGTGACAGTGAATTAATTGGGTAAATGAATCCTTACTTTGGTGTTAATAAGAAACAATAGCTTATAAGATATTCCTCCCAGGTATATGTACCATTGTCACCGAACTCCTTTTGCAGTAAAGTGTCAAAGTATTTTCAGGAACTGAGGAAAGTTGATAGAAGGGCAATTTGGGGACAGCATTTAAAAAGGCATTTAGTTCCATTCAGAGGACACACACTGGTAGATTTGTTCATTTAGCAAATATTCTTTCCTTCATTCAGCAAGTATCCCCCCTCCCATATGCCATGCCTGTTGTAGGTGCTGGACATACCATAGTGAATAGGACAGCATAGTCCTCATACAGCCCCCACCTAAGTCTGTTAGGTATCACATGCTCTTCTAGGGGCTGCAAAGTCCTTGGAGGTGAATAAGATAATAGACTCTACATTTGAGTCTGCAGACTCAGAAGCCTCAGGTAGGATAATCTGGTGATGCTTTCTCATCTATATATATTCATAGAATTGCTTGTATATGGGATGAAGACTGACCTGTACTTGCCCTTTCACAGAGTTTGCTGAAGACTGCTGAAGGTGAACATCCAATAATGCTTTAAGAAATATTCCTCTGGCCACTGTGTTGGGAATTTAAACCAGGGTTCACAAACACAAATACATATATATGGGCCTAATAGACCAAAAGAAAAAGAATCAGTGCTATCAATTGGGTATAAGACAAGGTGGATTTTGGGGAACTATGTTGAGTCAAAAAATATGTTACTTAAAGGAATTCAAATATAAAATGCAAAAACACATGACCATCCAATTAAAGCACTGATGAAGACCCCAGAACTTGATGTGTATGTCATTAAATTTTTATCTTTGATTAGCAGAATTGACTAATCAAAAACTGAATATATTTAACAAATCCATAAATTATATTTATATGTATGGCTCCATTGGGATGGTACCTATAAGTTATCTTAAGTAATATTATATTAATCTGTTCAAAACAGTTATTTTACACCTACTATGTCCTGGGACAGTTCTAGGTGCTTGAGATACATTGGTAGCAAGTTAGATGAAAATTTCTTTGTGGCGTTTTTGTTCTGGCATGAGTAAATAACAGAAATGATTTTTTAAAGTACCATGGAAAAGCCAACGCTAATTAGAAGATGCTTGAGGTGGCTGCAGTTTTTAATAGGAGATAAGGAGAATATGTTGAAAAGGTGGAATTGAGCCTTTGTTTTTTTTAATAATTCATGAGGGAGTCGGCCATGCAGATAGTTGGGAAGTGCAGTCCCGACTGAGGGAAGAGTGAGGGGGAGGGTAATCTGGAATCATGTGAGGCCTATTCAAGTGACAGCAAGGAGGCCATTGTCACTGGAGTGAAGTGAATGAGAGGTAGAGCAAGGCTAACAACCTTCTAAACCATTTTAAGGATTTTAACTTTTCTCTAAGTGAAATGGAAATTGTTGTGTAGTTTTGTTAAATTATGTTTTACAAAATGTACTCCAGCTTCTATGTTGAGGGTGAACAAAGGTGGAAATATGGAGACAAGGTGGAAGGCTATTTCACTAATCCAAGCAAAAGACAATAGCATATAAGATATTTCTCCCACACAGCATGTAACGTTCCACTGAACTCTTCTGACAATAAAATATCAAAGTATTTATAGGAGCTACATCATGCTCAGATCAAGGTGGTAGTTATGATTATAATTGTTGAGAAATTTGAGAAGCTGTTAGCTTCTAGGGTATTAGATGACAGCAACAGTGAGTTATCGGATGACATGTAATTAGAAGCTCTGGTATTAATAGGAAAGAGGAAGCAAAAATGTCTAAAAGCAGGAATAAGGACTTAGTCTCTTTTACTTTCATACCTACTAGGCTGTGTTTGTAGGGGGAGGGAACCATTGCTCCATGAGAGAGTTGTAGGAAAGCATAGTTCTCAAGTAATAACTAGATTTTAATTTCGGCAGGAAAATAAAGAAAACACTGGTAGAAGCGCTTGAGAATGAATTGAGAGGATTTTTGTTGATGATGAGCCATGTATCTCAGAGGGTACAATGGATGCTTTTAGAAATTGAGTGAGGGTTGAAGGATACAGAATAGGCCAGTGAGTATATAAATTATCTTCCAAGCAGAGTGTTTTTGCAAATGTAGAAGGATATTACTGATGTAAATGCCAGGACAGTAAGCATAAGTCGGAACTATTTCAGCCCCACCTGGACTCATGATAGCCCCAACTGCCTTATGAGAATTAGAGTGTGAGAGATGAGGGGTGCTTTGGAATTGGGGGCTTCTTGAAGAGATAGTCTTGAAAAGGGATAAACAGCCTAATGAGATTAGTCTTGCTGGATTCAAGGCAGATAGTAGCAGCAGAGTTGGAATATAGAGAGGGAAGTCACTATATTTGAGCTGAGACTTGAGTGATGAGCAGAAACAGCCTTATTTCAATCTGAAGAAAGAGAGAAAGTCTTCCAAGTAGAAGGAACATCAGTGACAATGGCTTGAAATCTTTGAGGAAAATAAAGGCTAGCGTGGCTGGGGTATCGTGAACAAGGGGGATTCGACAGCTCAAGTAGACAATGGCTGGAGGTAGTGTCTTTTGAGCTAAGCCTCTATCCAAGTTATGAACTTTCATCTAAACCCAGAATCTTTTGACAGTAAAAGATTAACTTTTAGTTAAAAAACTAAACTTTTAGTAAAAAAACTTTTACTAAAAAACTAACTAAACTAACTTTTAGTTACTTTTTTACTAAACTAACTTTTAGTAAAAAAATAACTTCGTTATTGAGTATGCTGTGACAGAAGGTAGAAACCTGGCTAGTCTCAGGCATGCAGGGATGTATGGTCATTTGAGTTTTAAAGCAGGTGAGAATTTGCTGTAGTTGGACTATCTTATTCATATTGTCCACCTGGTGGCACTATAGGACAAGACAGGATTTTTTTCTTTTCTTTTTCTTTTTACCTTTTTTTTTTTTGCCTATCTGACCTGATATTGACATTTTCAGGAAGTCTGGTATATGTGTTTCCAAAACCTTCTGCAATTTGTTAATTGTATTCATGGAATGCATCCATGCATTTTTTATTCTGTAGGTTATTTGTAGAAACCATAAAAAACAAAAACACCCTCCCTAATGGAAAGTGTTTTATTCAAAATAGATATAATCATTTCTCAAAATGCTAGTCATACTTCCCTAAAGGAAAATCTTGCTGCTTTATAACAAGATTCTAAACAAGGTGTATAAATTTAAAATCAATTATGTGCTAAGAGCTGACTTGATTCTTTGAGTTGTTGCTGAGTCACCTTAACAGCAAAATTAGGCCTCTCTGGGAGTCAAGACTTCTAATACATTTTTAGCCACGTCTTAGGAATTTAATATCAGGTTTTCCTTAAATGTTAGTATCTAGACTCTGTTACTGGTAGTGAGATGATCCAGCCTGGGAATCAGAGCCACCGAAGGCCTTTTGAAGGGAAGTGCAGACAGGTCAATTGTCACAAGGAAGTCCAGGGATGGCCAGGCAGACAGGTGGCTCTTTTGGCAGATTAGTGGAACATGGAAGGAGAAGCATTTGGCAACAAGTAATAGATAAAGCTCCAGGAAATCTGTCTATGTCTGGGAGGCTTGGTAGTAGAGAAGGGTCTTAATCACACGAACAAGGGTTTAGTCTTTGGATAAAGAACAGCTATTTTTAAATGCATCTCCCCAACTAGTATACTTGGGGTGAGGGTTATGGAAATAGTGACCAATTCCCTCTGTCTCTGGGACATGCTCAGGATGGCCATTATGGAGTTGGATGCAGATTCTGAACAGACGGATGGAGGCTAGGACCAGACAAATGCTGACAGACCATTACACTATGGCAATAATAACTTCTGCTTAAATAGCTATGGGCTTTGCTGTGGCACATTAACCTCCAAAACCACCAGGACTCCCTTCCGTAGCACAACGATAAGCAGAATTCATTCTATTCTCAGGTACCGTATTTTATTGGACCCAAACAATAGATGGGTTCCTGAGGGTTCAACCAGGACACTTAACTGACAGTGGAAGAGGGACTGTAGAGCTCAGAAAATGGGATTCCTAAACATGTAGAGCTGAACACACCTAGAGCCACCCAAACCAAGTTTTTACTCCTTTAAATTGTCTGTCATTTTATTCAGCTAAGAGAAAAATAAAATGCTTTTCTGTAACATATTTGATATTATCACATAATAGAAATCCCTGCGAAAACCTGGCAAAATGTTAACAAACATAAATGTGGCTTTAGTGAAACTTAGCCTTATTGCTGGATTTCCCCTTGGCTTACGTTTTTCTCTTGGCACTGTGCAGGTAGGCATAAAAATGTGCACAGCTGTGTTAAACATTGTTATTAAGAGCAAATCTTTCCTTAATCTTTAACTAGGAACAATACACTCCCTTTCCAGAAACTCAGTAGTTAATTTTATCTTTCATTTACTGCCTAAGACTTTTGTCATTGTGATGACTGTAATTATTATTAGCTACAAAAATAATCAGGGTACTTAAAAATACAAAAGATATTTCAGGGAGAAAGAGAGGATAAAAATAGTATGTCGCAAAGGAATTATAGGATATGAATTTCAATGTAGCTCCTATGGACTGAGAGATGTTTGTACAGTCTGTTCTATTTCCACTTTCAGGTAAAAAGTAATTCTGGTGGTACAAATTCATCTTTAGTGTGACTTTTTTTTTTTAACAAAAGGTATTTGAGTCTTTGAGGATTGACTTCAGCTTTATCTGTGATGAAAGCCTGTTATAAATTACACCAAAAGTTTTAGAGAATATTCATTCCAGATAGTTAATGTGCCCATTTATTAAAATCACACAGTGCTTTCTTCTAGGAAGATCAATTCTCCTTTCATGCCATAAAGAGTATGATGACTAAATGGGGGAGAAGACACACTGAGTGTTAAACGAGCAAAATAAATGTAGAAAAGCACAGAACAATGGAAAGAATTTTTAAAAAGTACCTTTTAAGAGGTACTAGAGAGTATCTTTTAGTTTTCTTCTCATATTTGAAAAGTTGTACTCTGTGTAATAGTGAAGGAGGTAATGTGTGTTAGATTATTGCAGTTGAAAGCTGTTCACTTTTTAACCAACAATCCTGTTAGGGATAATAATCGCATGTTGCACAGTGATAACTTTCAATGCTGAGAAAAATAACTATGTCAAGAAGAGTGGTCAGTTTGCCTTATTGCTTCCCCTTAATGCCAATGCATCTTTGTGATAACAATGCTAATAGTCGATGTGCCTCTTTAAAGAAAAGCCTAAAGCTGGATACATATAAAATAAGCTGAATTGCATGATGCAAACTTGGAAATTCAATGGCCATTTCATATTGGCTCCTTCTTTTGTCAGCTCTGAATTTTACAAATTACTAGCTACATCTCTCTGAATTGCTTTCTGTGGCATTTAAAATGTAGATAATGTGGGTGCTTGTGAAAATTTTATTTTCTTAACAGCTGGCACAAGAATTAACTTAAAAAGACACATTTTTTTGTTTAGAACAGTGGTTGCCCACTGGTTTTCCCAGGCCTTATGTAGCCCACAGACATATTTACTTTGACATGAATCATATATTAAAATAAACCAATATTTTAAACTTAGGAGATTTTACATACATTTTGGATTCCCAGATTCTCTCATAAGACCAGATCAGTGTGCTCACATGTCAAACACTTTTTTTTTTGTAGCTAAATAACAGCTGTCCCTTTTAGGCCGGCATGCCCTTTTCAGTTTGCCATGGTCCAGATCAGTTCCTGTTATCTTCCTCACACTAAAGCAGGATGTCAGTTGTCATATTTCAATAGATTTGCATTGCTTTTTTCTGACATTCAGTTTACTTTAGTAATTCATAGTGTCCTGTCTTCTTGGTAATTATATGAATTTCCCTCTTTTTCACCTTCTATTTTAGAAGAGTGTCTTTATAAAAGATAATAGATATCTTGAGGGCAGAAGCCAAAACAAATATATATATATATATTTATTTATTTGAGAGATAAAACAAAGAATTTGATTTTTGCTTCTAGGAAGGAAGGGAGAGAAGAAAAGGAAGGGGGTGGAAAGGAAGGGGAGAGAGAATTTTAAAATATTTTGTAGAAGTAGAAGCACAATGTGGGGTGGGTTGGTCCAAGAAACTTTCCTAATGTTAGAGGCCACTAGTCATTTCAGCTGGAGAGTCATCTAACCATCAGTTTCCAGTTTGTTAGCCCCTAGCAGATGGCAGGATAGTTCACTGAGTGCCTTCCACTGAAGCATAAAGCTAGAAACCAGAGAAAATGTCAATAATGTCAGTGCCCCCAAACTTCAGACAAAGTACGGAGGCCTTTTGTCTTATACATGATTTAGAACGGTGTTTTGGAAAGATCTTACTTAGATTTTAGATCTCTGGTAGATTTCATTTGAAATTGACATGTTTTTATATTTGAAACACCACTTCAGATTATAAACACCTTTGTATAAACTTAGAGTTTTGATAACCTTGACAAGAGGGAGTAGTAAAGAATTGGATTTATTAAAAATAATCATTAAAAACAAGTAATGTTATAATAACCTTGCTTCTGTCTTTGAGAGTAGATTAGGAAACATAGTGGATAAGGTTTCTGGACTTCACCAGAGCTTTTGACAAGGATTTATGGTATCAAATAATAGACTGGAAGCTATACTTGGATAGTTTGTAATCATTTGAGAAAACTATTAAGAGTTTCTGTTTGGCAGATGTTTGTTGATTAAATATGGAGTCAATGGTATCCAAAAGTGGACTGGTATAAAAGTGTGAGGTTTCTCAAGCAATGGGAATCTGTTGAATTGAACATTCTTATTAATTGATGTAATGAAGAGATAAGAATTCTTATCAAATTCATGGCAATGTAATTTAATTCTATTGTTTTGGAGCCAGGTTCAAATATCTCCATGGGTTTAACCGCAAGTTAAAAACAAGAGCTTCTCTAGTAAAATAACATTTTATAGTGTCCTGAACTTACTAGTATGGCTTTTGGATCAACATGGATAAAACGATGCTTAGATATCTGGTAGAAAAATAAACTCACCATGAGATAACAGTTTTATGTGATTGCCAAAAAATGGCTGTTAGTCTCAGAATGCATCAAGAGAATCACAGCATTTGTAACAGATATGAAAAATTGACTTTGTCTCACATGTCAACTCTGATTAGTGATAAGTTTTGCCTAGAGTGCGACGTTGAGGGGAATCTGAAGCTGCATCTAAGCTTGGCAGGAAAATATTGCCATCAACTGATGACACCTGCTATGGCCACAGCAGGGAGCAATGGCAATTTTATACACTTGCTGTTTCTGGTGGAGAATGAGGGAGATGATAGAATAAACCCTGTTTGCTGTATAATGTTCATAGAACACTTGGAACCTTTATTTTTTTGTGACAGGCTCTATTCTTATTCTTAAAAATTGTTTTTGCCAGGGTATAGGCGTTCCCTTTTCTCTCCATCTTTGCCAGCATCTGTTGTTTTTTGACATTTTAGAGAAGTCTTGCTCTGGTAATATGTATACAAAGACTTTAACAATTGTTTGTTATTTTGGCTTATCTGTTCTACATGAGTTAATGTTACTGGTATAATAAAAACAGGTTATTAAGAGTCTGCAAAAACCAAGTTTGTGCCCTTGTCATTCTTCTTAGATGGGGATGAGTGGAAATGGGAAATGAGACCTTGAAATTGGAGAGATAGTACCTTTCCTTTCAAAATACACCTTTTTATTTTTTTCTTCTGGATGTGTATCAGTTACTTTAGGTAATTTTTACTTTTTATCAAGGTTTTGGATGTATACAGCTTCTTCCTTTGTTGTATGTTTTTGTCTTCTGTAGTGTTTTTTTTTAGTTTTTGTGGATATGTAGTAGGTGTATCTATTTATGGGTTACGTGAGGTATTTTGATATAGGCATGCAATGTGTAATAATCACATCAGGGTAAATGTGGTACACGACACCTCAAGTGTTTTTCCTTTGTGTTACATACAATCCAATTATACTCTTCAAGCTATTTTAAAATATACAATTAAATTACTTTTGACTATAGTCACCCTGTTGTCCTAGCAAATACTAGATCTTATTCATTCTTTCTAACTAAACCTTCTATTCTGGTAAACTTTCTCTTGCATTGAAAGGGAACCTTTTCTGTCCTTGTCTTTAAAGCAATGATTCTCAGTGAAGGTGATTTTGACCTCTAGGGCACATTTGGCAATGTCTGGAGGCATTTTTAGTTATCATGATTGAGGGGTTGCTACTGGAATCTAGGGGCTAGAGGAAAGAGATGCTGCTAAATATCCTGAAGTACATAGAGACCTCCACAGCAAAGAATTTTTTAGTCCCAAATGTCAGTAGTGCCAATGTTGAGAAACCTTGCCCCAAAGTATTGATCCTGCTTTCTTGGTCAGACAGGCTGGCCCCAACAGGTCACTGTTTCTCTTCCTTTGGGTTCCATCTAGTTCTGAAACTAAGATGAGCTGGCATAAGTTGTCCTATTTATAAAATCTACTACCCTTTTGACATAACAGACCTTCAACTGTTTAAACAGTTCTGTTATGTGAGACAGTGCCATGTAAAATGTGGACTCTGTACTAGACTGTGTAGTTCAAATCCAAATTTCTCCATACATGAGTTATATACCTTAGTTTACATTTTCATAAAAGGATCATCATTGTCATTGTCATAGATAATATTAGTAATAAAAATAGTTACCACATAGGGGTTTTCAAGTTAAATAAATGAATATACATATACATACGTGTGTACATACATGGACACATAGAAAAAAATGGCTATGCTAATTTTAGACTTCACCAAAGGAAGCATAGCATGTTCAACAATAATGGAAAATAGATTTCATTAAGAGCTGTAAATGTTACACAAATGTTATTATTCTTTGTCCTGAGGTTCTTTTCCCCCTAGATTAAATAATTCCACTTATTTTAACTCTTTAGCAAAGAATATGGTTTGTGTCTATCCTCATTGGGTCCCTTATTTCAAGTCACCTCTATGTTGTTAGTGTCGTCCTGAGGTGGAAAAATCAATCAAGATTCTGCATTGGGTTCTAAGGTTCATCTGTTAGAGCCACTCATTTATTAAACTTATCAAATGAATCCTTTTTTTTCTTTCAAGGAGAAGGACCTTAAGGAATTTCTCCTATTTTGTGGGAATCAGCATGATTTCCTATAATTGATTAATCATGAAAAGATCAGTAAGGTGAGAGTGAATAGGCTAATATTCACAAGCTTAGTGAACAAAATCAACTCTCTATGACAAAGGAGATTTACAAATTGAAGAGAACAAATATATTTTTTCTAGAACAAGCATTTTAACAAATGTAGTTGCTTACTAAGTGAAATAATGGTCTCAAGAATACATGTTAATAGTCCTTAGATGACAACATAGAATTTTGCCCTTTTTAGATAGATTTAGAAAGAAACTTAACCTTGCATTGGCAAGATACAAAAAATAAATGTAATGTAAATATTGTGGTAATTAATAGGTTTTTCATTAAGAATTAAGACTTGTGGCCTCTGGTTCAAACATATATTTAGTCAAGATTTAACAAAAATGATTAAAGCATATAATAATTTATTTTTGTATCCTACAAATACAGAACTATAAGCAACATTATTATGCTATTGAATCATAGTCAAAAAGTCCATGTTTTTGGCATATCTCATAAGGTGCCCTTCTTATTTTGTGCTTTTGCATTTGGTTATAGAAAATGTTATCAATATCTTTAGTAATATTACTTGAGTATATTTTGTATCTTAACTAAATTATCCTTTGTGCTAATTGAAGTGTTGTACAGAGTGAATGGTAAGGATGTGGACACTGAAGCCTGTAGTCTGAGCTCTAGGTGTGTTACCTTCAGCAAGTTATTTAACACCACTTAGCTTCTGTTTCCTATACATAATGTGGTGCTACTAATACTACTGTTTATATAGGATTTTTGTGAGTATTAAATGCATTCATATATGTAAAAGCATTTAGAACATTGACACATAATATATATTAGCCATCTATAATATCAGAAAATTATATTCCCTGTAAACCGAGAAAAAGACTGTATTAACTGTTTCCTGCAAGAACTAAACATGCAAGCAGCACAAACATTTTCAACACAGGAGGAGGGAGACATTATGGCAAACTTTGTTTTGCTGATTTGAAGTTTCATAACACTAGGCAAGAATGCATTAAAGCCTCAAAACACTAGGCAAGAATGCATAATCAGAAACCATGGCTTATCAACTCTTCTCAGAGATTCCAAATTTGGGAGAACAATAATATTGATTTGTTAAAAATAGCTTTTCAGCATTCTGCAGACCTTCAGGTGCACAAAATCATTGCAATAAAATGTTTAAATTTGATTTGAACTCAAAATAATATGTTAGCTGCAAGGCCAAAAATGACTATTAATCCTTTTAAGATGACCTGCATTTTGGGTAAGTTTGAGATATTATAAGGTGGCCATGACCCACAAATTTGTGCTTGTTTTAGTTTAGTATGCTTTTGTATGCTAAACATCAAAATAACTTTTTTTCTTATTCACTCTCCAGCAAAATGGTGAGATTTAGTTCCAGTAGCAATAATAATAAAGACATTATTTATGGGGATTTTACTTCTGAGCACTGTGTACCTTATATAGGTATTGTTCCACAAATAATTATCGAATTAGACTTCAACAAAGTCTTAAGACTTTCAAGAACTGTCAATGAAATATATATTCCCATATACTCTTAGTGTGATTTATCTGGTTGCCTGAACAGTAGCCTCCAGTCATTACATATTTTATAAAATATTCAAGCAAATACATGCTAAAACTGACTTAATTTTTAGAAAGAATAACACTAGAAAATGTATTTAATATTCTTGTATTTTGCTAAAGCAATATATTTTAGGGCTGTTGACATAGGAGAAAAAGAAATGATGAAACAGAAGATATTTATCCTGAAGGGAAAGTCTTTAAGAAAATGCAGGAGAAGAATGGAAAGAATGAAGTGATGATAGCAAAACTCAGGAACTGAACAAATAGAGTAGAATAGTTTTGGGCCTTGAATGTTTATTTATTTAAGGTTCAAGTGATTTTAAAACCAGTCATATTTGAAAAGTTTAAGGATTCCCAGAAGCAGAAGAAATTCTAGATGTAACAGGGCATATTTGGGGTTTATCAAGGGCTGAACTCTGAAGATTTATAAGCTAATTTATTTGCAATCACTGCAGCTGAATCAGATAGAATGTAAAATACTTTTTACACTGCTAGCTTCAACCACCTGTTTTTTGAAAATCTAAATGTGCTACTACAGCTATGGAAGAGAGAAAGTAAAAGTTTTGTTGAGAAGAGGAAAGATTTGTTTTCAGCTAGAATTTGTGCTACAAATCTTCTGGAACTAGGTTTTTGGTGTAGAAATACGAGTGATGCTTGAGCTTCTACTGCTGAGTACATTACAGAACAAACATTCTCCTTGGGAATTGATTTTATTGGACAGTAGGTTTCAGATAGTAAATAAGCATTAGTAAATGCCTTTCAGTCTAACAGTCTTCAAAATTATATATATATATATATATATATAAACACATAGATACACACATATATATACACATGCACACATATATACACATGTAAATATTATTACACACATATATCTATACAAATATATGCATATATATGACCATATATGTGATCCAATTTGATCTTTATAGCCATCCTGGTGATGTGGACACATTAATGTATTTTCATATACTTTTAGAAAAGAGAACTATCTTTGCTACACAGCTATAGGTAATTCTTGGTTCACACATCAGTAAAATGATATAGAATTCAGCTTTTTCTCATGACTACTGATTTTTCTGTGTGGACCATGTAGGGTAAACCCTGCACTAGGTTCTCATCCTGTCTTCTTTCCTCTCATATCCTACTATCTCTGAACCATCTATTTCTATCTCCGCATTGCTTTCAAAGTTATTATCTTTAAACACTGTCTTGCTTAAAGTCTTTGATGTTTCCCTATTACTCATGGAATGGAGTGTACATTTCTCATTAGGATAGTCACAGACCTGAGGATTGGCCTCTAATTTGCCTGCACATTTTTACAAACTTAAAAAATTATCCTGGACTAATCATTAAGTCATTATCTTCAGTACTTTTAAAATATTAAACCATACATATTTCTTTTAAGCTATATTTCATTGTCTGACCCACAGAGATTCTTAAAGCTTTTCATATCCTAGCTTTTCATTCATTTCCTATCTGTGATCAACAGGACCTGAAACATATATTTAACTTAAATCCAGTGCAGTATCTTGCCAGATAGAAGGCAGTTACATGCTATAGAGAGGGTACAGGAGGCTTCCATGCTGAGGAACAAGCAAGATGAGTTGGTGAAATCCAGTCAATGGAGAAAAAAAGGTAAAATGGAGCAGCCCAGTAAGTATAAGATTAGTAAATCCTTCTGTAGCACTTACTGTATGCCTCACCCTATCTAGGCACTTGGCATATGTTAACATCATTTAATCCTCACAACAAAAATTTTCCTGCATTTATTTATTTATTTATTTATTTTGTTTAATTTGCTTTTTATTTTGTAGGAATGACTTTTTTTTTTAATTATACTTTAAGTTTTAGGGTACATGTGCACATTGTGCAGGTTAGTTACATATGTATACATGTGCCATGCTGGTGCGCTGCACCCACTAACTCGTCATCTAGCATTAGGTATATCTCCCAATGCTATCTCTCCCCCCTCCCCCCTCCCCACCACAGTCCCCAGAGTGTGATATTCCCCTTCCTGTGTCCATGTGATCTCATTGTCCAACCCAAATGTCCAACAATGATAGACTGGATTAAGAAAATGTGGCACATATACACCATGGAATACTATGCAGCCATAAAAAATGATGAGTTCATGTCCTTTGTAGGGACATGGATGAAATTGGAAACCATCATTCTCAGTAAACTATCGCAAGAACAAAAAACCAAACACCGCATATTCTCACTCATAGGTGGGAATTGAACAATTTTCCTGCATTTAAAAGGAAGGTGAATGATTTACCCGAAGTCATGTATCTGTAGAGTGGGTAAACTGGGATCTGAATGCAAGCAGTCTGGTTATCCTGGAACAATTAATACCTAATATCCAAGATATGATGACATAAGACTTCACTCCAACTTCCAGTTCAAATTCCCATCAGACCTAGGTATAGTTTGTTTCTTATCTTTGATTTTTTGAGGATATATTGTATAAGATATAGCCTCCTTTAGTGCTAATTTGAATATATTTTCACTTGTTTCATCCAAAATAGCCTTAGTGAGACTTGTTACTTTCCACGAAAAACATTTTCATTTTTAATGTACCTTTTCAGTGTGGCTTTTCCAATGTATTTATCTGTTGAAATTGTAAAGGTGCTTTATGATCTAGCCCAATTCCTATTTGTGACTTTTTAGAAATTTCACCCCAAATTAGTATTGTTTTTACACACCTTTGTTCTTAGTGCACTTCTTATTCTATTCAAAGCCTTAGACATTCTACTTTTGATATTTTAAGTTCTGTATCTATTTCCATAATACTACTTTGAACCATATCAAATTGTCCCGAGTATTAATATTGTACAAATCGCCGATACTTGACTATTTTTGACTTACTAAAATGGCAATTTCATGCAGATCAATTTATTATATTGGAAGAAAATTTACTGACAGAGAGGTATCTTAATGATCTTTACACCCTGAATATCTGATTAATGGTAGGTCTTGGTATATTTTGGTGAAATTAAATATTTGTTGGATATAATAAAATTTTCGTACTTAAATATAATTTTCCACAAATAGTCTCCTGGAGATAATAAAATGTGTGGAAAAATAAATCCACTATTTCTCCTAGTTTTCTATTTCTGAAATTGTTAGTGTTCATTCCCCCCAAAAATGCCTGAAATTATTCGGTGTTCTTAATTATGTATGGATAACTACAACTGGGGACTTTAATTGGGCTGCATAAAACATAACAAGTTCACATTTACAAAAAGTGCATTCATAGGATTTTATTATTTCCCAGTAATATCCAGGTAAATCAGTCAAAATATTACAACTGAAATAAAGTCCTAGATCTTAAGACGTTTACAGAATAGTGAGGAACTACATATAAATGGAGTTTTTTGGAAGCTCGGAAGACTAAATCTGATAAATCTGTATCAGGCAGTTATCATGGAAGATTTCATGAAGAAGTTGCTCTGAATTGGGATTTGAAGGATGAATAGGAATTAGTCAGAATTGGAAGGAATATGGAGTGTTGAAGAATATTACAGAAAGAGTGTGGATAGAATTTAAGAAAGCTTCGGAGACCTGCAAATAGAACTATGCAGCACAGGGTGTGAGTGGAGTTGGGGGCAAGTGACAAGAGGGCTCATTTAAATATTTAAGTAGAATATTAATATTGCATAGTTTGTGCTCTCTAAAAGTAAAAAAAAAAAAAAGGAATTATAAGAGAATGTAGAAGGTTCTGGGTTAAATGAAGTGGTTACTCTGACTGTATTGCGGATGATGTAAAAAGAACTGGGGAGACCAGCTTCGGAGATTACTGTTACGATCTGAATAAGGACAATAAGAACCTTGAATAAGGATGTTGCCAGTTCAAATCAGTTGGACCGTGGATTTGACAAATGTAGGGAAATTAAATTGGTAGGAACTGGAGACAATCAAAGGCTGAAAATCACTCTATTTGCATATTCTATAAATTACCAAGTAATGTATTTATCTAGAATTAGCCTGGATCGTTGAGAGCTCAAGTTAACTGTGAATGATGCTTGCAACAAAATCCCCCGTGAACTGAATATTTTATTGAAAATGTGTGTACATAGCCTGGAATAAATTGTTATTTCTCCGGAGGCAGTCTTCTGAATGAAGTTTCATATAAATTAAACATTTCATGTTGATGAGCAAAACCCACTTCAAATTAAAACATGAAATAATATTAATTAAACAAAAGAATGCTGTAAATTGATGTTGGCATACATCTTCACCTTCGTTTATTTTTTATGAAACTGCATAATTAATGTTCCTTTTAAAAATGAAAGATTAAATACCATGTTGTCATTAAAAAACGTGTTCCAGCCTGCTGTTATTAGATAAAGAAGGTGATTATAAGGAACAAGCTGAGAATGACAGGAGGATGCTTACTGTGTCAAATTCATGTGTTTTTTTTTTTAATCAGCATCATGTGGCGTTCAGAAAAAATATTTTTTATAACATACTCTTTTTTATCTTTCATTTAGTTCAATCTGAAAGATATTTTAAGGTAGGCAATCAGAAATAATAAATGCATTTATAAGTAGATGTAAACCTGGCCCATATGCATAGGGAAATGATAAATTTTAGTCCACTGAACCCAATTTATTTGCATTATTACCTGTTTTCTACAAGTTAAAGAATCTTTAAATAGTTCATAGGCAATAAAAGGCAAATTTTTCATCCTTTACACAGTTCTTCACAATGTTTCTTGGCACAAGAAAAGATGATGATAGGAATAAAAAAATCTTAGAAACATGTCAAAGCTTCCTCTTCATAATAGGCACCTCGGCTTTCAACATGTCTCTTTTTCCTTGCTTAGTGGGCTGTAGTACATCTTAAGGCCAAATCCAAGTTTGAGCAGGAGCATAAACATTTATCATAGTGTTAATTTTGTCAAAAACTATACATTGAGAATTTAATGTGTGTCAGTTGCTGGGCAACTGTTTATTGGTGCTAACAGTGAAGAAATAATATTGTGCCTGCCCTCGTGGAGCATCCATTCTGTAAGAAAAGACAAACAAGTGGCAAAGCAATCAAATTCATGTGATAAAATTGGGGTGATGGATCAATGAGGAAATAAAACAAAGGCAGTTCTCACTTATCCATCAGATAATTGAGAATTTTGCTGGTTACCAAGATAAGCAAGTAAGAAGCATTCCAGAAAGAGGGAGTATGTGGTGGATAGGCTAGTATGTAAGAGAGGACCCAGATTTAGAGGAATTTACAGAACTTCAGCATCTCACATCTCACTTAATGCTTCCTGGATCATTTTGCCAGTTTTGCACATAAGGTAATATGAATTGAAAAGGCTAGAAGGAAATTTGAAATGTCATTTACCTTTTTCCAAAATCTTCCTTCTTTTTTAAATTTTTTTAACAATTTCTAAATTACCGTGATTCTCTAGTCTATCTTGAAATGGTGGAACAAGTTAGGGAAAGTTAGCCAAACATTTATAATTTAACAAGAGTTCAATTCATTTTAGTTTTTCCATACTGGCCTATCCTTATCATCATATAGTCTCTACTCTTCAATTCTTCCACAAATCTCTTAATTTCTCTATCCCATGGCTGATCATTCCTTTTCTAAGTAAAGAGAGCTTCCTTTCCTTCTGGTGAGTTCTATCCCTCTGTGTTTTTTTGGAAAGTAGCAACATAGGAGAGAGTTTATTCACATAGTTCATAAAACAAAAAGAAAATAATCATTTCAGGTTAATGTAGCAGGGGGAGTAAATATACACTCTACACTTTTAACAATGGGAGTTGTATGAAATAATAAAACTCCACTTTTCACAGTAGAGAGCTGTGTACATTCAACTTCATACACTCTATTTATATGACATTTTTAAGGCCATTTTTCTCGGAGTTTTTCAAACTATTTTGATACACATGTTTATACATTTATTCAGGTTATAGCAGATTAGAAACTGAAGGTTATAAAACTCAGGTAAGTACTAAATGATAGCAGCAGATATGATATCAGCAGATATGATAACACCATGGGAAAAAAGTGAAAAACAAACGTGACTATTGCAGCATATGGTGGTAATGAATGGCTGCAATAATGTCTTTAATTAATATATTCAATTTAAATAAAAATACATAATGTATTTTATATTTTTAAATTAAAAACAATTTAAAAATTAGGTACATAATAATTAAGCTTTAGCTATCTTTGTAATTACATTGGTGAAATCTTCTAATTTTTGATCATGGTCAGTCATATGGGATATAATAAGACTCTTGCTTTTCATACTGTAAAAATGCTCAATACATTATAGAGCAAAATTATAGAATAGAGTGCTTGGTTAAAGTGTGAACAATCACTAGGAGAAACTAAGGAGAGAAGACAATATTCTAGTTAAAAAAGCAAATAAAAAAGCAAACTGGGAGAAGCATAGTGATGTCAAGCAATAGTAAGGTATTTTTCCCATCCATGCAGAATTAGCAAGGGTTTGTTGGTGTGTTTTGAAAAAGATAGAAATAATCACCTAGAAATTATAGCAGGAACTTTAGCTCTTCTGCCAGGTAGCCACCAAAGCAGCTCTCTTTGTAAGTGTGCAGGAGATTGCTCTGTGCGCAAAGGTAGAAATGTCTTGAAGAGGACAAAAGTAAATGTTTTGGGGTCCATGATGGTATGGACATCATGGGGAGTCTACTGTCCAAAACAGCACTCAGGACAAGTTTTATTAAAGGTGGGCAATGAAACTGTAGGCTATGATTATAACCAGACTACTCTTTAAATGTTTTATAAGTGTCATCATATTTTCTGTTTATTAAAGTCAAAATTAATCTGTATGAAAAGTGCTAGTCTGACATTTCAGATATTCCTACCAGAGCTAAGAAAAGGACATATGCCCCCCAGCACTCCACCTTCTGGATGTTTTGACCTTGCTTTATTTTACTTCACAGCCCTTTTCACTCCCTGAGAAGGTAGAGTAGGTGGAATAATGGTTCCCCAAATTGTTCTCATTCTAATCCTTAGAACCTACGAATATGTTATCTGACATGCCAGAAGGGATTTTGCAGATGTAATTAAATTAAGGACACAGAGATGCAGAGATTATCTTGGATAATCCAGATAGGGCCAATCTAATTCCATGAATCTTTAAAAGTGTATAACTTTTCCTAGTTGCAGTCAGAGGGAGATGTGACTATGAAAAGATGATCAGAGAGGAAAAATATTGTTCATTTTAAAAATGGAGAAAGCAAGCCACGGACCAAGGAATGTGGGAAGCTTCTAGAAGCAGGAAAAGACAAGGAAACAGACTCCTAGTACTTCCAGAGAGGAATGCAGCACTGCCAACACCTAGATTTTGGCTTGATGAGTCCTGTATCAGACTTTCAACCTAAAAAAGCTATAAAATTGTATTTTCAGTGACTAAATTGGTGGTAATTTGTTATAGCAGCAATAGGAAACTAATACATTATTGTGATATTTTTGAAGTTCTTTTATGTACAGTATTTCACTTGAGTTTCAAAACAACTTCTTATTACGTGTTTTACAAATGGAGAACTAGATATGCATACACATTAAGAAACATGCCCATGTTCACATTATTTAATCAAGACTAACAGTAAACTAACATTTCAAAAGCAACTTAAACATATAGGTTCCAGGTAAGTATAATATAATTTGATAAAGTTAAGAAAAAGAAAGAGATTTCACATAAGGAAGACAAATAGCACCCTAGATAAAGATGCTTCACAGAATGGTAATAACTTGGTTATATAGTTGTTCCTATAGTGCAGGGTTTGGCCATGCCTTTACAAATCCAGACAGGGATGCAGTTGCTTCACTTAAAAGCAATCCGATCCTCAAGGGACAACTCACTTTCATAAATCTATTTGCTTATTTAGTCACTCAATAATGTTGCTGAGTGCTTGCTATTTGTTAGGTTTTGGTCTAGGTCCTAGGGATACAGCAGAGTACAAAGTAGACAAAAATTTTTATCCTGATGAAAACTACATTTTATTAGGAGAAACGGATAAACAAAATAAATAATAAAAACATAATCTATATTATACAGTGATTAGATATGTGGAGAAAAATATTACAGGGTATGGTGAGCATGTGGTATTTTATCTGGTTGCCTGAACAATAGCCTCCAGTCATTAGATATTTTATAAAATATTCAACCAAACACTTGCTAAAACTGACTTAATTTTTAGAAAAAATAACACTGGAAAATGTATTTAGTATCCTCATATTTTGCTAAACAATGTATTTTAGGAGAGAACATGTGGCATTTTTTCTATAAGGAGGATGTCCACAGAAGTCTTCACTGAGTGAGTTAAACTGGAACGAGAATTACAACAGTCATCATCTAAAGAAAGCAAGAGAGTAAGTTATAAAACTCTGGGAGAAAAGTATTCCAGGCAGTGGAACAGAAAATACAAAGACTTGAGGTAGAACGAGGCTGGTGTATTTAGGAACCTGTAAGACTGTTGCTTTTTATAACACTTTTAATGAATTAATTATTATTTTTATTTCAATAGCAAAAAGTTGAACTTCGATGAAGACTTTTCATTAGATAGTATGATGTTAAGGTAGTGCTTCCCAATTAGTTTATCAAAATATTTAAGTTTTCCATTTGGATATGAGATTATTGTTTAATTACCAGTGTCTTAGTCTGTTTGGGCTGCTGTAACAAAATGCCATAAACTAGGTGTTTTATAAACAACAGAAATTTATTTTTCACAGTTCTGAAGGCTAAGGAGTCCAAGATCAGGCTGCCAATGGACTTGATGTTTTGTGAGGGCTCACTTTCCGATTCCGAGATGGTGCCTTCTTTCTCTGTCCTCACATGGTAAAAAAGGGTGAAGGAGCTGTTTATTTATTTATTTATTTTTAAATAAGGGCATTCATCTCATTCATGAGGCTCTACTCTCATACTCTTGTCACTTCCCAAAGTTACCAACTCCTTAAACCATCACATTGGGGATTAAAATTTCAACATCTGAATTTTGGGGGAGACTTTTAGTCTATGGCACTGGGTTTCCAACTGGCAGGTAAGAGCTCTCTCCATATTTGTTGGTATACTGGGATACTTGGACCCAAAAGAATATCTCATTAAGTGACCTATCAACAGGCAGGCCATTCATTGTTATCTGTCTTGGGATTCCTTTATCATCAATAATGAAGAAACTTTTTAGAGTATGTACTGAGCATTCTAGATATGCCCACAAACCTTTGAGATCTGATATGTGAAATTGTCATTAATCCAAGTCTCTGTTTTGACAGATAATGATTCAGGTCAAATGGGTGTACTGTGAATTAACAGAATATGCCATCACTTTTAAAATTTATAAATCTAAATCATTCAATTCTATCACCAAAAGCGATAAAATAGTTTGAACACAGAATGTGAAATCAAGTGAGTAAAAGGAAAAATTCCAGGGTTTTCCACAATAATCATTTTACATGGTCTCTTTGAACTCTTTGTTTATCACAGCTTTTCCCTCACAAACGGTGTTGGCTTGGAAATCTTGGCTTTGTTGATGTGTATAAAGTTGCCATGTACCAACAACAGGATGCCTCGTTGGGGTCAGAGAGGAGATTTCTCTGAATTGTTGAGTAATTGAATGAAATAGAGATTATATATCTTGTAATGGAGGGTATAACTTTTCAGCGACCATACATATTACTTTTGTCTGTGAGAATGGCTCATTAATTGGATGGTTTTTGCTTAGCATGGAATCACATCAAGGGTAGATGACACGTTAAAGATATATTTCATCCTGGCCATGGTAAAGACAATGGCACTTTCTGTACTCTAAGTGTGCATGCTATTTGCTCCTTCATTGTAAGAAAAAGATTTATTGAGCATCTACAGGCATATCTCATTTTATTGCACTTCACTTTATTGTGCTTCCCAGATACTGTGCATTTTATAAGTTGAAGGCTTGTGGCAAGCCTGTGTCAAACATGTCTATTGGTGCCATTTTTTTAATGGCATGGGCTCACTTCATGTCTTTGTGTCACATTTTTGGTAGTTCTCCCAGTATTCAAATTTTTGAATTATTATAAATGTAATATTGATCAGTGATCAGTAATCTTTGGTATTACTATTGTAATTATTTTGGGGCATCACAAACTGCACTATGTAAGGTGGCAAACTATACTGGTAAATGTTGTATGTGTTCTGACTTCTACATTCTCTGGCCATTCCCCCATATTGTTTTCTCTTTTTAGACATCCACTTTCCATGAGACACAATAATACCATAGGATCAATTAATAACCCTACAATGGCTTCTAAGGGTTCAGGTGAAAAGAAGAGTTGTATATCTCTCACTTTGAATCAAAAGCTAGAAATTATTAAGCTTAGTAAGGAAGGCATGCCAAAAGCCAGGATAGGCCAAAAGCTAGGCTTCTTGAACCAAATAGTAAAGCTGTGAATTCAAAGCAAAAATTCTTGAAGGAAATTAAAAGTGCTACTCAAGTGAACACATGAATGAAAACAAAGCAAAGCATTCTTATTGCTGATATGGAGAAAGTTAGAGTGGTCTGGAAAAAAGATCAAACCAGCTACAACATTTCTTTAAGAAAAAGCCTAATCAAGAGCAAGGCCCTATTTCTCTTCAATTCTCTGAAAGCTGAGAGGGATGAGGAAGCTGTAGAAGAAACGTTTGGAGTTAGCAGTGATTGGTTCATGAAGTTTAAAAAGAGAAGCCATCTCCATAACATAAAAGTTCAAGGTGAAGCAGTAAGTTATCCAGATCTAGCAAAGAAAATTGATGAAGGTGATACACTAAACAACAGATTTTCAATGTAGATGAAACAGCCTCCTATTGGAAGAAGATGCCATCTAGGACTTTCATAGCAAGAGAGGAGAAGTCAGTATCTGGTTTCAAAGCTTCAAGGACAGGGTGATTCCCTTGTTAACCCATTTATAGCTGGAGATTGCAAATTTTTTGTACGAAAAATCAGACCGTGGTGATGACCTTGAACAGTAGGATATAAATAACTCCCACAGGCTTAGCATTCCAATAATGGAACACTAGGTGTAAATGGGTTAAGGGGTAATGCAGTTATTGACTTTAAGTTGAAGCCAATACCCACTTGCCGTTCTGAAAATTCTGAGTCACTTAAGAATTATGCTAAATCTATTCTGACTGTGTTCCATAACTAAAACAAAGCTTAGATGACAGAACATATGTTTACATCATGGTTTAGTGAATATTTTAAGCCCACTGTTGAGAACTAATGCTCAGAAAAGATTCCTTTCAAAATAGTACTGTTCATTGACAATGCACCTGGTCACTGAGAACTGTGATGGAGAAGTACAAGGGGATCAATGTTTTCCTGTCTGCCAACAAAATATTCATTCAGCAGCCCATAGATCAGGGAATAATTTCATCTTTCAAGATGAACATTTTGTAAGGCTATGGCTGCCATAGATAGTGATTCATTCAGCAGCCCATGGATCAAGGAGTAATTTCATCTTTCAAGTCTTATTTAAGAAAAACATTTTGTAAGGCTATAGCTGCCATAGATAATGATTCCTATGATGGATCTGAGCAAAGTAAATTGAAAACCTTTTGGAAAGAATTCATCATTCTAGATCCCATTAAGAACATTCGTGATTCATGGGAGGAGGTCATTATACTAACATTAACAGGAGTTTGGAAGAAGTTAATTCCAGTACACATAAATGACTTTTATGGTTCAAGACTTCAGCAGAAGTAACTACAGAGGTGGTAGAAATAACAAGAAAACTAGCATTAGAAGTGGAGCTTGAAGGTGTGACTGATTTACTGCAATCTCATGATAAAACTTGAAGCAATCAGGAGTTACTTCTTATTGCTGAGCAAATAAAATGGTTTTAAGACGGAATCTATTCCTAGTGAAGATGCTGAGAACATTGTTGAAAAGACAACAAAGCATTTAGAATATTAGAGTTAGTTGATAAAGCAGCAGCAGGTTTGAAAGGATTGAGTCCCATTTTGAAAGAAGTTTTATTGTGGGTCAAATGCTATCAAACAACATTGCATGCTACAGAGAAATCATTTGTGAGAGGAAGAATTCACTGATGAGGCAAACTTTATTACTGTTTTATTTTAATAAATTTCCACAACCATCCAATCTTCAGTAACCACTACCCTGATCAGTTAGCAAGCACAAACATTGAGACGAGACCCTCCACCACCACCAAGATTATGACTTGCTGAAGGCTCAGATGATTGTTAGCATTTTTTAGCAACAAAGTGTTTTTTAAAAGTATGTACTCTTTTTAAATATAATACTATTTCACACTTAATGTGCTACAGTATAGTGTAAACATAACTTGTATATGCACTGGGAAACCAAAAAATTCCTGTGATTTGCTTTATTGTGTTCGTCTGGAACTGAACCCACAATATCTTGGAGGTGTACTTGTATTTAATCCTAGGCACTCTTTTATGGATTAAGGATATGACAATGAAGAAAGCAGACAACAAAACATGACTTCATGAAACTTCCATTCTACTGGGATAAAAAAAGACATACAGTGTCAATATTTTTTAAAATAAGTTTTTGCTTTTTAAATAAATTATTTTAATTCAAGTTGTTTGTTGAATTCTACTTTTATGCCTTGGATGGTACTAGGCAGAAAAATATATCAAAGCCTTTTCTGTGTGACTCTCTTTTATGGTTGGTATAATGAAAATCTTTCTTACAACAAAGTAGAAACCAACTGATGGTGTTTTGGTGGGTTTTTTACACTCCATTTGTTTATGTTACTGCTTTAGTTATGTTGATAACACATATGCATCCATGCTTATGTGACTCTACAATTTCTCAATTGCTCATTTACTATTTTTAGTAGTATTATTATTTATAAACATGTCTACTCTCGTCTACTGCATTGAAAAGTAAAAAAAAAAAAGACAAATCATTTTAGAAACTTAAAAAACAGTGGTACATGTTCTCTCATCATGTTCTCTGTCTAATGTCTTTGTCCTCAAAGATTTGGTGGCTGTCTTTCTTATTCTGCCTCTGAATACCCCTGCCTTCCCTGTTTTTCTCAAAGCCAAAAATTGTACATGACATTTTAATATTTTCTCAAAGTTTAACCTTAACTTGATGGTTGTGGGGGTTATAGGAATATGTCCCTCGTTTGGTAAATCTATATTCATTTGTATATTCATGTTAACGTCTCTCTCTTCCATTATAAAGATATAAGAAAGAAGAAATAATTCTCAATATAAAAGTCTTGTTTTTCCACTAATGATTTTATGGGAAATTGATTTTTAAATATGTACAACTTCTCTAAATTAGTGTTTTTTAACAAAATTTCCCTTCTTAAGTTTTTAAAATCTGCATTTTGTTAAAATAGACTTTAAAAATTTCTAGTTACTTGTTATAATTAACTTCACATGAACTATATATAGTCACCAAATTGCTTCAGAAAGTTTAAAAATTGCAAATAGATGTTCAATATCAGAAGCCAAATGAACCTTTTGTAGAGTCTAAAATAAAGGCCTTAAAAATGTAAGCAGTGAGAACTATTTGGTCATGGCACAGATGTTCTGATTATTACAGGAATTGTGTCCTTAATTAAATTTGTACTCTAGTGCCAATTCAAAAAGTTTGTTTCTCATACAAAAACCCAATTATCCAGCCAAAAGGATGTTCATGCTTCAATGAGTTGAAAGTCAAAAAGAAAAATGGTATACTATTAATGCAAGGTTTTTAATGCAAAACTGTTGTTACCTTACAATATTAGAGAAAATTTTCTGTGATTGCCAAAATTGAAATGTACAGATAACCACAATAAATGGGGGACAGGGTTATAGATTCTTTATATTATTTAAAATTAGTAACTTAGAAGT
Organism: Homo sapiens; assembly: GCF_000001405.40. NCBI lineage: Eukaryota > Metazoa > Chordata > Mammalia > Primates > Hominidae > Homo > Homo sapiens. The sequence goes on from NC_000004.12 coordinate 44,949,270, forward strand.
ATATGACACTAATATTTTTGCTAAATGATAAAAATAGCTCTAGGGAGACAGAGTGTATTCTGCTGCAATGAAATGCTGTTCAAAACCATGTAGAAATTAACTTAAAATTTTAAATCAGCTTCTGAATATATTTACATTTTGTATATTTCCTTCTATGTGTCAATATCTACTTATTATATAAGGCATGCTGTTTTACCTTCTTGAATTTGTATTTTGGTAATAGAGATTCTTCTCACTTGCATTTGAATCATTATACTTTCCATTCAAATAACCTAAGCCTTTTAGAAAAGAACATGTAAATTGAAAAGCAAATAATATTTTTATTGCTTTGATCAAGAATTAATACTGTGAAAAGTAAATATAAAGATTTTAATATTTATTTAATGTAATGTGAATGAAGAAGCTGAAGATAGTGTCCATTATGCAGTTATCAATGATGTCCATCAAACTTACACAGCATAGCACCGTATGCTCTTATGCCCCAACATGTGCCAAATGAAAACTTGAAATTTTAAAGCACTAAGCTCAAATCCTTCCTTAGACTATTTACTAAAGACTGCAAAAATTCAAATTGTTTTGAAGCAGTGAATTTTATTAAAAATATTATAATTCTGTAATGGCAGAATATTGGTCCCTTTCAAATAGATTCTGCCATGTGAGATTTTCTAGGAAAGTAAAATAAAAATTAAAGAAAAATAAAACAAGTATCTTGCAAAAAGCAGTTGTTTCAAAGTAAAATATAAAAAATGTAAAAAGCAGCTATTTCAGTGTCATTTTAAATATTTTGACAAAACCATTATCCGTGTTGGTAAACCCAGTTTTGCTAGATTTGTTCTTTGCTGTCTTTATTCTCTTAATGACTTTAGAATAGAACGATCAGTCTCTAATCAGACCCGTACCCATTCTTGACAAAGCAAACTATGCAACTTCTTTGAGCCAGTATACTGTTTCTTTGTGCTCCAGTTCATATACATAATTAATAATACATATTGATATAGTGAATTTCCCATAGACATGTGTTTGAACAACTTCAAGGAAGACCATCCTGAGAAAACATTTCCTCAGGGCAATCCAGGAAAAAGTCTAATTTCCCTAAAACTGACTAGTAACATTCACATAGAAATTAAAAAGAGATAAATCTTAGAAAAATAACTCAAGATGTGGAATCTAACTATTGAATCAAACTCAAGTGATTCAAAGAGGGCACCTCAAGGTGACTCAGTTTATTTCTAGGAATGCTATCATATGCACTAATCACCACTCCCGTGACCCAAATTCTATTATCTGCTGCCCTGAAACTAACATCAAATTTACTGTAATTAAAAAAAATTCTCTATCCCTTTAAGAATAGAGTAGGGAAAAATAAAAATGAGAAAATTAATTCTAATTCCCTAAAATGTTGGTAATCGCAATAGTAATTCTATCCACATAAGAAGAAATAAGAGAGTAAAAGACTAGGTATTGCTGCTGACTCAATTTCTTCAATACCTTTTTGTGTGTTGAAAGCAAGGTTTCTAAATTTGTATATGGGTTATTTCTTGATGTTTTATTAGTTAGGCTAGTATTCCTGACCAGAGAGATTCACAGGCCAGGGACTAGTGGAAACATGATTCAAAATCCCATGTGTAAGTGAGCTATTCAGTGCAATGGGAGGCTGGCATCCTCAGTTGTTCTCAATTCTCTGACCACTGATTTTCTATTCTCTGCTTAAACTGCATTCATTAGTTCTCTTGGATTTTGGAAATTTTCTGTTTTATTGGATTGCTTTTTTTTATGAGACGGAGTCTTGCTCTTTCTCCCAGGCTGGAGTGCAATGGCGCAATCTCCTCTCTCTGTAACCTCCCCCTGCCGGGCTCAAGCGATTCTCTCACCTCAGCCTCCCAAGTAGCTGGGATTACAGGCACCTGCCACCATGCCCAGCTAATTTTTGTAGTTTTTAGTAAAGACAGGGTTTAATCACGTTGGTCAGGCTGGTCTCGAACTACTGACCTCAGGTGATCCACCCGCCTCAGCCTCCCAAAGTGCTGGGATTATAGGCGTGAGCCACAGTGCCCAGCTTTGCTGCCTTTCTTAGCTTTAAAGCCCTTGAAAAGAAGGAGTTCAATAGGCTTTCAGAATTTTAGGAAATATTGTTGACCTTTAGATGCTTGCTGTTGTCATGGGAATGAGCAAGGCAATCTGTCAAGTTTACTTTAAAGGAGTAAATTCACATAGATAAAATCCTGTCAACTTTACTCACCAATCTCTCATTTAGTATCAACTTCAATAGACACAGGATTATGACAGAAGACAAGAAAGCCAGCCTGAAATGTAGCCTTCTTTTTTCTACTCCACCACCTTGCCTGCCATTTGGAGATGTGTGCTCTCTGTGGGTCTCATTTAAATATTTCTTTCCTTCTTCTTGGCTCATAACAAATTGTAAGATGATTATTACTCTTAAATGCTGGGAAATTTCACAGATAGTTCTAGGCTATTTCTAGACATATATGTATTCTCCAATGTCCAGGTTATTGTCTTTATTCCTCAAATCAAATTGGAAAAATTCACATATGTAATCAAAAGAAATATTTTATCTATGAATATCCCTATCCATGAATATTAAAATACAACATACGAGGGGAGAACAAGAAAAGCAAGTATCTATGTTAGAATAAAAAAGAAGTTCAGGAAGAGTAGTTGGGAATTGAGTATAAGGAGGAGATGGTTAATGGGTACAAAAATACAGTTAGAAGGAATAAGATCTAGTCATGTTCAGTGGCACATGACTGTTTTCTAGGCTTTAGAATTCTGCTTAGCTCTCTTGAATTGGTTGGTACCTACCATATTATACTTCAATTTTGTTTGGGTGTTCCTCATTTTAAATGTACTTCAGCCTTTGGTTACTGCTACTATCACACTTGGTGTTCACTGGATACCCATATATGTAAGTGGAAAATGATTCATTGGCAAAAACTGCTACATGTTCATCAAAATTCACATTCTTCTCCTCTCTTTGGACATATAGCGAGTCTTACTTGCTATTAGGTGTGGCCATATGACAGGCCTGTAGCTAAAGAATTGTGAGTAGAAGAGAAGTGTGCACTTTCTGCTCAAGCCTTTTAAGAAGACTGTGCCTTCTCTTTCCTGTCTTGCCTCTTCACTTGCTAAATGCAAATAACGATGGGACCCTAAAGGATAGCAGGACTCCTAAATGGAAGGAACCTGGATCCTTGAACCACTGAGCAAAACTAAGCTAATACTGTTTAGGAACACTTCTTTGGATAGTTGATGTCAGTGAAAATTAAACTTCTATCTCGATTAGCTCACTATAAATTTTGAGGTCGATTTGTTACAGCAGTTAGTTTCTTCTAATACTGAAGTATTAACTTGGACAATTTTATTAACTAGATATTTTTACTGATAAGAAAGTAAAAGAGTAAAGCCACTAAAGTTGTGAATGTAATATTATTGTTGCACCCATTTTAAAAAGCCATATGCAGGAGATTTCCGAATTGGTTTAATTGCTAAAGAAAGAAATGTAATCTTTTAGTACTAGGTAGAATTCCTGAGCAGATATTTTTTAATTTGATGAAAGTTTCAGTTGTCCTCAGGCCCTGCTTTCTAACCCAATCCTTAGTATTGATTATACTTGTCCCTGCAGACCTATTCTTGACACGACCCATCTGTCCCTGCAAGTCGGTTTTTGACTTCTGATCTTCCATGAGTTGCGCACTTTTCTTCTGAAAAGTAACTACATATCTGTACTTCCTTAGGTATCAGCCTGTTTTGTATAATGTGGCAGATGCTGCTTTTACTGCCCTTTAATATTTCTTAGTCTTCAGTCTCATAAATATCCTGCGTGTACTTATATTTTATCTTCTCTGAGTGATGTATCTTTGATATTTATATTCAATGACACCTTCTAAGGGTGATCCCCATTTTGTCTAAGCTAGCATTTATTACTCAGAGCTGTCATTAAATGATGTAGGTCATGGTTTCTGTAGGCATCATGTGGTCTTGATGTTCGTTCACTTTACACATAGAATCAAGACTGTGTCAGATAGCTTCTTACAAATTTAAAGCTAAAACTCTCATTTCCTGTCTGTGATCTGGTGATGGTAACTTTAAGGAAATCTAGAGTGGATGCAATTTATATACCTCAGATCAGTTAATGACAGACTTTTTAGTTACCTGGCCCACCCACTTATCCAGTTTCTGTTCAATGTTGAATCTTGTTGCAAGTGTCAGAGAGGAGTGGCAGCTGTAACAAAATAGACTAGATTGGAATGTAGGTGAATTGGATCAAGTCAGTCCAATTCAGGCCAACTACTTACTAAGTATATTATTGAGATTTTATTATCTCAGCTAAAATTTAGAAATACAAATATTTTCTTACGGGGTTGCTACAAGAATCAAATAAAATTAGGCTAAATGCGTGAGGATGATATATAAGAAATTCACAAAATGTAAGTGGAAGTTCAGACTCTTATCTGGTATTTTGTGAATCCTTATTCTCTCTTTATGTAATCAAACAATTATTTTGACTTTCCTTTTTGCATATATATTCCAAATAAACAAAAATATAAAATAAGGGGCATAGGTCAGATGAGGGATTCATTGAGATGAGTCCATAGGGCCGTGTGAATTCCAGCAGTAGAAATACAATCCCTAAACAGTACTGACTAGCCTCAGACACATCTACATGCCTGTTTCATAGCCTCTTCATCTATAGAATATTGTGCAGCAGGGATAATATTGTAATTGAGCAGTGATGCCTTCTTTCTTAGGATATAAGCTGAAACATTTTAGGGGATGACTACCACAACCAAGAGGATAGGCAACTGCTATTAACTCCATCTGGCAGAAGCCATGAATAAATTACATACCATGAAACCTTTTGGGAACTGAATTTTCCAAAGATCTTGCTTCACTTTATGCTCCATTTCTTTTAGATGCTTCTTTTTCTTACTTTTTTCCCCTGCCTTAGCAATGCTGAGAGTTTTTGCCTATGATTCATTTGATTAAAAAAAACACATGGATAAGTTCCTTAGATGAGGCAAAAGTGAACATCCTATTTTTCTTAAATAGCAATTGAATTATTATACTACTTTGTGTTCTAAGAAAGCACATAGTTTAACATTTTGCAATAGTTATCTGATGTGGGCCCATAGCATGGTTCTTGACAGAAAACCTTTAATATATAACTTATGAGTAAATGAATGATACATAGTATTAGTTCTGATTTATTACTTGTATGTTTCTATACCCACAAAGGAGATGATAAAGAAAATTTCCACGTAATTTGAATTTTTCTTCAGATAAAAGTCTATCTTTCAGATATGTAGATACATTTATACAGATCTCCATTGATAAAGATGCCTAGTCTCTGGAGAATAGAATACATATTCATATAGCAGGTTTAGTGTGGCTGGGGTTAATATGTTTCTCCAATAACTAGTAGTGAAAAATTGGCCTGCTTTATTTGCAGCAGATAAATATTTTTCTAAATATGAATTTTAAAATACATATGAAAATCCATTGAGAAAATTAACTGGTAGCTATTTTAGTTGTAGCTAGATTTTAAAAAGTATTTGTCTGTAGAAGGAGGTTATTTTTATTGTGTCATTTTTTGGAAGAAATTTTTAAAATTGTTTTATTTTCTAAATTTAGTTGTAGGGATAGTACAATGGATTTCCTCTTTGTTTTTGAATTTTGTTTTGTTATCTTTTGTTTACAATTTCAACTTTTATTTAGATTCAGTTGTTACATATGCAGGTTTGTTACCAGGTATATTGTGGGCTCAGTACTCAATAGTTAGTTTTTCAAGTCTTTCCCTCATCCTGCCCTACTCCCTCTAATAGTCACCAGTGTCTACTGTTGCCATCTTTATGTTCATAAGTATCCAATGTTTAGCTACCACTTATAATTAAGAACATGTGGTGTTTGGTTTTCTGATCTTGCATTATTAATTCACTTAGGATAATGGCCTCCAGCTACATTCATGTTGCTGCAAAGGACATGATTTTGATATATTTTTATGTCTGCATACTATTCCATGGTGTATGTGTACCGTATTTTCTTTATCCAATCCACCATTGATGGGCAACTAGGTTGATTCTATGTATTTGCTATTATGAACAATGCTGTGATGAATATAAGAGTGCTTGTGTTTTTTTGGTAGAACAATTTGTTTTCTTTTAGGTATATATATACCCAGTAATGGAATTGCTGGGTCGAATGCTACTTCTAAGTTCTTTGAAAAATATCCAAACTGCTTTTCACAGTGGCTGAACTAATTTACATTCTCTCCAACGCTGTACGTGGTAAACATTTTCTTTGTGACCTCCTCAGCATCTGTTGTTTTTGAGTTTTTAATATAATAAAAGCCATTCTGACTGGTGTGAGATGATAACCTCATTGTAGTCTTAATCTGTATTTCTCTAATGATTAGTGATGTTGAGCATATTTTCATATGGCTGTTGGCTGCTTGTATGTCTTCTTTTTTTTTTTTTTTTTTTTTTTTTTTTTTGAGACGGATTCTCGCTCTGTCGCCCTGGCTGGAGTGCAGTGGCGTGATCTCACTGCAAGCTCCGCCTCCCGGGTTCACGCCATTCTCCTGCCTCAGCCTCCCGAGTAGCTGGGACTACAGGTGCCTGCCACCATGCCCAGCTAATTTTTTGTATTTAGTAGAGACAGGGTTTCACCATGTTAGCCAGGATGGTCTCCATCTCCTGACCTCGTGATCCGCCCGCCTTGGCCTCCCAAAGTGCTGGGATTACGGCATGAGCCACCGCGCCCGGCCGTATGTCTTCTTTTGAGAAATATCTGTTCATGTCTTTTGCCTATATTTAATGGGGTTATTTGTTTTTTGCTTCTTCCATTCTTTAAGTTCCCTATAGATTCTGGATATTAGACCTTTGTCAGATGCATAGTTTGCAAATATCTTCTCTCATTCTGTAGGTTGTATGTTTACTTTGTTGATGGTTTCTTTTGCTGTATAGAAGCTCTTTAGTTTAATTAGGTCCCATTTGTCAATTTTTGTTTTTCTTGCGATTGCTTTTGAAGATTTAGTCATACATTCTTTCCCAAGATCTGATATCCATAATGGGGTTTCCTAGGTTTTCTTCTAGATTCTCATAATTTGAGGTCTTACATTTAAATTCTTAATCCATTTTGAGTTAATTTTTTGTGTATGGTGAAAGATAGGGGTCCAGTTTCAATCTTTTGCATATGGCCTGTCAGCTATTCCAGCACCATTTATTGAATAGAGAGTTATTTCCCCGTTGCTTCTGTTTTACAGCTTTGTCAAAGTTCATATGGTGGTAGGTCAGTGGTTTTACTTCTGGGTTCTCTATTCTTTTCCATTGATCTATGTGTCTGTTTTTGTAGCAGTACCATGCTGTTTTGGTTACTGTTGCTTTTTAGTATAATTTGAAGTAAGGTAGCATGATGCCTCTAGCTTTGTTCTTTTTGTTTATAAAAACTTTGGCTACTTGGGATCCTTTTTTTGGTTCCATATGAATTTTATAGTAGCTTTTTTATAATTGTGTGAAGAATGACTTCGGTACTTTGATAGGAATAGAGTTGAATCTATAAATTACTTTGGGCAGTGTGGACATTATAGTGATATTGATTCATCCAATCCATGAGCATGGAATAGTTTTCCATTTGTTTGTTTCATCCATGATTTCTTTCAGCAGTGTTTTGTAGTTCTCCTTGTAGAAATCTTTCAGCTCTTTGGTTAGATATATTCCCATGTGTTTACTTTTTTTGCAGCTATTGTAAATGAGATTGTGTTCTTGATTTGGCTCTCAGCTTGAACGTTATTGATGTATAGAAATGCTACTGATTTTTGTACATTGACTTTGTTTTCTGAAACTTTACTGAAGTCATATATGTCAGTTCTAGGGATCTTTTGGTAGACTCCTTAGAGTTTTCTAGGTGTAGGATCATATTATAAGCAAAGATAATTTGAATTCTTTCCTACTGGATGTTTTCTATATCTTTTCTTGCCTGATTTCCCTGGCTTCCACTTCTATATTGAATCTGAATGGGAATCATTGTCCTGTTCCAGTTCTCAAGAGGAATGATTACAGCTTTTGTTTATTCAATATTGATAGAAGTAGGAGGCAGAGAACTCTCCAAGGCAGATAGGTGAGGGTCCTCAGAGAACCTACAACCTGACAAGGTCATTGTGCACAGAGAGCTTGCCTAAACTTGCCTGCAGTGAAAAACTCCATCCTTTAACACGTGCAGTAAGGAATATAAATCAATGTGGAGTGACTCAGACTTAAGGGCCCACATGCACACTGGAAGGATAAGGTGGAGCCACCAGGAATTCACATCTTATACAAATAGGGGACCCAGCCCCATCAGCTTGGATATATAGAAGCCCTTGTATTCAACTGTGAAGAGAGGCAACTGGCAACCTGCCTTCAGGACCCCTCTTTCTGCTGACAGCTTTCCTTTTCTCTTAATAAATTCTACTCCGCTCACTCTTTGATGTCCATATGTCTATTTATTCCTCATTGTGAGACAAGAGCCCAGACCTAGCTGAGCTAAAGAGCAAAAAATCCTGCATCACTATAATGTTGGCTGTGGGTTTGTCATGGATGGCTCTTATTATTTTGAGATATCTTCTTTAATGCCTAGTTTGTTGAGGATTTTAATTATGAAGGAACATAAGATTTCGTAGAATGCTTGTCCACATCTACAGAGATAATAATATGGTTTTTGTTTTTAATTCTGTTTATGTGGTGAATCACATTTGTTGATTTTCATATGTTGAATCACCCTTGAATCCCAGAAATGAAATCTACTTCATCATGGTGTATTAACTTTCTGATGTGCTGCTGGATTTGGTTTGCTAGTATTTTGTTGAGAATTTTTGTGTCTCTGTTCATGAGGGATATTGGCATGTAGTTTTCTTTTTTCATTGTGTCTTTGCTGGATTTTAATATCAGGGTGATGCTGGATTCATAGAATCAGTTATGGAGGAGTGGACCTACCTTGATTTTTGGGACTAGTTTCAGTAGGATTGGTACCAGCTCTTGTTTGTGTCTAAAATTAATCTGTGAATCCATCTGATCCATGACTTCTTTGGTTGGTAGGTTTTTTTTATTGCTGATTCAATTTCAGAACTCAATATTGGCCTGTTCAAGGTTTCAATTTCTTTGTGTTTCAATACCTGGAGAGTATGTGTTTTCAGGAATTTTTCCATTTCCCCTAGATTTTCTAGTTTTTGTGCATAGAGGTATTCATAGCAGTCTCTGAGAGTCTTTTGTATGTCTGTGGGATCAGTTATAATGTCACCTTTGGCCTTTCTAATGGTGCTTATTTGGATCTTCTCTCTCTTTCTTTTGTTAATTTATCTAGTGGTGTATAAATCTTTATATTTTCAAAAATTAACTTTTGATTTTATTCTTTCTTTGTATGGATATTTGGATATCAATTTTGTTCAGTTATGCTCTGATTTTACTTATTTCTTTTTTTGTTTTGGTTAGTTTTAGGGTTTATTTGTTCTTATTTTGTAGCTCTTCCAGGTGAGATATTAGACCATTATCTTGATATCTAGGTAAGTGTTTAGCACTATAAACTTTTAACACTGTTTTTGCTACATCAGAGATTTTGGTGTTTTGTGTCTTCATTTTCATTTGTTTCAAATAATTTTTTATTACTGCCTTAATTTTTTTATCCAAAGGTCATTCAGAAACAAGTTGTTTAATTTCCATGTAATTTTGTGGGTTTTGAGAGATCTTCTTGGTATTGATTTCTATTTTTATTCAAATGGGGTCTTAGAGTATGGTTGGCATGATTTTGATTTTTTAAAAATTTGTCGAGACTTGCTTTATGGCCAAGCATGTGGTTGATCTTGGAGTTTGTTTCATGAGAAAATGAGAAGAATGCATGTTTTTGTGTTTGAGGGATGGAGTATTCTGAAGATGTCTCTTAGGTTCAATTGGTCAAGTGTTTAATTTACATCCAAAATTTCTGTTTGTTTTTTACCTTGATGATCTGTCTAATCCTGTTACTGAGGTGTTGACATCCACAACTTTTATTGTGTGGCTGCGTAAGTCTTTTGTAGGTCTAGAAATACTTTTTGATGATTCTGGGTGCTCCAATGTTGTATGCATAGATATCAAGGATACTTAAATCTTTTTGTTGATTTGAATCCCTTATTCCCCTTATCATTATATAATGTCCTTCTCTGACTTTTTTAAAAAAAATCTTGTTAGTTTAAAGTTTGTTTTATCTTGTATAAGACTAGCAACTCCCGCTCTGTTTCTGTGTTTCACTTGGGTGATAGATCTTCCTCCAGTCTGTCACTTTGAGCCTTTCAGTGTCATTATATGTGAGACAGGCATCTTGAGGACAGCAGACAGATGGGTCTTGTTTTTTAATCCAAATTGACACTCTGTGCCTTTTTAGTGGGGTGTTTAAATTTTTTACATTAAAGGTTAACATTGATATGTGAAGTTTTGATTGTGTTGTGTTGCTGTTAGCTGGTTATTTTATAGTTTCTATTATATGATTGTTTTATAGGGTCTGTGTGCTATGTGTGTTTTTGTGGTGGCAGGTATTGTTCTTTCATTTCTGTGTTTAGAACTCCTTTAAGGATTTCTTGTAAGGTTGGTCTAGTGGTAACAAATTTCTTTAATGCTTGCTCATCTGAAAATGATTTTATTTCTCTGTCATTTATGAGGCTTAGTTTGGCAGGATATGAGATTATTAGATGGAATTTTCTTTTATTTAAGAAAGCTGAAAATAAGCCCCTAATCTCTCTTGGTTTGTAAGGTTTCTGATAAGAAGTCCTCTATTAGCATGATGGGGTTCTTTTTGTGTGTGATCTGACATTTTTCTCTAGCTGTCCTTAAGACTTTTTTCTTTAACATTGACCTTAAACAGTCTGGTAACTATATGCCTTGGTGATGCTCTTTTTGTGTAGTATCTCACAGGTGCTCTCTGGAGTTGTGCTATCTGGATGTCTACCTTTCTTACAACATTAGGAATTTTTTTGAATTATTACCTCAAATATGTTTTTCAGTTTATTTTCTTTTTCTTTGTCTCTCAGTAATACCAATATTTGATAGGTTTGGTCACTTTATATAATCCCACATATATTGAAGACTTTTCATTTTTTAAAATTCTATTTTCTTTATTATTGTCTGACTGAGTTACTTTGAATGACCAGTGATCAAGCTCTGAAATTCTTTCTTCTGTTTGGTCCAGTCTATTGATTAAGCTTTCAATTATATTTTGAAATTTCTTAATGCAGTTTTTCAATTCCAGAAGATCCAAGTGATTTCTTTTTCAGATTTTTATCCCTTCCTTCATTTCCTGTATTGCTTTAGAAGTTTCTTTGTCTTGATTATCAACCTTGTCCTGGATCTGATTGAGTTCAGTGCAACCCATGCTTTGAATTCTTTGTAACTTCTGAGTTCCCATTTTTGTTATAGACTGTTCTAAGTGAACTAGTGTGGCCCTTTGATGGTATCACTACATTCATATTTTTCATGGTGCCAGAATTCTTGTGCTGGTTTCTTCTCATCTGGAGAAGCTGGTACTTGTAATTTTTGTAACTATTTTTGTGCAGGTAGAACTTTTTTTTTCTTTTTCTTCCTTTCCCTGTAATATTATTGTCTTTTTTCTGATTTCCCTTTTCCTTCCCCTTTCCCCATCTCCCTAGGGGATATGACCATAGAGAATGGTGGGTAGGGTCTTTTGACTTCGCTTCTGTAGCCCTATGCATTTCTGTTGGCAGGTTTTATGTTGAGCTGTGCAGTTTGATGGTGCTTATGGGTAAGAGACAGCTTTGGCCAATGCTTCTGGGTAATTACTTAATCCTTTTTTGCTGAGAGAAGCTCTTTGTTGCCTAAGGAAATGGGCTGATTCATGGAGTGCACAGTCATCTAAGTTCTCTCCTCATTCCCAGGATGTGGGGGTCAAGATGGACAGGGCTAGACCAGGCAGGTCCACCTACATGTCTCCTGTGGTAGCCACAAACACCACTGCCAAGGAAGAATCCAGTGAGTGGCCACTAAGTGCCCAGAGGTGTGGAGCTGGGAAACCTCAGCCCTGAGTTCTCTGCATGGGGATTTGAGGGCAACCAAAACTCCTAATCCAGGAGAGTGAGTTTTCCAGATATCTAGAGACCTGCGTGAGCATGGAAGGGAGAAGGTCACTCCATACCAAGATTGCTGCACAGGTGGGATGGGGTGACTCAGGCTGCTGAACCAGGCCAGCAGATGCTTTGAATGCCTGGAGATTTGCCTGGGCATGAAGCAGAGTGGGCCCCCTTGCACCCTGATCTCTTCATAGAAAGGTTGGGCCACCTCAGGCTTCCAATCCAGGAAAGAAGGTGGTTTGAATGCCTGTAGATCTGCCTGGGTGTGGAGCAAGGAAGTCCTTACTTCACCATGATCTATGCACACAAAGGGTGGGGCAGTTCAGGCTGCTGATCCAGGTGAGTGAGTGCTTTGAATGCCTGGAGATCTGCCTGAGTGTGAAGTACAGAGGGGCCCCCTGAATAGGATTTCTGCACATAAAGGGTGTGACAGTCCGGGTTGCTGGTTTAGATGAGTGGGTGCTCCGAATGCTTGGAGATCTGCCTAAATCTGGAGTGAAGAGTAAGCCACTGTGCCACAGCTACGTACAGGAAGGGTGGGGTGGGTCTGGCTGCTGAATCAGATGAGGAGGTATTCTGAATACCTGAAGACCTGCCTGGACATGGAGCAGAGAGGGTCCCACTGTACCATGATCTCAGGGGAGCTGGCTGGGGCACACAGCAATGACACTTATAGACCAGTTCTAGGTCGCCAAGCTGGCCCTGAATGCAAGTCTCATCATCCAGGAGAAAGAGCAGCTTTAATAGCTCTCCTCCTGCCCCAGGAATTCCAGCACCTACTGCTGAGGTGTTTTCAGTTTTGGCTGTTGAGACCCCTACCCTCACTCCAGTGCAGGGATTCCAATCTCTGGCCCAAGGCTAAAATGCCTGCATAGCCATGCTGCCAGTTTGCCAAAGAATGGCTGACTTTATATGTCCCTGGATTAAAATTGGCATCTTGCCCTAAATCCCTGGTGTGAGAACATGTTTGCAGCTTTCCTCCTTGTCTTTTCCTCACAGTGTCTCCAATCCTATCCCCCTGTTAGCTCCAGTGCTTATAAGAAGACCAAGTGCTTTCCCTTGGCCTGGGTTGCTCAGGTCTCCAGTGGAAAGGTAAGCTACAGAGGGAGGCTCTCTGCCACTCTCACATACTGAGGCTTCATTCACTTCTACTAGCTGGATGTCATCACGGGAGCTGTTTTCCTTCATCCTCCCTGGGATCTGGGGTCTTATTCACAATTCTGGTGGATTCCTGTTTTTCCTTCTCGAATTAAACCCCACAGAGTTTATCGTTATGTATTGCTTGCTATTTCCAAACGGTTGAGGCATGCTAAAATCCTCTAATCTACCATCTTGGAAAAAATTTAATTTCTTCTTTGGAAGATTTATTTAATACCATAAGAGAACCTGTGCTATCACTTTACTGAAAAAGAAATGACCACATTATGGGTAAGTGTTTAGAGACAGCAATGCAAGTTTCAGAAGAGTTTATAGAGATTGCTCACTGAGAAACTTAATCAAGATTACCTGGTGGCTTGCAATTAAGAATTAGGGCCAATGTAAATACTTGTCATATTTTGAGATCTAAAGCCAACACAAAATGATATTAATGTAATTATCTGTGATAGTTCTTTACTCAAGTAAATAAAGTAAATAACATTTTTTCACTTTCACTGCATTGGTTTACTTTAATTACTTTCTATTTATGGCTAATGATACTTGATATTCTATGTTTTGTATTAATTTAAGAATTCCTTTTTTAAAACTAAATTTATTCTAGAAAAATAAGTCGTTTTATTCAAAACATATATTAAAGGTTCTTGGATATGAAAAACTCCTAAAATGTATACATTATTTAAAAAGTATAGGAAAATGGGATTCTCATAATCTTTACATGTTACTTCTTTAAGCACCCTGACTGACTCTTTTTCTGGCCTTTTGCAACATTTAACAATTCTTATGGACAATAGTTATAATTTTATCCATTCAAGATTTTATTTCTTGCAAGTTGAACTAATTTCATCTTGTTTTCCATCATGAAAATATTGTGGCTTTTTCTTTTCTGTAGTTCAGTGAGTGGGAGGGAGTGGGACTCATCAGGTTTTTCTTTCCCATAGTTTGGCAAGCAGGAGGGAGTGGCAATCAGAGGCCTTTTTGCCCCTGAAGCTTGGCAAACAGGAGGGTTACACCTCTTTCATTCCCACTGCCCACAGCTTGGTGAGTTCCAGGTTCTTGTCCCATGACCAAGAGGAATAAGGTATGCAGACAGGGGAGAGAGACTAAGGCAGAGAAGAATGCTATTGAGTAACATAAGAAAAGCTCTCAGCTGCAAGAGGGGACCCTGAAAACAGGTAGCCATCTGTGAGGCTGAGTCCAGGGTTTTTATGGGCTTAGAATGGGGGAATGTATGGGTGGTCTTGGAAAAAGAACCATCTGATTGGTTAAAAGGCATCATCCAGAAGGAAACAATAGAGAAAGAGAGTAAGACAGGGATTGTGGCAGACTGTCACAGTTACTTCTTGAGACCGTCATTACAGCAGTTACTACTGTTACTGCTTGAGGCTGTCATTACAGCAGTTACTACTGTTACTGCTTGAGACCATCATTACAAGACTGAACAAAGGGATGAACATAGAAAATGATAATAAAAAACAAAAGAGACTGTTTTAAAGGAAAGGTCCAGGGGAAGAAGAGAGCTCCCTGCTTCTAGTGGGCAAAGGCAGCCCCTGAGCTTCCACTGCCCTTCATATTTATCGGGTAACAAGAGCAAGGAGGAGGAGGTAATGATTGGTCAGCTGCTTAATTGATCACAGGTTCATATTATTACTAACAGGCTTCAGATGTACCTAATCACAAGAAACATTGGACTTGGGGCATGATTGCCCTCAGCATTCTTTCTGGGTGGCAGATGTAGTTTGTCAGTTTGCCAACATTCTGTGTTTATGAGAACAGTTTGCTGTTTAGTCATATAGCCTCCAGTGGTATACTGAGTTGATCACGACCCTCAGTCTTTCGGCCTCCAACAAGGGATAGATGTTTTCACTCTGGTCTTGAACTCTATCTGGAACTAGCAGCTCGGTTTTCAGGTTTTAAACTGTCTTTGGCTCGAAGGTCAGGTTTCACTGGGTCTGTCCCTGTCTACCTGGGAATTTGTCTGTCTCCTGTTGCTATCAGTAGCTACTACTTCATATTACATACACTGAACCATGTTACCTATTACTGGATTGTGACAAAATGTAAAAAGTCATTTCTACCAACTGTTTGGGTTAGTAAAACGTATCTATAAGAGAGGCTGAGTACTATTAATTACCCTTTACCAAGTTGCAGAATACCAGGAAGATAATCTTAAGATTACCATGCAATATGTATTTTAGCATGCAATATATATCTTAAATTTTCTCAGCAATTGCCTAAAAATTATGAAGAGATAATGATGAAACACATATCATTCAAATATGCTTCCCTTGACCTGAAATTCTGATTTAAAATCATTTGTAAAAAGCATATTATTTTATGTGAATTAAAGTCAAGTGGTAATAGCAGGCCTAGTAACTAAATCAGTTGTCTGTATTAGTTTCCCTAAGAGAAAATGATGATAGTCCAGGGACAGAAAGTCACAGAAGACAAGAGTGAGTATTGACAGAAAATGTAGTAAGCCTGTGAGAGAAAAACATACTTTGCCTTAACAGATGGTTTAAAAATGGTCGAATTTTACTTAAAAAAGAATGTACACACATCTTTCAGAAAGAAAGAAAGGCTTCAGTAGATCAATTTTAAGATGTCAGTTTGTCTCAATACACAAAAAGTTAATAATTAAAGATTTTGGCAATGAATACTAAGAAAAAAACATCTTTAATCACATATTACCACAGTAATACATATGTTTCTATTGTTCAACTAGATATCAATTACTGATGATACTACTGGTTTAAAAAAGATTTTACATCTTGTGATAAATATGCTGAAATTTTTTCTTATGCCTTATTTTCAAATGGCTATTTTTTAAAATGTATGGTTATTAAAACATCTTAGCCTAATGATGGTCCACAGCTGTATCACTACTACCCAACAATATAACAATAATAGTTCCATCTCAGTGTGTCCAAAAATCACATTTCCTATGGCATAAAAGAGGTCAAAAACCAAAGAAAAGAGGCACCCTCCTATTAAAGAGAAAAAGAAAATTGGTGCCTTTCAAAATATGAGTCACTAAAGTGAATGGGCTACGATTGCCTTAGGAATAGACACATGCAGGCGTGAACCACACGCGCACGCACACACACACACACACACACAGCACTTAAGCTACCACTTTTCCAAGAAGGAATTGAAATGAGAAAACAGAGCCAGCCCAAATGCAAAGAAAATATAACAACTCATCTTTGTCACTTCCACCCCTTTTTAGAGCAGTTTTCACTTTTGACGCTAGGTTCTATTGTTACTTTGGTAGCTTGTTTTGTCTTGTGTAGAATAATGCAAATATGAGTGTTCCATCATGATCTTTCTAGCATTCTTCCTTAAGCAGAGCTCCCTTGAGAGTTCTTCAAAGAGAAGTTGAATGATTAATCTGATTTTGCTTCCCTGGGATTACTCATTAGTAAGGTAACAATGGGCACTCTTCTGTTTTAAAGTCCTAACATCATTGCAATTCATCCCAGAGGTGATATGAATTGTTCCATTCTATAAGAGTCTGAAGAGCAGCCAGTCCTTTCAGAAATGTACCTCTGTCAAAGAAACTGGAATCTGCACGTTCTCTTCTTGACTAGTGAAAAGTAATCTGTTTATTTCCTATGGGGCTATATAATTTTGTGGGTGACTAAAAACAGTGAAGATATTATCAGCTTAATCCTTGGAATAGTGTAATATGCTTTGCAATAAAATTTGTGACTCTCATAAAATATTGAGGTCTTTAATGACCTGAAAACTTCTTGCTAAAAAAACTGTAGATTGATCAACATATGTTTTGTGTTTGTGTTTAATGTTGATCATTAGACTGCTCTCTCTGTATTCTCCTTGCCACTTTCTTTCCCTCACTCACACTTAGCCCTAGCCTTCCACTGGTTATGTGCTCTGCCTCTCCCATATGCCCTCTTAAGAACATTAAATTTAGTGCCATATCACTGCAGGCATTTCTCCCTCAGAATTCCTAAGTTGGTCTTCCAATTTCTAATTTAATATTTTTGAGGCATCTCATGTCTTTGACAGCTTTGATTTATAGAGAAAGATTATTCCCCAGTCCCTCTTCACAACAACTCACCCCTTTGCTTGACTAGATTTTATTTTCTTTAAAGAAAGAGGACATGCCAATTTGGTTAGTTCAAGTTCATAACAATTGACTGAGCCACATTGGTGTGTATATTTTGTCTAAGTGGGAAGACTCCTCTTATGAATGGTTACTTCCTTTTTCTGTGACTGAATGGATCAAGGAATTTAAAATAGGCCTCTCTCTTTTTCTTCCTTTCTCTATACATGAAAATAAGTGATAAGGTTGGGAGGGCCTGATATGTCATGATGAAGATAGCATGATGATGATAATAATTATCATCATTGTGATAACTCATATTTATTGAAACTTTTGACCATGCTTTGTAGCATTTTACATAGATTAGCACAGTTATTATTCATAACTCAAGTATGGGGTAGATATGATGATTATTCCTACTTCACAGACAGGAACAATGAGACACAGATAAGTTAAGGACTTATCCAAGAAGTTGGCATTGTTGAAATTAAGCCCAACCATCTTGCATCTTCTTTATCCTTGATTTATTTCCCCTGTGCAACTGTTAAGAATGTGGCAAGATCTCAAGATTTGGATTTGGGAAAGGAGTAAATGTGAAAGTGATGCAGGGAGTAGAAGTCTCTGTTTGGCTTCCAAGACTAAAGCATGTGTTGAACTTAGCTATTAACAGAGTGCATAATAAGGGTATTGGGCAGTATTTGATTCTCATTTTGCTGCTGTTCCTTTAGGATAATGCTTTCAGAGAGTTTATGGGTGGAATTTGGGGATGCAATGGTTTAATTGGCAAGAGCAACAGTTTTCCATTCCTGTCTTTAATGTCAGCTAACTTCACCCCAAACCCACCATTATTACTAATGTTTATAACATTAATTACAACTTTTTTTTTTTTTTTGAGACAGGGTCTTGTTTTGTTACCCAGGCTAGGGAGCAGTGATGTGATCATAGCTCACTGTAACCTTGAATTCCTGGGCCAAAACCATCCTCCTGCCTCAGCCTCCGATTAGATAGGACTACAGGCATGCACCATCATGCCCAGCTAATTTTTAAAATTGTTTTTGTAGAGACAAGTCACTATGTTGCCCCAGGCTGGTCTTGAAACCTTGGCCTCAAGAAGTTCTCTCACCTCCGCCTCTCAAAGTGCTGGGATTACAGATTACCATTGTGCCCAGCCCTAATTACAACTTTATAGCATAAAACTAGTTTAAATTCGCTTTTCTATAGCTTCCATGTATTGAAAGCAATATAAAGCTTACTTTCTTTTCCACGACCTTTAAGTTTTTGAAAAATCAGCCTGGTTTAGTGACCAAAACAGAGTGACTTCTTGGTTTATACTTTCCCAGTCCATTGATCCTACAAAGAAGTAAAGGGGGGAAAAAGTCATTGTGTGAAAGCCTCTGTCTCATTTAGCCTAAACCAGAGATATGCCCACTTCAGGACAGATAATGAGGATGCTACAAGAAAACTCTTTGCATGAGGGAACTTTTGAGATGACAGTTACACCTTAAAAAAATTAGATAAGCTTGCCCTTGTAGAGGCCAGAATTGAGTCTGTTCACGTTATGGTGTTTATTGACTAGATTTATTCCTAGTTCAGCCACTAGGGTTTCATTCATTTATTCTGAAGAGCAGGGAGAGAAGTTAGGATGATAGAGAAAATGGAGAAATTGACCAAGGGACACAGAAACTGATGGAAATATTTCACTTCAAGAATCCTTAAAATTTTGGGATTCAAAAACAGTATTTTCTTAGTGTTCTTGGGACACTACTGAACCTACAACCTGGATTTGATTTTTTCCTTTTTTGTATTGAATCTACAACCTGGATTTGAACCCTAATGTTGGAAAAAATTGAAAATGGATTTGTTATCACCAGTGCTCCAGGGTATTTTGCTTAGCAGAAGTAGTGCCAATAGTACTTGGGAAAAAAAAAAATCTCAACCTAGTAAGAGATAAAGTGCCTTCCTGCAGTTTTGGAGACAGTTGGAAACTCAGCAGTTGACAGCACTGAAGAGAGTCAGAGTTGAAGAAATAATACTTGGATACTTGGATATCCTGTGGTTGCTAATTGACATGGTCATGAGTATCCAGAAAATACACTGTAGGATAGGATAACTGGGGTGATTTTGGCAGGCACTCTCTTTAAAAGAACTGGAGATGCTGCAGTGGCATTGGACAGTGTAGTAGCACAGACAGAAAATGAAGTATGTTTTTCTAAATCTGACCTTTTTGCAAACCCTAGTTTTGCCTGGCCGAATAACAAATAGGTTGCCTGTGTCTAGAAATCAGTTCTAAGTATACAGTTCCAAAAAATTAATAACAGATGTTACATGTTCAATTTAATTAAAGAATCACTTACGAGCACACTATGTGTATAGCACTGTGCTAAATGCCATGGACAATTTAAACTTCCAGTGGTCTTAGGGGAAAAAAAATAACATGCAAATATAGAGCAGTTTTACATAATGGGCAGCAATTCATTGTTTAGGAAAATAAATATTTAGAACTTACCTTCCAGAGAGGGAAAAAATGCAAGTGGCTTGCGATGTGTTGCAAAAGACAGCATCAGGAATGGAGTCTGTGATGAAGAACTTAAAAGATGATCTGGATCAGAAGAGAAAGACAATAGCCCGGGTGCATATTCTAAACCCTAGAATGTAAACTCCACAAAGGCAATTTTATGTTTCTTCACCAGTATATGCTCAGAATCCAGAACGGTGTCTGGCACACACTAGATATTCAATAAATCTTTGTTAAATGAATGAATTCTGAATTGTTTAAATGCTTTAAAACTACTGGATTCCATTCTGTGATGGAATTTGAGATGATCTATTTAGAGAAAAGTTTTTTCTCTCTGGACTTAATTTTGGCAATGAATATGAGTAAGGTTGACCAATTTCTGTCTCATATCAATTAAACCTTTCATGGGTTTTTAGTCAAATGCAGCCATTAATGAGCAGATGCCCAGGGCAATGATAATTATGATGATAATGCTTTGCCCGTACACCATCTCCCTTATCCATATAAACCTAAGTGCTTTACTAACAGTAATTATCACAGTGCTTATGGGAGATAAGGAAGTATAATTAACACCTTGTACAGATAAAAATGGGAATAGAGAGACATTAAACAGCCAGCTCAGAGAGATGTAGTAAAATCAATTATTTATTATTTTTAAAATGTTAACCCTCAATCTGATTATTAAGCCTTGAAAACAAAGAGGCACCAATATTTGATAACTGTTTGTATTAGTCAGGGTTCTCCAAAGAAATAGAACCAATAGGATAGATCTATATATCTTTATCTTTGTAGATATTTACACAGATATCTACACCTATAGATATATAGAAAGATATTATCATGAGGGATTCGCTTATTATGAGGGATTTATTTATTTATTATATTTATATATATTTATATATATAATATATTAATATATTTATTATTATTATTATTTATTTTTATATTTATATATTTATATTTATATTTATATTTATATTTATATATATTTATATATTATTAATATATTTATTATTATTATTATTATTATTTATTATTTATTATACAAGGGATTGGCTTATGCAATTACGGAAGCTGAGAAGTCCCATGATTTTCTATCTGTAAGATTGAAGTCTACAAATCCAGTGGTGTAGTTCCAGTCCAGACTCTAAGGCCTGAGAACCATGGGGCCAATGGGATAAGTCTCAGTCCAAGTCCCAAGGCCCAAGTACTGAGTGCCAATGTTCAAGAACAGAAGAAGATGGATGACCCAGTTCAAGCAGAAAGAACAAATTTGCCTTTCCTCTGCCATCCTGTTTTACTTGGGTCCTTTATGGATTGGTGATGCCCACCCACATTGTTGAGAGGGATCTTTACTCATTCCACTGATTCAGATGCTAAACTCTCTGGAGACACCCTCAGACACACCCTCAGAAATAATGTTTGACCAGCTATCTGGACATCCCTTAGCTCAGTTAAGTTGACATAAAATTAACCATCACACTGTTGAAATCATGAGTTCATTTGAATCTCTTTTTGGCATGGTAGTGAGATGAGGTAAATGAATATCTATTTTAAACTTTCTCAATGTATATACTCATTGAGACCTAATCTGAATTCTTGTACAAATTGTTGGGTGATAACAGGGTAAGGGAAGTGTGTACTTCTTAGCAGCCTTCTATGTAAGTTTCCTTGGCTCATATAAATCTAGGAATATAATAATTATTCAACTCTCAAATTGAAATGGTGTCACATGTTTGGTTTCTTGCTCTTAAAGTTCTACTTTTTTCCTCTCACTTGTAAAATGGCCTTACCTCATACACTAAGTCTCTGGTAAATGGGTCTTAAGAACAATTGAGTTACTTTGGTTAACTATCAAAATAAGTTTACTTTTTTATCTTGCTTTGATTTTATTTTCCATTCATAGTGATGAAAGTCTATTGAAGTGTGCACATAAAAGTGTGTGTGTGTGTGTTTGTGTGTGTGTGGTGGTGGTGTTAGGTGTCAAGCATTTGTTTCCCCTTTCTTTTGTTAATAGTATTGTATCAGGATATTTCTGACATAAGTGACAAGTAAACCAAACCCAAGTAGATATAAGCAAAAAGCAAAAAGAAATTAATGACTCTGATTAAAAACTTCAGGGGTATAATTGGCTTCAAGCATGGTTCCCTGCACTCAACCAGTGTCATCAAGATCAATTTTTCTCCCTCTCTTACTCAACTCTTATCAGTGCCTTTGCTTTTGGGATAGCAGCTTCTCAATTACAGACTTTCTGGGTCAACTTCAGTAGAAGACAGTACCTGCTAGTATCCTTGGAGTTTTAGCAGAATTTGCATTGTACTATAATGAATCTGACTGCATAATCTGCTGATGCTGAAAAATATCCTGTCCAGAGCATGCTATCCAATTCATAAGACTAGAAAAATTAGGACCCATCCTTAATGTAGGATTGGAGTGAATCCCCACTCAAACCAAAGCACTGATTGTAACACCTATAATGTTTATTTCACTTCTCACCTTTGGGGAATTGACCCTTAATGCAGTGACTGCTTGTGAAGCTGCCAATCATAGCACTACTACCTCCAATACTCCACCCAGCGCTAGATATAAGATGCAGAGGGTTGATCACAATGCTGTATCCTCCCATCTAAAGTGATTGGTGCAATGAGTGACCAATGTCAGTTAAATCATTGTCTATCCCTTAGATATATATAATACTTATAAGCAAAAGACAGTCATCTTATATAAAAGCTTGATACTGAGCGATAAGCTAAGGTGAGAGCTTGAGGAATGTATTTATAGAGAAGTCTGCAGGTTTCAGGCATCGAGAGTGCTGAATGTTTCCTTTTTTCTGCAGCCTTTTATTTGTTGATTCTGTGGCATATGCCAGTATCCTTCCAAAACGCTTGTTGTTGTTATTGTTTGTTAAATGAATTATAGTTACATTTCCATCACTAACAATACAAAGAGACA
The DNA here is from genome assembly GCF_000001405.40 of Homo sapiens. Taxonomy (NCBI): domain Eukaryota; kingdom Metazoa; phylum Chordata; class Mammalia; order Primates; family Hominidae; genus Homo; species Homo sapiens. The sequence continues at coordinate 44,972,061 of NC_000004.12, forward strand.
TTGACAACATTCTTCGGTTCTTGAGACTTTTCTAGTAAGTGGGCTCTTGTCCTGTGTTCTATGCTTGAGTATCTATTTTGAAAAATTGCCTAGTAGACCTTTTAATTTTTATTGTGAAATATGAAAAGAGTTATAAAAATTGCTGTAATAGTACAAGGGTTTTCTTTACACTCAGATTACTCGTGTTAACATTTTACTATGTTTGCTGCATCCTTTTCTTTCCCTCTCTATACATTTATTTGTACATATGGAGACTATTTTGCATACATGATGCCCTTTGAGCCTTAATTCCTTAGTGTGTACTTCCTAAAATACAGCTACATCATCTTATATAATGAAGTAAATAAGAAATATCAAGAAATTACCATAGACAATATTATCTAATCTGCACCCCTTATTGAGATTTTAGCCAATTGTCTCAATTTTGATCTTTTTAGCAAAAGAAATTCCTGGATCATAAGTTGCATCCATCAGTCATATCTCCTTAGCTGTCTTCAATCTGGTGCCATTCTTTGTTTCTTCTTTTATTTCCTAACATTGGCATTTTTAAATATACAGTTCAGTTGTTGTGTATCATATGATGCTCATGTAAACAATTAAATTTGCCAATATTTTCTTTGTAATTCACATGTATGTTGTGGGGGGGCACTTTGGCTAAAATCGTTTGACTCTTCATAATTTCACCACTGATTTTTCCATCTTTATGTCTCTTCTTTGCTCTCACTAATTTCCTCTGTGAATAATTATCTATTTTCTCTGACTTTTCTGCCCCCACCTCTACCCCTGTATACACACAACAAACACCCTGTTTCTAATGCCAAGTCTTTAACTAGAGTCTTGCAAGGCACTATTAGAATCCACTAATGGTTCTTTGCCTGGTATAATCTTAGGTTCCTTGTCACTATATTATACTGATCTGCAGAATCCGTCACTTAACATTTTATTGAAACTAGCCTATAATACTGCCTGCTTGTTATCTGTGGCTTAAATCTCTAAATAATTGACTCTGCCTAAGTGGATGCCCTTCTGTCTGTAGCTGGATGCACCCCTACATTGTTGTTGTGTGTTTGTTTTCCTTTTACTTTTAAACTTTGCAGGTCTCTTAGCTGTCCTAGTCCCATTAACCCTCAACATCTTTTTCTAATAACAGAGAAATAAATGTTGGTTCCTGGCTGCTTGCTAACTGGTAATTCAAGAGACATGTGAAATATTATGGAGCAATGATATTGTCTGGCAGTAATGATAATTTTTCCAGTAGCAACTTTTCTATTGCTCCAGTTTGAAATGGTTCAAATATTATCATAAAGTTGTGAAAATTAATTTATGGTGTTATTTAAGTTACATGCACAGAAAGATGAGTGACTTTCAGTCTTGAAATCCTCATCAAGAAAATTGACCAACTGAGGGAGTTGGAGGAAATTAGAGTTTATTTTGTTTACATTTTCAGTTTTTGTGTTAAATTCAGGACGAGGTCAGAAACACTGGGATGTTGTGATTGTTAATACTGACTGTCAACTTGATTGGATTGAAGGATACAAAGTATTGATCCTGGGTGTGTCTGTGAGGGTGTTGCCAAAGGAGATTAATGTTGAGTCAGTGGGCTGGGAGAGGCAGACCCACCCTTAATCTGAGTGGGCACAATCTAACCAGCTGCCAGCATGGCTAGACAGGCAGAAAAATGTGAAAAGAGCAACTGGCCTAGCCTCCCAGCCTACATCTTTCTCCCATGCTGGATGCTTCCTGCCCTCAAACATCAGACTCCAAGTTCTTCAGTTTTCAAACTTGGACTGGCTCTCCTTGCTCCTTAGCTTGCACGGACTGGCTCTCATTGCTCCTTAGCTTGCAGATGACCTATTGTGGGACCTTATGATCATGTGAGTTAATACTTAAACACACACACACACACACACACACACACACACACACACACACATATTCTATTAGTTCTGTCCCTCCAGAGAACCCTGACTAATGCAGATGCTGAAGAGGAAATTGGAAACACCTCATCCTACTAAACAAAGAAGAAAAGTAGAGCACAGAAATCAGAGGAAGTTTCCTGTCACTATCACAGCAAGGGAACCACAGACAATTCATGTGGAATCATTTCTACAGGAAGTTATAACATTTCTTAAGCCTCATGATTTCCTTGATGTTTATGATTTTTATTATTTTCTTTTATTTCCTTGTAACTAATAGCAATAAAACTCAGGAACAAGCATAGCCCTCTGTAGAGAAATAGAAAAGGGAAAGTGAAAGAAAAGTGCTCCTATTTTAAAAAGTGACACTGATGTCATGAGGAAGGAACATGTTATATTCCTAGTGCAAGGACAAGACAGAAAAAGACATTAGAAAGATGTTTTGGTCTGAGTAGCAGTTGGGGTTTATCCACTAAGGACACACAAGAGCATTCTTACATTGACCACTAAAATTATTTCAAATTCAAAAGATTCTGGCTTCTTTATTCATGTTTGTGCTTTAGATACAACAATGTCACAGACTCTAAATCCTGTGTACTTATTTTTTGGAGAGTGTTGTAGGTATATTTCATATTAATTCTCATAACACCAGTGAGAAAGATAAAAGATATGTTTTATTTATATATAGGGTTGTTATTCTTTCAAAAGTAAAGAGTTCTGAATATTTTCTTTTCAGTCTGTAAGCTCCATGAGGACAAGTACCTGTATTGCTTACTACAATATTCTAGGTAGAATGCTATGTACATAGCATGTAACCAAAGTATATTGTCACTCACTAAGTGGCATGCTTAATACACAGAGCTTATTGGCTGCAGATAGCACTTTACTTTGTACTCCTGCCTCCTTCCAGTAAGGAACTCAAAAAAATCTTATGTTTAACTTTATGAAAAAACACACAAAGGCTTAGAAAGTCTTGACATCACTTGTTTTTCTCAGGTTTGTCAAAGATCAGATAGTTGTAGGTATGCGGCGTTATTTCTGAGGGCTCTGTTCTGTTCCATTGATCTATATCTCTGTTTTGGTACCAGTACCATGCTGTTTTGGTTACTGTAGCCTTGTAGTATAGTTTGAAGTCAGGTCGTGTGATGCCTCCAGCTTTGTTCTTTTGGCTTAGGATTGACTTGGCGATGCGGGCTCTTTTTTGGTTCCATATGAACTTTAAAGTAGTTTTTTCCAATTCTGTGAAGAAAGGCATTGGTAGCTTGATGGGGATGGCATTGAATCTGTAAATTACCTTGGGCAGTATGGCCATTTTCACGATATTGATTCTTCCTACCCATGAGCATGGAATGTTCTTCCATTTGTTTGTATCCTCTTTTATTTCCTTGAGCAGTGGTTTGTAGTTCTCCTTGAAGAGGTCCTTCACATCCCTTGTAAGTTGGATTCCTAGGTATTTTATTCTCTTTGAAGCAATTGTGAATGGGAGTTCACTCATGATTTGGCTCTCTGTTTGTCTGTTGTTGGTGTATAAGAATGCTTGTGATTTTTGTACATTGATTTTGTATCCTGAGACTTTGCTGAAGTTGCTTATCAGCTTAAGGAGATTTTGGGCTGAGACAATGGGGTTTTCTAGATATACAATCATGTCGTCTGCAAACAGGGACAATTTGACTTCCTCTTTTCCTAATTGAATACCCTTTATTTCCTTCTCCTGCCTAATTGCCCTGGCCAGAACTTCCAACACTATGTTGAATAGGAGTGGTGAGAGAGGGCATCCCTGTCTTGTGCCAGTTTTCAAAGGGAATGCTTCCAGTTTTTACCCATTCAGTATGATATTGGCTGTGGGTTTGTCATAGATAGCTCTTATTATTTTGAAATACATCCCATCAATACCTAATTTATTGAGAGTTTTTAGCATGAAGGGTTGTTGAATTTTGTCCAAGGCTTTTTCTGCATCTATTGAGATAATCATGTGGTTTTTGTCTTTGGTTCTGTTTATATGCTGGATTACATTTATTGATTTGCGTATATTGAACCAGCCTTGCATCCCAGGGATGAAGCCCACTTGATCATGGTGGATAAGCTTTTTGATGTGCTGCTGGATTCGGTTTGCCAGTATTTTATTGAGGATTTTTGCATCAATGTTCATCAAGGATAACAAGCAATGGGGAAAGGATTCCCTATTTAATAAATGGTGCTGGGAAAACTGGCTAGCCGTATGTAGAAAGCTGAAACTGGATCTCTTCCTTACACCTTATACAAAAATCAATTCAAGATGGATTAAAGATTTAAATGTTAGGCCTAAAACCATAAAAACCCTAGAAGAAAACCTAGCCATTACCATTCAGGACATAGGCATGGGCAAGGACTTCATGTCCAAAACACCAAAAGCAATGGCAACAAAAGACAAAATTGACAAATGGGATCTAATTAAACTAAAGAGCTTCTGCACAACAAAAGAAACTACCATCAGAGTGAACAGGCAACATACAAAATGGGAGAAAATTTTCGCAACCTACTCATCTGACAAAGGGCTAATATCCAGAATCTACAATGAACTCAAACAAATTTACAAGAAAAAAACAAACAACCCCATCAAAAAGTGGGCGAAGGACATGAACAGACACTTCTCAAAAGAAGACATTTATGCAGCCAAAAAACACATGAAAAAATGCTCATCATCACTAGCCATCAGAGAAATGCAAATCAAAACCACTATGAGATACCATCTCACACCAGTTAGAATGGCAATCATTAAAAAGTCAGGAAACAACAGGTGCTGGAGAGGATGTGGAGAAATAGGAACACTTTTACACTGTTGGTGGGACTGTAAACTAGTTCAACCATTGTAGAAGTCAGTGTGGCGATTCCTCAGGGATCTAGAACTAGAAATACCATTTGACCCAGCCATCCCATTACTGGGTATATACCCAAATGACTATAAATCATGCTGCTATAAAGACACATGCACACGTATGTGTATTGCCGCATTATTCACAATAGCAAAGACTTGGAACCAATCCAAATGTCCAACAATGATAGACTGGATTAAGAAAATGTGGCACATATACACCATGGAATACTATGAAGCCATAAAAAATGATGAGTTCATGTTCTTTGTAGGGACATGGATGAAATTGGAAATCATCATTCTCAGTAAACTATCGCAAGAACAAAAAACCAAACACCGCATATTCTCACTCATAGGTGGGAATTGAACAACGAGATCACATGGACACAGGAAGGGGAATATCACACTCTGGGGACTGTTGTGGGGTGGAGGGAGGGGGGAGGGATAGCATTGGGAGATATACCTAATGCTAGATGACGAGTTAGTGGGTGCAGCACACCAGCATGGCACATGTATACATATATAACTAACCTGCACAATGTGCACATGTACCCTAAAACTTAAAGTATAATAAAAAAAAAAAAAAGAAAGTCTTGACATCTTTATTTTTACAAATATCCCAAAGAACTAATTTATGCAGGTTATAAACTAAATCAAACCACATCCCTTTATTCTAAACTTTGGAATCCAGCTACACGTTGCAGAAATAACTGGGTAACTGGAGTGTATTAGGGTGGGCTATAAATGGTTAGAGCTTGGAGCCTGACTTGTCCTATTCCAATGCCCTCTTTCTACAAGGGTATAAAGGAAAAACATGCCAAATACCAGACTGAATGAGTGATGCTCTAGTTTATTCCCTTTTCTACTTGTAACAGAATTTGCCCCCAAACTGAATAGAGAGCAACCTCATATAGATTTATACTTTTAGTTAAATTCAAATTCCAGCCCTAACTCTTAAGAAAGCTACCATGTTATCAATATTAATAACATACAGCCTGGAGAAAAATATGAAGTTTTCATGATTGACTCCCCCTTGGCTAGTCACGGTTCACAGATAAGACCTTGAGGGTTATATTAGCTCTTTCTATACTCACCTCCGGGGTTTGATCCAATGCCAACATTTGGGAGTCCTCAATCACTGGTTTGTGAACCTATTGTTGCATTTTAATCCTTCTTAAATTCTAATTAAGTTATAGTCGTAATGAAAAGTAATTATGTTTACTGAAAGACCTATGATTAATGTAAACCACAAAGCAATTAGATGAAGAGAGAACAAAATGTGCTTAATATCATGATGTACTGGCCCTGAGCAGAATTAACAATATATTTGAAATGTGGACCCTTCTGCACAGATCATTGACATGGTTGTCATGGAAACTGCCTGTTTTGACATTACTGAAGTCTCTAGGCATCTCTTCTAGGTTCAAACAGTAATTGACATGTACATCCATTTGGTCAGATAAGATGTCTTATTTCTGGCACCTTTATTATCCACAAATATCATGGTTCTCTTTAAATAATGAAACATTGCATTAAAAATAGTAACCACACATCTTTCAGCTTTTAGAGTTTTGGTTGACAACTGTTGATAGCATCACTGAGACATTATTGTGGCTAGATAGTATATAGATTTTGTAGTCAACTAAAAAGTATTATTTGCAATAATGGTGTAAAACCCTGAGATTCAAAAAATAGAAATGCTTTGTTTTTCCTAAGTGAAAAAATTGCTAGAATTCTTTCTAAGATCGTTTTTGTTTTTCCTGGATGTTTCAATATAGATCAAGAAATTTGATGTTAAAAAATTTACTACATTTTACATAAATATTGTACTAGGAAGATGTAGTCACAGAAAATCTGTAAATAAATTCAATTTCTCCATTATTTATCGATTTAAATTTCTCACCTGCTTCAGACACTGCTAGGAATAGATGGCATCGTCTCTCACATTGAAAGTTTGAGCAGAATAGTTCTTAATTTTGAAGGACTAATTTTACAATTTTAGGAAGCTTAGCATTCCTGTCCTTTATTAAATGCCAGTAGTAACTACCTGCCCCAGTCATGGTGACAACTAAATATGAATTCACCACACCTTTTCAAATGCCCCCTATGTAGAGTATGGGATGGAGTGGGAGAAGTAATACTATTCTTGGTTAGAAATAACCATAAATATCTTAACAAAGATGTCATTTTCTAGTTCTGTCATTTTCTCAGCAGATGGCTCTTAACTTGTTAAACTTATCAGGTATGAGTCTCACATTAATTGAAGATTGTAAGGTAGCAATTGCTTTAAGCTGGCATGAATAATACAAGAATGTTATGAAAAGAAGAAAAGCAGAGTTAAAAATATTTGATAGCCTAAAAAAGCTGATAAAGGAAAAATAATCACTAGAATACAAAATAGAATCATATAGAATGGAATAGTTAAGGATTTTCATTTCTCTCTACTTAAAGTTGCAAAAGAATATAGAATTAGATAATTTTTTAGGAAAAGGTATAAAATAAATGGATAGAAGGAATGAGGGTTTGTATTATAGTCACATCAATATAGAAAAGATAAATTCATAGGCCAAGAGGAAATACCTTGTGATTTTATACTGATTGAACTTGAACAATTGGTAGGTCTTTTGGAGAAGACATCCGATAGAGGGATTATTTATATTTTTCCTGTAACTTTAAAATTTGTTAAATAAAATAAACTATACTCTTTGAATCTAGTGAATATCAGAATAAGTATTTTTCTTTTGTGTAAAAACAACTGCCATATTTCATCGATTCACATTTTTCTGCTATTGAATGCACAATAAAGCATTGCCATTAATTTAGTATAATTACTTAAAAATATTTCCTGTCACAGTCATAGGATTGGTATGCTGTAAACAGTAATTGATTAAAATAAACCATGGGAGACTAGAAATATAAAGAACCTTAGAGAGAGTCTAACATCTCTCTCACTTTATAGAAGAGGAAATTGATATTGAAAGATATATTTTTAAACAGCATATCATCTTCTTATCTATAGAAACTGGCTGAAAAATTCAGAAGATATATTTGGAATTCAAATGTAGGCTTTGGAGTTATTATATTTATATGTAATTAAAATGCAACAATATCTTAGAATGTGCCTGAATGTGATGCTGAATCAAAGAACTATGGAATTCAAAGTCCAGGGCTTAGTAGATGTCAGTTTGGGAGAATATAACAAGAAATTTTCATTAGCCACTGAATATCAACCAATAATAACAGGAGAGAGGGAGAGATAGAACAAAGCTGATTATGATGGGATAAAAAGGACTGTCCTCTATTAACATTGAAGACTATAATATTTTAGTAGCATCAGTCTGGGTAACTATTATTTTTCTCATTGCCGTGCTCATCACTTGGAGAAAGTCATAGAAATGATGAAATCTTAGATTGATTTAGAGCCAAATTTTGATGAAAATAAACTAGTGCCAGAAGAATAGGATGTTTTAATCAGAGTGATGTCTTTTAATCTAACATTTCAGGAGCAGAGGAATTCTTTGGTAATAACAAAGTCCAGGGTGTAGACATCAGAGTGGGCAGGAGGAATAGAACAGCATGAACTAATTAGAATTCTCTAAAACCAGAAAGTGAAAAAGCTTGAAAGTTAGAGAACTTTGTCACCTGGCTCTTAGGTTTACTGAGGATAGTGTTAGAGGTTGGCGTAGAAAAGAAGACAGAAAACAAGGAGCCAAGGTCTTTGATACATCAATTGGAGTGATAGGGAGCTATACAGATACAGGAAGAGTGGTGGAAGTTAAAGCAGTGATGGTCCAAAATTAGCACCATGAAGTGAAATATTGTTTTGAACTTCCCTTGCTCTGTCTCTGAGGAAAGCAGAATATGGATGGATAAGACACCACTTAATAGGGTTTTATATAAAAAGTAGTGCTTGATCTGTCAGGAATCTGTTGGGATAGTGGAAGGCTCTCTAGAAATTTCAAAGAAGGGATTTAATGGAGAGAATTAGCAACTTACAAAAACAGAGCAACCACTTTGTTCACTCAGGAAATTACTCCTGAAAAGTGGAGGAAAGCACTGTTAATACTCTTAGCTGTTTGCAGACCTGAAGTAGGCATTAACAGAGGGAAGCACTAATTCCACTGGATGTGTTTCACTAGACTCAGAAAGGACTGTGCTGGTAAAGAAGTTTGGAAAATAATTTTCCCAATCTTCATATCTTATGATATATGGTGGTGAGATGCTTAGTGGGCAGGAATAATGCTGAGTGTGAATGAACATTATCAGGGAGAAGTAACTTCAAGTAAGATGAGTTAAGACAAGGAGGTAGAGAGGAAATCAACCAATGAGTTTAAGACACAGATTTATTTGTTATTGTGGGACACGGACTAAAGAGGTCACAGGAAAAAGTTTTGAAGGAAAGAACAGTGGGAGATTGCATTAAAGCCAAGTAAGCACAGAGCAGCATGACTCTGAAACTTCTATAGGACCAGAAAAAGGCTAGGGGAAATCATATTTTGGGTGTTGTGTAAATATCATAGGGAAGCAAAGCATGGTATGAATTAGCTGACTTCCAAGTTTCCTTAAAAAAGAAAAGGTTCAACTTTTTTTGATAAAAAGAAAAACTCAGTTCTGCATGAAATGGGCAACATGAATTTTTTATGTGACTATGGGAATTCTAACGTGGCATATATGCAAGGAAATCTTGACTTTCTATGATCCTAACTATGTATTAGAAATTGTAGAAACCTCTGATAAATGGCAACACACTTCCAGTGGAAATGGAAATAGCTTTTTAATCACAATTCTTCAAAACACTTAACAAAACACAAGTATCAATGAGGAGGATATAGTATGGTGAATAAATTAGGATATATTATTGTTCTAATTATTTGTGAGTCCTTTAAGAGATTATGATTGATTCCTACTCTGCTAACTTGGAGTTGGGATCAATTTTTTTGGCCAAAATTTTTTTTGAGTGGACATATGGAACTTTTGAACAAAAGTTTAAGATGCATCATGTATTTCCACTGTTCCTCTTTTTCCTCCGTCACCAGCCCAGCATGTGTCATATAGAGGCTGCTCCCTAATTCTGAGTCTGTGAATGAAGACCTGGAGGGGAGCTGTAGCTGCCCAGGAAAAAAAATGACACGAGAAGAAAATCCACCTTTGTTTTTTGTAACTACTGAGATTTTGGTGTTGTCTGTAATTGCACCAATACCCAGTGAACCATATACATTCTATTTTCCAAATATATTTGACTATACAGATTTTTTTTTAATCTTAGAGAATCTAGTAGGACAAGTTTAATTGAAAACGTGAAAATAGGCTGGGTGCAGTGGATCATGCCTGTAATCCCAGCACTTTGAGAGGTGGAGGCTGGCAGATCACTTGAGGTCAGGAGTTTGGTATCAGCCTGGCAACACGGTGAAACCCTGTCTCCACTAAAAATACAAAAATTAGCTGGGCATGTTGGCACATGCCTCTAATCCCAGCTGCTCGGTAGGCTGAGGTACGAGAATCACTTCAATCCTGAAGCAGAGGTTGCAGTGAGCTGAGATGGCGCCACTGCACTCCAGCCTGAGCTATTAACTCTGTGTCTTCTTAAAGTAAATATTTCTAAGAAAAAAGAATTTGGTCACTGATAATTGATCTTTAAAATACTCTAAATGTAATTATCTTGATCATCTGTCCAAACAAACTTCCTCGTATCTTAATAAGATACACGCTATTGTTACTACCCAATAATGTTAATGGGATTTAAAATGTTTTTCTGATTGTTTTGTAACTCTGCTTTTTGTTTTTGTTTCACATGAGACACTCACATGGTTATTTTATAGACTTCCTTGTTGATTTGGCTTGACAAAACAGTAGTTAGGGAAAAGAGAAAATCATGTCTCATTCTAGCCAATCTAACTTGAATCATGAATGAAGAGTTTCATTGGTAGGTTTAGGTCTTGAATTAACCCTTACTGGGGGAGGTAAACAAATACAGTTGACTCCTCAACAACACAAGTTTGAACTGAGTGGGTCCATTTGTATACAAATTTTTTTCAATAAACATATTGGTACATTTTTCTGTAGATTTGCACAATTTGAAAACACCTTGTAAGGTGAATATTATCTGCAGATAATATTCCTTAGCTTAGGAGTATCCTTTAAAAATTAAGAAAATGTTAGGTATGTCATGAATGCATAAACTATGTGTAGATACTAGTTTATTTTATTATTTACCACCATAAAATATGCACAAATCTATAATAAAAGGTTAAAATTTATCAAAACATATACACACAGACACAGACCTTACATGACACCATTCATAGTTGAGGGAAAAGTAAACATATGTAAAGATGCAGATTAAATCATAACTGCATAAAATTCACTGTAGTATACATTGTATTACTGTAATAATTTCGTAACCACCTCCTTTTGCTATTGGCATAAGCTCATACTGTGAGTGTCCACTTGAAATGCTACGTGTCACTAATCATCTCCATGTGAGCAGTTTATTGCCAGTAAATTGCATATTAGAGTAAAAAGTGATCTCTCCTAGCTGTTGCAAATTTTTCACATTTAGTGTAACACTGTAAACATTAAATAATGCCATGGGATTTATACAAAGGACCACTAATGCTGACAATGCTCACAAGAAGCAGAGAAAAGTAATGACATTACACATACACAAAAAAGCTTGAATTGCTTGATATGTGCCTTAGATTGAGGCCTGAAGCTAAGATTGTTCACCATGTCAGATAGATGACTCATGTTGTAAACAGAGAACATAATTTATGATATCAATAAATACATTACCATACTGTAAACATATTTTCTCTTCTTTACGATTTTTAAAATAACATTTTCCACCTGCATTGTAAGAATACAGTATATAATACATATGACATAAAACATATGTGTTAACTGTTTATGTTATCAGTAAGACTTCCAGTCAACAGTAGGCTATTAGTAGTTAAGATTTTGGGGAGTCAAAAATTATAAGCAGATTTTCGTCTGAGTGGAGATTTGGTGCCCCTAACCTCCACCTTGTTAAAGGGTCAGCTATATGAATAATAGGAATGTGGTAGTAAGTGTTTGACTACAGGCTCTTAGCGGGGAAAAAGAGCCCTGATTTTCAGCATTTGCCTATTTTCCTGATATAAATACTCCCACCATGGTCGATATCAAGCTACTGTCCTAAAGTCACTGTGTACAATTATTGGCTCTCCTGACTGTTCAGGAACTTCTGTACACCCCGATCAGTAACCCGAGCCTTTTAACTGAGGTCTGCATTTCATTGTGCTGTTATTGGGCTGCTGTTAGTAAGCCCTGGTCATGCTTGGATATTAAATGTTATAACATCTCATGATTTCTTAAATGCCATTTTTGCCAAATCAGAATAAGAAAGCTTCTATCTGACTTCTCCTTTCCAGTTCAGGTTGACTTTGGCATCCAGAATCCTGTGATGACTTATATCCCAGTTATCTAGAAACCTGACACTGCTTGCTTTTGATAGTCCTTTCTCCATTGGAGCTGAATTCTGTACATTTTACCTTCAACTGTGTATATGTCTTTCTATAAACAGAGCAGCTATCCAGAACATTCATTCTTCTCACCCTGTCTCCAAGAATTGGTTCTCACCAATCTTTATTTTACCATACCTCTCTGTCTCTTTCCTGAATTTTACTTTTTCAGTTACTGACACCTGTCCAAATCACCTTACATTTGCCCACTTGGACATTTCATCAACTTGCCCAATTATCCTATTGTAGTGACACTATGACTTTTTATTATATTCAGTGACTGAGATCAGAGTTGCCTAATTCCAAGACCCTGAGTTATAACAACTGTTGTGAGTAAATGTAACACGAATGTGCTAGACAGTTTGATTAATGTTTGTGATTAATGTATTCAAAAGACCCAAGGTAACTAAAATTATATTTGTCAAGTTTTAAAGTGCTGAATTTCTGAGATATACTATTATCATAATGTAAAAATTATTTAGGTTGAAAGGTATTCTTGGTTTGATAAATAATGGAAGAAAGAACAATGATCTAATAACATAAATATATATAACAGGTATATTTAAACTTGATAAAATTACTTCACTCAGGTAAAATAATATGAGCATTTTTTTTCAAGATTATGTAATATATATGAGTCTCGCCCAGTTGATACTAAAACTTTTCTTCATCAAAATGAAACCACCCACACAAACTTTATAAAATTATTTAGGGAAAAAAGGAGGGGGAGAAATGAAAATAAACCGAGTTTGCAGCACGTTCAGCATCAATCATGAGGTCAGCTTGCTCTTGGCCCTGCTTCATCATAGCTGTTTCGTGCCCATTGTCCTAGAATCACAATACTCTGTTACAAGACTCTAGTTTCCCTTAATTGTTGTGTAGATAACAATGTGAACATTATAAAATATTGTTTTCCCTTTCAGATATTCTTTCAGATACTGTGTACTGATGAAACTGCTGACTCAGCTGGTCTGAAGGACCCCACTGGCACTGGCTGGTCTGAAGGACCCTGCTGATCACAACTTGCCTGAAGGACCCTACTGACATCAGCTGTTGTCCAAAGGACGCCACAAGAAACTGACTCACCAAAAAATGCATCCTGATGATTTCATCCCCCTTAACCCGACCAATCAACAACCCCAAATCTACACAGCCCCTTTCCCTCCATGATTCCTACAAAACTCCAGCCCAGAACTCCTCAGGGAGATGGATTTGAAGGTCTCCTCCCTTCTACTTGCTTGATGCCCTATTATTATTAAACTCTTTGCTACAAACCCTGCTGTCTCTGTGTAATGAGTCTGTTACTTCATAGGGGCATATGAAGTTGTTAGTCCTATATTAAAAATAAGATGGTAAGCAGGAGATACACCTGCAAGTATGCCTTTTATATCAAAGTGACACTAAGAATTCAGAGTAACAATGCATTATACAGTGATACTTTCAAGACAAGTTAGCAGAATAGTGTTACTAAAAAACTTGCAGCATCTGTAACACACTATTAGACAGTATGGCTTGAGTAATGAAAATGGAAAATGTGTTATTTGAACAGATGTTGCAGCTATATTTGGAGAGATGTAGCCACTAACCTATGTATATATTTATCTTCAAATGGCCAGACTGACCCTGCTTGAACGTGAAGAAAATCCTTCTTAAGAGGCACACCGAAATTCAAAATAGTTTCTGCTGTGTCCTTGCTAGAACTTGCATTAAAGTGAGCCTAGCAGAACAACCCCGAAAGTTGATGATTCATAAATGTCTTGAAAGATTTTGAAATTTCATTTGAGTATCACGTTATGGAATCCAAATATAGTTTTGTTACAGTAGGTAGCTAGTCAGACAAGAACAGGGCAGGAGAGGGCTCCCTCACCTCAAAACACACACAACAGGAATGTCAGATGTCAGGCAACCATCAGATGATGGTCCGGCAGTTGTTAACTGTCTTTTTAAAATAATAATTGGTCACAGCCAGCAGCAGGAACAGTCTCCCAATAAACAGAAACACCTGAAGCTGGTAATCAGCAACTTCCGGATAAGATCTCAGTAGTTGGACCAGGCGTGGTGGCTCATGCCTGTAATCCCACCACTTTGGGAGGCTGAGGCAGGTGGATCGCCTGAGGTCAGGAGTTCGAGACCAGCCTGGCAAACATAGTGACACATTGTCTCTACTAAAAATACAAAAAAAAAAAAGAAAAAAGAAAAAAGAAAACCACGTAGCTAGGTGTGGTGGTGGGTGCTTGTAGTCCCAGCTACTAGTAGGAAGGCTGAGGCAGGAGAATCGCTTGAACCAGGGAGGAGGAGGTTGCAGTAAGCTGAGATAATGCCATTGCACTCCAGCCTGGGAAACAAGAGCAAAACTCCATCTCAAAAAAAAAAAAAGTCTCAGTAGTTGGGTGAGTGGGCTCAAGCATGCACATTGAGAGGCAAAATGGCAGAGTTTAAGTGGTATATGACCTTGTAGGGACATTTGACTGATAAGAAAAAAATGCCTCAAGTAAGCATGCGTATAGCTCCTGTAAACACACTGCATATGTGACCCCTCCCAAGTGCTAGCAGGCCACTGTGCATGCAGACAACCTATCCTAAAGGAAGAATCAGAGAAGGGATGCAACACCCCAGAAGTATGCCAACATATAAAATCCTAAGTCAAAGGTCAAACTGCACCCTTGATCTCTCAAGTTGCCCACTTGGCCCTCTTCCAAGTGTAATTCCATTTATTCCTGCTCTAAACTTTTTCATAAACTTTTTCTCCTGCTCCAAAACTTTCCTAGGTCTTTCACTCTTCCTGATGCCCCTTGGTCAAATTCTTTCTTCCAAGAAGGCAAGAACTGAGGTTGCTGAAGACCCATATGGATTCAATCTCCGTAACATACTTTGGTATGTTACATAGGTTCCATACAAATGTTTGGTTTGGTAACATATGTTCCCCAGTGGTAAAACAGCTCTATGCCTTACCATCTTTGGTTGGTGGCATTCAACCCCATAAATAATTTTCTTCTCCCCTTTCACTCTCCTGCTTACCAACCCCCAGGATGACTCCTTTTGGCCACAGTGGTTCTGCTTGCTCCAGCTGATATCTCAGCTCACCCTGATGGGTGGTTGTTGGTGTTGGGAAGGACCTTGGAGTCTTCACTGAATATAACTGAGCCACTAATGGCCCTCCTGGGCAGGAGGCTTCTGAGAGTGTTAGGACTAAAGCCTAAAATTGTGAAATGTCTGGGGTTTCCTCTGCTTTTTCAACTAAAGTTGGCTCTTTCCCATAAACCCACACCACCTATCCACCTATTCTCCTGTCCTCTCCTCTCCTCTCCTCTCCTCTTTTCTTTTCTTTTCTTTCTTTTTTGACAGAATCTCGCTCTGTCACCCAGGCTGGAGTGCAGTGGTGCCATCTAGGCTCACTGTAACCTCCGCCTCCCAAGTTCAAGCAATTCTTGTGCCTCAGCCTCCCAAGTAGCTGGGACTACAGGTGCACACCGCCATGCCCAGCTAACTTCTTTTGTATTTTAGTAGAGACAGGCTTTCACCACATTACCCAAGCTGGTCACAAACTCCTGAGCTCAGGCAATCCACCTGCCACAGCCTCCCAAAGTGCTAGGATTACGGGTGCGAGCCACCATGCCTAGCCTATTTTCCTGTTTTCTCTGTGGGTATTCTAAAATGGGCCTTGTGCACCCACTGGACCATCTGACTCAGGGGCCAATCTGTGTCTTTGCTTTCACTTCATATGCCACGTGACGTCTTAAACACACTTCATGTTATTCATGTGCCATCAGCTCTTGGTGCATTTGTGCAGCAGCAAAGACTCACTTGCAAATATTCCCTGGAACTTATACTTGTTTTTACCCTACCAGCTCAGATGGCTTCCAACCCTTCCCCTGTCTGCTGGCACGCTGCCAGGACAGACACTAATTGGAACTCCAGCTCTGCCGACAACTTATGACTTACCATATGCTTTTCATTCCTGTTATGCCCCAGGACCAAGTTTTCTGGTGGCTTTTGAAGGCGTTTGTCTGTCTGCATAGGGCCTCACTCTGTAGCCCTTTAAAGATCCCACTTACTTGCTTTTTTCAGTTAGCACCCCTTTGGGAGGAGGGAAAAATTCTTCCTTTGCTATTTGCGACTTCGTATCCCAAGCCCCAAGACTTCTGGAGGTTACTACTCTATGTCAAGAGGACAAATAAGCATTGATCTCTCAAATCCAAGAGCTGCTGTTTTGTGAGTATATGAAGCCTTTCCATGAGTATCCCTCTCACTTCCTCCTGTAGCCTCCATTTCTCTAATTACTACCATGCCCTTCCCAACATTCATCAAGACATTCAAGGTCATATTTGAAGGGAGAGAAGTTTAGTCCCCTTTCATCAGTTAATTGAAAAACAGGCTTCTCAGATGAGAAGCTTAAAGACCATGGGAAATGGGAATCTAAGAAAAGAGGTAATCATTTTGAGGCTGGAATGCTTCGAGTAAGAGTCACTATAAGGTGATGGAGACAGGGATATAGGCTGGCCCAAGGTTGCCGGCAGAAGAAACTCATAGGACAGAGATGAAGGTCGGTCCCAGGCTGAAAGATTATCATTAGAACAGAGATGAAGGCAAGGTTAGGGGTATATGGTAAGACCAGTTTATTCAGAACCTGAAGGAAGAACAGGACAGGGCCCACTGTTCACTTTGGTATCTCTTCTCAAGTGGGTAGTTGTGATGAGATGGGACCAAGGATAAGGGAACATGGTAAGACAGGTTCATTCCAGAACCCAAGTCACAAATGGGGACACCTTATTAAAGATAATATGAAACTAAGAGGGGATGCCTTCTTTTTCCTTTTTCTTTCTTTTTTTCTCCTCTGTTCTGTCTTCACAGATGGGTAATTATGGCTCCATACCACAGGACACAACCCTCGCATGCATCCTCAATTGAGGATGCATGCGAGGGGTGTGTCCTAAAAAGTAAATGACTAGTGTTTTTCTGTAACACAGCCTGTGTTGAATACAAGCTTGAATACAAGCTTTGGGACCAGGAATTTTGGCTGGAAAATGGAAGCCTAAATTTTAATATGATCTATCAACTAGATTTGTTTTACTACCAGAAAGAAAAATGGACAGAACCCCTATGTACAGGCCTTCATGGCCCGAAAAAACAACCCTGCCCTTTGTCAGGCTTATAAAATTGATCCAGCAATGGTAGTGGCCATCATTAGGCAGCCGCCTGCAATTGGTTCAGGACATCCATTATTGAGTTTACTCAGGGCTGAAGCACCAGAGGAACCAAGAGCAGAGTTTAGCTCAAACCCCACTGTCCTTTCTACCCTGTTATATCCAAATCTCCCAGCCCCAGAAACTTCCCCTCCCTACCCAGGGTCATCCTCTGGAAATCACCCCCTTAAGTTACGCCCTCTTCAAGAGGTTAGTGGCCCCAGTAGACCCACTAGAGTCCAGACTCCATTCACTATGCAAGACCTGAGCCAAATTAAAACAGAACTAGGGAAGTTTATAAAGGACCCTGACAAATATATCAAAGGGTTCCATAAACTGGGCTTAACATTTGAACTCACCTAGAAGGATTTATCAGTCATATAGAGAAAACTCCGTCTAAGAATATGACTCCATTATGGAGGGGGCCAACAATTTGCAAATTCAATGCATATAATGGTTCCTGGTGGCTACCCTGTGGGATCCACTGCAGTTCCCCAGGTCAACCCCAATTGGTATTACAATACCCAGGGGGGTATATGGGCAAAGGACCACATGTTCATCTGTCTGGTAGAAGAGTAAAAGCTAGAATAACAAAGCCTGTGACCTCTAATAGATTGGCCTTAATAGACCAAGCCCATCTTGAAAACCCATTGCTGTCCTAGAGAGGCTACAAGAGACCCTAATGAAACATACCAACATTGACTCAGAGACACCAGAAAGGCAACTGGTCCTAAAGGACCATTTCCTAACTCAGGCAGCCCTAGATATTCAGAGGAAACTCCAAAAGCTCACACTGGGCCCTGATATCCCTATGCTTGACATCCTCAGACTAACTTCCTTGGTCTTTTACAACCAGGACCTGGTGAAAGAGGAAAGGGCTCAGGAAAAGGAGAGGCAAAAGGAAAAGCAGCAGTTCCAACTACTTGCTGCCCTACAAGTCTGCTAAGCCCCTTGAGGTTGCTCTTGGAATATCTTCCCAGGCAACTGCTGTCAGTGTGGGAAGCCAGGCCACTGGAAGGCCAATTGCCCCAATGAGATAGATGGGAAAAAGCCCTGAACAGCTTGGCTCCTCTGCCACAAGCTCGTCCCCTGAAAACAGGACTGCCCTGAGCTCTGAAGGAACCCTGGGACAGAATCCTAATCCCTGATAGCCTTGAGCTGAAGAGGCCCTATGCTCTGGTTGGCTCCTGGATCAAACTTCACTATAGAAGAGATGGAGCCAAGGGCTGCTTTGGATGTGGTAGGTAGAAATATAAGTTTTCTTTTGGACACAGGAGCAGCCTGCTCAGTGCTTATCTCTTTTACTGGGCAATTATTCTCCAAATTCCCTCAGCTGATGGTAGTAAATGGGGCACTCATAACCTGGAGGTTTACTCCTCTTCTGTGGGGCCTGTGTGTGGCAACTGTTTTTTCTCACTCATTTTTAGTGATGCCAGAATGTCCTATGTCCCTTTTGGGTAGAGATATTTTGTTCAGACTAGGATCTCAGTTAACCTTTCCTCCAGGACCAGCACACCCTTTTCCAAATACAATCTTAGGCCACACACACACACACACACACACACACACACACACACACACATGTATGAACTGTGCACAGGCCTTCCCATTAATCCAGAGGTCTGCCCCCCAGGAATACCAGGAAAGGCCATAATGGCAATGCCTATAGTAATTCAGCTCAAGAATCTTCCTGCTATCCTGTAGAAGGCTGTTTCCTCTTCAGCCAGAGGAGGAAAAGGGACTTCCACCCATGATTGAAAAATCTGTAAAACATGGATTATTAATACCCTGTAACTCACCCTGTAACACCCCTATCTTACCTGTTAAAAAGAGCAATGGAACAATGGAGAATACAGGCTAGTCCAGGACCTGCAAATCTTGAATGAGGCAGCAGTCTCAATACACCCAATGGTCCCCAATGCATATGTAATTCCAGGAGAAGTACCTCCAGAGGCTCAGTGGTTTTCAGTCTTAGATCTCAAAGATGCTTTCTTTTGTATCCCCTTAGACCCATCATCCCGACTTTTATTGCATTTGAGTGAGAGAATTAAAAAGGAAAGATTCAACTGGACAGTGCTTCCACGAGGTTACAGAGATAGTCCCCATTTGTTTGGGCAAGTCATGGCTAGAGATTTGCAGGTTCTAACTCTTAAGGGGAGAGGGTGTCTTCTATAGTATGCAGATGATCTGTTAGTCTGTTCTCCCACAAGAACATTAGGAATCCAACATCTAGTCCAGACTTTAAGTTTTCTTGCAGACAGAAGGTACAAGGTGTCCAAAGCCAAGGAACAGCTACTAACACAAGAGGTCTAATACCTGGGAATGATCCTTACCCCTGGAGAACATAAGCTCTCTCCGGAACAGATAAAGTTCATCCTTAGAATACCTACCCCAACCACTTGAAAGCAATTTCGGGCTTTTCTAGGGATCACAGGATATTGCAGACTTTGGACACTGGGATATCGTGGAATTGTTAAGTTCTTATATCAGGCTCCAAAAGAAGGGACTGATAGGGACCCACTTCAGTGAGAAAAGGATCAAGAGCAAGCCTTTAGGCAGCTAAACACTGCTCTCTCACAAGATCCTGCCCTTGGGCCACCCATACTAACCAAATCTTTTCATCACTAAGAAGCAAGGTGTAGCCCTAGGAGTTCTAACTCAAAGTGTCTGGCCAATCAATCATCCTGTAGGCTACTTTTCAAAGAATCTAGACCCAGTAGCATAAGCGTGGCTACATTTTCTCAAGGTAGTGGCTGTAGCAGCCCTCTCACTTGAGAAGGCCCTCAAAATCATGATGGGACAGTCAATCTGGCTCCTGATGTTCCACAAAATAGGCCCTTCATTGGACATAAAGGAACCACAGTGGCTCACTGACAACAGACTGATCAAGTACTAAGTCTTGTTGTTAGAAAACTTGAGCAGTCTGTTGAGTGGCGTTCTACCCTTAACCCAACCTCCTTACTCCCACTACCAGGAAAGGATGACTCAAAACATGCGCATTGTGAGATGCTTAACCAAATTTATGCCAGTCTGTAAGACTTAAAGGATCAGCCCCTAGATAATCCAGATAGAATATGGTTGTCATATTGCAGTAGCTTTGATAGGAATGAAATCAGATAGGAAGGGTATGCTATAGTGTCCCTTCACCAAGTTATAGAGGCTAAAGTTCTGTCCCTGGGAACCTCAGCACAACTAGCCAGACTGATTTTTCTGACCAGAGCACTAAAACTAGGGCAAAAAAAGAAGAATAGCCATGTGTGTGGATTCCAAATACGCCTTTCTGGTGCTTCCTGTGCACATGGTTATCTGGAAGGAAAGTGGGTATCTAACACCTTGGGATATTCCTATTAAGTAAGGGCCTCAAATATTAGAGCTAGTAGAGGCTGTTCAGTTGCCCCAGGAAGTGACAGTAGTGCACTATAAAGGAGACCAGAAGAACTCTGATGAAAGTGCATGGGAAATAGGTTAGCTGACCAAAAAGCTAAAGACACAGCCATTTCAAACGATACCTTCATGGAGGCCTTATTCCCCTCTCTCCCCAGTGAACTTCCCCATCTCCAATACACTAAGGAAGAAGTAGATTGGGCCACTTTACATGGGTATAAAGAAGAAACTAACAAATTGTACAGGTTGGGAGAACTTCTCCATCTACTTAAAGCCTCCCAATGGAAAGTCATCAAGAGTTTACCTGACTCCTGGCACCTTGGAAAGGACAGTCTAAGGCAAATTTGTAAATGAGTGTTCAGTGGAAGGGACTAAATCTAAACAAAACTATTCAACAGGTTTTTTAAGCCTGCACCTTGTATACCATAAATAATCCCCAGAGATGGAATCCCCTTTCATTAGTAAGTTCAATCCGAAGTAGAGGTACATACCCTGGGGAGGAGTGGCAGATGGACTCCATTCAGCTCCCCACATTCTGCAGGTAAAAATACCTTTTGGTCTGTGTAGATGTCTTCACAGGATGTGTAGAAGCCTGCTTCACAAGGACAGAAAAGGCATGGGAATTAGCTAAATTCCTCTTAAAGGAACTCATTCCCTGATTTGGGCTCCCTGGGTCATTGCAGAATGACAATGGTCCATCCTTTATTTCCCATGTAACTCAACAGGTTAGTAGTTCCCTAGGTATAAAGTAGTACCTTCACACTGCCTGGAGACTGCAATCTTCAGGAAAAGTGGAGAGAACTAACCAAACCCTCAAACGCATCCTTAATAAACTCTGCCAGGAAACAGCATAGCCATGAGTGTGGACCTTTCACCTTTAGCTCTCCTTTGCATCTGTATTGCCCCTAACACTCCCTTGGAATAAAGGCCTTTAGAGGCCTTATATGGTAGACCATTCCTATATTAAGACTTATTACCAGATGAAGAAACTGCCAAAATCACCTAGTATGTCTCTTCTTTAGCAGGGTTCCAACAGGCTCTCCAGGAATATGGAGGAAACCTAAAATCAGAAGGGGAAAAATCCCCACCTCTGCATCCTCTAAGCTCACCAGTTCTGATTAAAGCCTGAAAGAATGCAACCCTGAATTCCCAACTAACTCCACTCTGGAAGGGCCCCTTCACTATTCTATTATCTCCTCCCATAGCCATTACAGTACCGGAGATTGCCTGCTGGATATATCATACCCAAGGGAAGCTGTGGAAAGGACCCCACACACCAGAGCCAGAAGAAACACCCACAGCTCCTGAATATACTTGCAAGGCACTGGAAGATCTGAAATTCCTCTTTAAGTGAAAAGATAAGTAATGCTTATTCACCTCAAAGTAAGGTGATCCCAATGTCAGGAATTTTACTTGCAATTGCTCTGATTGTTATCATTATTTTAACCCTAACCTGTACACCACCAGAAGTTTCAGCAGCAGCTTGCTTTGTGAACAATTTCTCTCTTTTACAATCACCATAGGTCGCTGTGGTCTGCTCCTGCTGGTTCTCATACTCACCACTTTATGAGTAGCATGCTATCATCTTGATTTCCCATGAGAAAATACTCGGCAATTGATCCAAAGCACGGGATTCCCTTCCCCACCAATTGCTTCTACTAAAACACCAGAGAGAGCTTTTCCAGCCTCGCCCAGAGACTGGACAAGCATACAGGTGGAATTACGTAGTTTCTATCAATGAGACCTAATCTGAAAAGGATGTTTGGACCTGCAAATAGTCTTCTTGCAAAAGTAAAGCAAGATTTCATTGGTATCTGCAGGGAGCCTCCCATTTTTGGGCCCATCTTTTCTAACATCGATTTAATGGCAGTAGCCTCTATTTGTGTTATAACCAAAAGCAAAAATGTAAAGAATGTAGGCACTCTTCCATGTACATGTTCTAACAGTACAGTTTGTAGTGTTACTTTCACTGTAGAGCCTAACCAACAGACATACCAAGCATATACCCATAGCCAATTCTACCATCAACCAAGATTCTCCAAACCTCCAGATATTACCTTTCCTTGGGGATCTTTGCTAGATAAGTCCACCCAGTTTTGTCAGGGATGCCCAATCTCATGCAGTACTCAAAATTTCTGGTTCCAGCCTGTTGTTTATAACCAATATCTGCAAATTGTCAATCTCAGCTCCACAGCAGAATGGATCCTATTAGACGAAACTCAAAATTCTTTTTTTTGGGAAAATAAAATCAAGGGATCTAAACAAAGCCAAACCTCATGCATCAAAGTATTAGCAGGCAAAACTGTAGCCACCAACTACCTGGGTGTGTCAGCAGTCTTGGAATTTTTTGGAACCTCCCTCACCCCCTTATTTTGTTTTAACATCCCTACTTCTCTTAAAACCCAAGGAGACTTCTATATTTGTGGCTAATTAGTTCACCAACGCCTCCCTGCTAGCTGGACTGGAACTTGTACCATAGGCTATGTATCCCTGGACGTCTTTATGGGCCCTGGTAATCTCTCTTTTACAGTACCAGTCTATGAGCATTCCATCTTGCCCAGGAAGGCTATCCAATTAATTTCCCTCTCCTTCTCATGAGACTCAGCATTATAGCCAATACAAGAAGTGGAATTACTGGAATCACAAAACCCTCCTTAACCTATAGCCAGCTCTCAAAGGAAATAGCCAACAACACTGATGCCATGGCTAAAACCTTAACAACCAAGCAAGAAAAAATCAACTCTTTAGCAGCTGAAGTCCTCCAAAATTGTCGAAGACTAGATACCCTAACAGCAGCACAGGGAGGAATTTTTTTAGCCTTACATGAAAAATATTGCTTTTGAGTAAATCAATTGGGAAAAGTAGAAGACAACATCAGACAACTCCTAAATCAAGCCTCCAGTTTATGGGAACAAGCCTCTTGAGTTGGCTAAATTGGGAAGGAACCTGGAAATGGTTCTCCTGAGTTCTTCCATTTTTAGGACCACTTGTTGGTCTACTTTTGCTCTTTTTTGGTTCATGTCCTCTAAATCTAATAATCCAGTTTGGCCCCTTTTACCTTCAGGCCATCAAGCTCCAGATAATCTTCAGTGAAGGATACATGCTTTCAATATTCAAGAACCATCCTTCTGCAGAGGACCCCTAGAGTGCCCATCAGTGGGACACGACAGAAGTGGCATTCTGCCCCTGTATCCCTTGGACCTAGCTAGATACTGCTTTCACCAGCCCATGGAGCTACCCTGCCCTGAGAGCTAGCAAGAGGCTAAGACCTACTGAACAACCACCACCACCCCTCTGTCAGCAGGAAGCAGTTACAGAAGACTGACATGTGTTCATTTTCCCAAAATAATTGGGGTCTTAGACTCCTGCGGGGGGGAATGTTACAGAAGGTAGCTAGTCAGACATGAGCAGAGTAGGAGAGACCCCACCACCACCAGAAATGTCAAGCAACCATCAAGTAATGATCACATGGTATTAAACTGTCTCTCTAAAATAAAAACTGGTCGCAGCCAGCAGCACCAGGGAAAGGCAGTCTTCCAACGGATAAAAAGACCTGAAACTCTTGATCAGCAGCTTCTCGATAAGATCTCAAGAGTTGGGTGAGTCAGCTCAATTCAAGCTTGTGCATTAACATGAAAAATGGTGAACTTTTACTGGTATATAACCTTCCAGGGACATTTGATTAGTAAGGGAAGAATGCCTCAAGTGAGCATGCTTACAACTCCTGTGAACACACTGCACACGCAGCCCCTCCCTAGTGCTAGAAGGCCACTGTACATCCAGACAGCCTATCCCAAGGGAAGAATCAGGAAGAGACACAAGACTCCAAAAGTATGCCAATTTAGAAAACCTTAAGTCAAGGGCTAAACTAGGCACTTGATCTCTCAAGTTGCCCACTTGGCCTCTTCCAAGTGTAGTTTACTTCCTTCTGTTCCTGCTCTAAACTTGTTAATAAATTTTTACTCCTGCTCTAAGATTTGCATCGATCTCGCATTGTGCCTTATGCCCCTCGGCCGAACTCTTTCTTCTAAGGAGGCAAGAACTGAGGCTGCTGCAGACCTGTACAGATTCACCACCAGTAACGGTATCACTTAGCAATAGCTGTTAAGTCTGTTAGTGAAGAAAGACATGAAAAATAAAGTAAAACAGTACATAATTTGAAAAGAAGAATACTAAAAATGCAACTGATTATCTTTTTATTCATGTACATGGCATGTTTTCCCATTTTTTAAAAATCTGTAGCTTTTATTTGGCAGATTTTTTTGTACTTTGTGGGTAGAAAGATTATTTCCTATTTAAATTTATGAAACACATTACAAACATTTTAGCACTTTAGTATATGAAAAATAGTGTACTTTAACCATAGCTATAGTCCCATTTCCATCAATGTGGCTAAGATGTAGAATACTTACTAACCAAGTGATTGTTTCATACTTCTGTATATCCTTTTGTTGATGCCATGAAAATCTGGAGAAATTTAATAATGTCATATTTATTTATATTCTTAAAATGAAGAATAATACAACAAATGTATATTAAAATTCACATCATATGGTTTTAAATGAAGCAAACGGGTATAGGTAAAGAGACTGTTCTAAATGTCAAGGCTGCTCTGTTACTTTTTAAATTAATAGTGATAAAATCATAATTCAAATACTTTTTTTGGCTAGTCTTATACTTTTCCATAGTTAAAAGTGTTTCTACTCTTAACAGGTGCAGTGTATTAGTTTTTATAATTTATGCCAAGCTGTCAAAATTCTAATTTTCAAGTATCATGATCTTTTTTACAAGTCCAAACTTATAAAGCATCTTTCTAGTGTTCACTGATATTTTTACTACTAATTTTCAGAAATGTATTGAATAGACACAATTTCCATTGTCCATGTTTTCATAGCATGTTGCTACATCTCTTTTATTTTGCAGTTTTTCCAGGTATACCAGCTATAGAGTCATGTCATTCGTTCTAGTTATCACAGATTTTGTATAAGCAAATAGTTTAGAAACTTTTTTTTTTTTTTTGACAGAATCTCATTCTGTTGCCCAGGCTAGAGTGCAGTAGCATGATCATAGCTCGCTGCAGCCTCAAACTGCTAGGCTCAAGTGATCCTCCTGCCTCAGCCTCCCAAATAACTGGGACTACAGGAGTGTGCCACCATGCCTGGCTGCTAATTTTTTTTTTTTTTCTTGAGATGGAGTTTCACTCTTGTTGCCCAGGCTGGAGTGCAGTGACACAATCTCAGCTCACTGCAACCTCCGCCTCCTGGGATCAAGCAATTCTCCTGCCTCAGCCTCCCAAGTAGCTGGGATTACAGGCATGTGCCACCATGCCCAGCTAATTTTGTATTTTTAGTAGAGACAGGGTTTCACCATGTTGACCAAGCTGGCTTCGAACTCCTGACCTCAGGTGATCCACCTGCCTCGGCCTCCCAAAGCACTGGGATGATAGGCGTGAGCCATCGCGCCGGGCCATATTTTAAAAAAATTTTTGTAGAGGTTGGGGGGGTCTCACTATCTTGCCCAAGCTGGTCTTGAACTTCTGGCCTCATGTAATTCTCCTCCTTTGTCCTCCCAAAATGCTGAGATTACAGACTGAAACTTTCTATTTTTTGAAAATGTAAAACAAGTTTGATATATAATCAACATTTGGCAAAAACTATATCCTTTACAAAGCCATGTTCAAATAGGTAAATGCATTCCTCTGCCTAGACTATGCTCATCTTGGGCTTGTAAAATAAAATTCCACTGGACAAAGTTAAACAGGTGAAGAAGACTTTATTCAAGATGATTGCAAAAAGAGAGAGATTGAAATCAACTCCACTTAAGCAAAAGGTGAGAAGGTTTTTAAACATTGGAGTGAACACATGGAAAAGTACTGGAGGGCTTTAGGGAGGAGATTAATCACTGGAATGTGTCCAGCACAATTGGTTATTCTGAGCTTGCATTTTTATTTTCTGTGATTAGGCCATTTGTGTTTGCTAGTTGGGACCCATGGAAGTTAGTCTCCTGCTCTCCCAAGGAGACTGGGAGGTAAGGGTGCTATTCCCTACAATGTTTATATTTCAAAGAGATAGGTCTTGGGTCACTGAGAAGGACATTCCTGAGCCTTAATACTGGCAAGAAGCTGGGAGAAGATTTACATACATTTCAAAGGGCAGAAAAATAATTTATGATTGCAAGTTTTCTAAAATAAATATTCTAAGAAAAGTTTTGTCAGGGCTCTGTAGTCAGGAAGAACTCTGTGTAAAGTTCAGTCAAGCTGAGGGAATCATGAAGGCTTCCACGGTTAGACTCAAAACGTTACTTCAACTTGGTTGCATGAACATTCGTTAGGGATGCTGGGACCTGCTACTCCTTTTTTGTAACCAGGACCCTTTGAGCCATGAGAAATTTAACACAAGAATGAGAATTTTTGGGGAGAGTTAACTGGCACAAGATACTGTTTACCTAAGACAATTAGACTTTATTCTAAGCTTGATTCAGAGAGACCCACATTCATAAACATTATACAACTAAAATATTTTAATAGCTATTTTTTTGTTCCCAAAGCTATGGCAGTGTACCTAAAAACAACAACAATAAAATGGAAAGAGGGACTTCAGATGCTGTCTTGTTTAAGTACCTTGCCTTAAATTTTGGTATTTCAAGGTATACTAGAGAACTAACAATACATTTTATGTTGAACACTGACAAAACAAATAACCTAAATTTTACAGCCAAAAAGAACTAGTTTTAGCTGAGGTTACTATAAGGATAAAGAGGACAATTACATCATGCAAATTTTGAGTCTTTCACAGTGAGTTAGCCCTAGAGTATCTTTGATGAGAATGGCAGAGAGTACGTTTTTTTTTTTCCAGAGAAGTAACTTTTTATAAATCAGATATGTATGATTATTAATACCAATTATTGTCAATACAGGTCTTCCTGATTTTCCATCCTAGTAATTATCATTGACACTAATTCAGATATTTTTACTTTCCCATTAACTTTCTACAATTTATGCAGGTCTCCAAACTTACATATTTATATCTGTTCTCCAAAGCCCTATTGCTCAATGTCATTATTGGGTTCACCCAAGTGCCTCATTCTTACCACATTCTAAGAACTGATGCCTTAGATCTGCTTCCTCTGTCCTTTAATGATCACGTTCTGCTCATCTCTTTAACCCTGCCACAGAGGAGGACAGCCCTCTGCAACATATATTTTAGTTTCTTACTTAAATGACTTCTTCCTTGCTTTTTAGAAAACAGACAGTAATGTTACACAATGTAAAGGAAATGGGTAAACTTTGAGAAAAAGCATCTATTAAAAACAAAACACCACAAAACAACTAGGGGGAAGAAGGAAGGAGAGTGTTGTTTCCAGTGTTATCATTATATCTGTGAATGATAAACACAACACTTTCTAGCATTGTGAGAGCTGTTTTCTCACCTGTGATGTGAAAAAAAAGACAAGGGAAGAAATTAAGAAATGCAGAAGTCAAATACAGAATCTACGCATTATTTTCTCTAAAATAGAGCCTATATATAGGAATATGAGAATTTTTAAAATCTTTTTTAACAACCATGCAAACTTGGAAAAGATATTTTTTAATATTAAAAGTGATTCACATAATATTTTATAACTAGCAGCTTGATGACTTGTTGTATCTTACCTTGTTCTTGTTCAGTATTTTTCCAACATGAGTTTGTTAGGCACTTAATTTTTGCCAGATATTATAAGAGATCATTGGATATACCATTATTTAGAAATGATTCCTGCCCTAAAGTAATTTATGAATTAGAAGTAAAGATGGTGAGAGAATAAGTAAATGTGATACAGAGAGATGAGTGCCTAATAAGGCTAAGTAAGGGAGAAGGGAACAATTACTAGCAAGAAATGGTGAATCAAGTGTTTGAGCAATCACAAAGGTTTCCTTAGGTAGAGAATTCTAGTAATAAGCATACGTGTGTGGGTTCCTCTGGAAAATATGTTACCAGGAATTAAATTTCAAAAGTACATCTGCATTTAATTTTAATATTCTCTCTCAATTGCTTTTTGAATAGCCTGTACCAGATTATGTTCTCACTAAATATTTTATACCTTCACTAACATTGTTTGCTATCAAGAACTTGACCTCTGATACTCCAATTTTTTTGTTTTTCCATATCTTGAGTTATAAACGATATTTGTTTGTTTGTTTTTTCCTGAGAACTCCTATGTAGGTTCCTTTTTATTTCAAATTGAATTGTTTTGGCCTTTTCTAAGTGCCTTGGAGGAGTTCATCCTTTATTTAAAAAACTATTTTTGTTTTTATTTAAAAATTTTTCCCACAGATTTTGACTTAGTAATAATCTATTTCACACAGAATTATTTTATTTTTAGATAGTTTTATTTTCCATGTTAAGATATTATTTCTTTATTGCAAGAATGGTTATTAAGGTTTAGTATTTTATATTTTATATTCATGGGAATTATACATGCTCTTTTGCAACAAGCTTCCCCTCCTCAACCCAGTTAATGGTAAATGAAGCAAAATTTCAGAATACCTATAACCTTAGCTTAATCTTTCTAAAAGCAGCAGATATTTCTTTCACATAGCACTGGCATAACTTATGTAATCAGCTCTTTAGTGATGTGTACTTAGCCTTCTTGACAACTATGGAGGTGACTGTAAAGTTTTCATAGTCATTAATATTACACATTTGTATTAGTCTGTTTTTATGCTGTTGATAAAGGCATACCCGAGACTGGGAAGAAAAGGAGGTTTAATTTGACTTACAGTTCCACATGGCTGGGGAGATCTCATAATCATGGCAGTGGGCGAAAGGCGCTTCTTACATGGTGGCAGCAAGAGAGAAAGAGGAAGAAGCAAAGTGGAAACCCCTGATAAACCCATCAGATCTCATGAGACTTATTCACTATCACATCAGAATAGCACAGGAAAGACCAGCCCCCATGATTTAATCACCTCGTCCTGGGTCCCTCCTACAACATGTGGGAATTCTGGGAGATACAATTGAAGTTGAGATTTGAATGGTGACACAGCCAAACCATATCAAGATTCTATTACAAATTCCTAATATTGAATAATTTGTTTAACTATTTTATTTACTACTGATTTCAATTTGCTCAAATCCATTACAGATTTTTTTCTATTTCTTAATTTATTTGCTTGCATATTTAACTTTTGAGTTCTGTTCATGAGATTAGTTTGATTTATTTTTTAATGTGTAACCTTTGCCAGTTTGGGGTCAGTATTATGCTGTCCTCATAATCAATTGGTAGACATACTTATCTCTATTACCTGGATCAATTTGGACAGATTTGATGTTTTCTTTTCTTTGAAAGCTCCGGGGAGAACTTTTTTTGTTTTTTAGATGGAGCCTCTGTCACCCAGGCTGGAGTGCAGGGGTGTGATCTTGGATCACTGCAACCTCTGCCTCCTGGGTTCAAGCGATTCTCCTGCCTCAGCCTCCCCAAGCAGCTGGGACTACAGGCACGTGCCACCATGCCCAGCTAATTTTTTTTCGTATTTTTAGTAGAGACGAGGTTTCGCCATGTTGGCCAGGCTGATCTTGAACTCTTGACCTCAGGTGATCCGCCCACCTCAGCCTCCCAACCAGGGAGAACTTTTATAACCATCAGAGCCTAGAGCTTGCTTAAGGGGCAGCTATCATTCTCAATTTTCAAATGTCTAAATTCTTTAGAACAGAAACTTGAGAGTTTCTATTTGTTGTCAATTATGCTTAGGTAGTTTGTATTATTCTAGAAAATAGCAATTTTAAATCATTATTCAGATTTATTTCATAATGTTGGTAAATTGAATAGGATTTTTTACATTGAATTCTACCTGTAATTTTCCCCCACTTTTAAAGTTTATGAATTTTAACTTTTTTTCCTTTGGTTGGTTCGTTTTGGTGAGGTTCATTTACTCTTGTAGTTTAATTTTATTATTGTGTTGATTTTTCTTATGCAAAAACAGAACTTTTGTTTATTTATTACTTTAAAAATTATTACTTCCTTGTTTCTGCTTTACCAATTCTTTCATTCTGTGTTCCTTCGGCTTACGTAGTTATATATTTTCTAACGTTTGGAACCGGTTACTCAATTCATTTATTTTTATTCTGTTTTTAAATTAGGTGTTTCAATCCATGTATTATTTTTTGAGTCTTGCTTTACTAATATGCCATAAATATAGTTGCAGACTTTTAAAATTATTTTATATGCTCAATATTTTGTAAATTTTTGGCAATACTTCGAGTAATACTTGAGTTTTTGAATGTCTCATTATTATTTTTATACATTTAGTATTTATTACAGTTTATAACATGAATTTTGATGCTTTCATTTTCTATGCCTAAAGGTTTATGACATATTTTTGCATATTTTACATATTTTTAAACATTGTAAATTGAACTTTAAAATATCTATTTACTGCTATTTAACATGAAATAAACCTTCTTTGGTGGTGGATCCATGGTTCTCATTTCAATTTTGGGGGGATCATCTGTAGGTAAGATATTCCTAAGATTTGTTTTGAGCATTTTGAGAGATTTTTTCCCTTTATTAAGTGAATGCCTTTCCTTCTTGATATGACAAAAAAAATTTCCTACCTACATGCATATTTTTTCACATTTCATCTTTTTTGTGACGTTAAAAAACTGTTCACTCTATCTTTTTTTCTATTTCCGTTCATGTGTGTGTTTCCTTTTTATAATGTGACACTTTATAGTCTACTTTCTTCAAGTGGTTACTTTTTAACTGTTTATTGGTAAAGTTTCAAAAACTTTAAAGATTTAAACCATTATTAGCAAAAAGAAACTTTAAACCATTGTTAGCAAAAAAATAAAATAAAATCCAAAATACAGTTTCCACATGTCAATAAAAACTGTTATGTATTTTTACAGGTAAAATTCTTAGTAATTACATTAAATGCATGAAAAAAATAAATTTCTCTCATATACCAGATACAAACAACTAAGATAGATGTAGTAATATTTTATTTTTGTATTCTGGGAAATCATTTTACATATGGCCTAGTGTATGAAAAATACTGGATCTTGATGTAGTCATTTTAGACTTTACCTATTGACTTCACACTTTAATGTGCGTTCTTTCATTTCTTTCCAGCTTTCTTCTCTTGCCTTCATGATCAGATTATATTATTTTTAGTTTTTCTGATAGTGACATTTGCACCTTTAAGAAAATGCTTATACCTCTTTTACTCCATTTATTAATTTCAAACAGTTTCCATTGAACTTTCACTCCTTATTGTAAACAATGAAGTAATCAGATTAGAGATTTCCTAGCTGATCTCTACTTAATTGACTTGTTTTAAGCATTGCTTGTTTGTTCTCTCTGTAAAACATAACTGATGAATGTCCACCATGTGTGAAAAACTAATTTCTAAGTAACTCTTACGTATCTTGCTCTGGCAAGCTGTATTTTCCAACGATGGATTAAACTATGTCTTTCATTCTGCATGCTGTTTTACAGTGGACCTTGACAACCTGCTGTCTTTGCCCTCTCTACTTGAATTTGGCAAACTAAGTATGTTGCTCCTAACCAACAGAATGCAATTAATGATGTTGTAGCTTGTAAGGCCAGTTTAGAAAAGACCACACAGCTTCAGCTTGTCTTAAAACATTGTCTTTGGTGACAGCTGCCATGTAAGAAGCAAGACCACCATGCTGGAGAGGCCAAATGTGAACTCATGATATTTATACAACTTTTTTTCTACTTTTATTTTGGAAGGCTTCCCCTACCAAAACACTTTTTTTTTTCTCGACTAGCTCACGGTTCATATTTCTCTGTGGTTTTGGAAATTTTTGCTAATCTATATCTTAATCTCTTAGTTTTATAGGTGTCTTATTTTCTTTCATGTCATGTTTAAATTAAAAATTTAGTTATAATATTTAGTAAGTACATATAAACCATATAAATTTTTTATTGTATGCTGCTCATCTGCTTTTGATTTGTGATTTTTCTTGTTTTTAATATGATAATTTTACATAGAAATTTCTAACTTACTCTTTCTACTTGAATTGATGTAGTTCTGGGATCAGATAATTTATTCTTCTATAAATAATGTAAGGAATGCCTGGAGAGTGAGC